>NC_000005.10:171518899-171821930 GCF_000001405.40 Homo sapiens
CTCCATTTTCTTTATGAAGATCAAGACAAGACAAGACCACTTCCTGAGGGTCGGGAGGAGTTTGCTGAGGCTGAGGTTGAGGGTGGGTCGAGGAGAGGAAAGGAACGATGCGGCGGCCGTGGTGGAGAGAGGGAAAGGAAGCCGGCTGGGGCCCAGGGAGAGGCTGCCAGCGATGCGGATCACCCAGTGCGGGCCAGGGACTGGGAGCACAGAGGCCAGCTGCCCCTCAGGGTGAGTGTCTCTGGCCCAGCTCAGCTGTTCAGGCACAGGAGCAGGGGTGTGGGTTGGAGGGTCACCCAGGCTTGCAGCTCAGGCAGGTGGGGGTGGCGGAGGCAGAGAGGGCAGACAGGGATGACCGTGCTGGCCGTGGAATCTGGGCTGCAGCCATGGGGTGGAAACTCTCAGAGGCAGAGAGAGATGTGTTTGAGAACAGTCTGGGGACGGAGCGGGCAGTACAGGAGCTCCCGAGCCCCAGAGACAGAGAGAGGGCTGCCGGTGAAGAAGGTACTGATTGGGTCCTTGATGGTGGAAGTGGTGCAGTTTCTGTGATGACTAGTCCTGATGGCTGATTCGGGGTGGAGGAGGGGCACTGGTGACGAGGAAGTCCAAGACAGAGGGGCCAGGACATTGAGAGGGATGTCTGTGAGGGTGTCAAAGCGACCCAGGGCAATGGCAAGAGATGCAGTTGGGGGGCTCCTCAGGGAGTGAAGAGTGCCCAAGAGGCTGTGGACAAGTGAGGGGGGTGAGATGTTGCAAACAGCCTGTGTCCTGAGAGAGCAGGTGTTTTTGGGAAGGTGTGGGCAGCATAGGCCAGAAAGTGGCCATGGAAGCAAGGGGACACCGCCTCTGTCTCCTGTCCTGAGGTGAGAGAGGAAAGCCAGCCTTCTCTTGGGAGGGAGGGGAGGAAATGATGTCCCCAAGGCAGAGGGGGCTCCCCAAGGCCATGGAAGGGAGGAGCTGGGAAGAGGAGGAAGCTGTGTGCGAGGCAGTGTGCTGTTTGTGGGGCTGGGGTTCTTCAGGGTCCTGGGAGAAGGTTCTGGAAGGAGGGAAGGCTGGAAGCTGGGCCAGGGGAGAGACTGTGCAGAAAGCATGAGGATAGGAGCTTGTAGAACTGTGTATGAGGGGATGGACCCCCTTACAGGGATGTGAGGCCTTGTCCTGTGTCCTTCCTGTGGACACTTGAGTCCAACAGGATTCAGCTGAAGCTGAGAAGTGTGAGAAGGACCTACGGGGTGGGGGGAAGGTGCTTATCTTGCTTCCCAAGGAGCAATGGAGGGGGCTTTTTGCCACCTCCTGGGGTGGGAGCCTCAGTCCTCGGGGCTGGGCCCCCTAAGGCCCGTCCCAGCTGGTCCTGGGAGGGTACCACCTCCTCCCCACCCTGTGACCCCTGGGTCAGGGGCCATCTCCTGGGGAGATGGGAGTTTGTGGCTGGCCTGAGCAGCTGCCTGGAGGGGAGGAGGCCCCTTCGATGACCAACCAGCTCTTTCACACCCCAAGGAAAAACAAGCCCATCTGCAAAAACCCAGAGGTGTGAGGTGGAGGCTTGGCAATCTGCGGCTGGGAGGGAGGAGCCTCCTGTCTTCCCGCTGAGACAGTGTGGGAAGGCCGGCCAGCCCAGCCTGGGATCCAGCTCCCTCCCTCCATGGGGCCTTGGGCAGGGCCTCCGGAGAGCAGTGTGGGGCTGGGAAGGACTCGGAAGCACCTGGAGGAGCAGGAAGCTCTGGGGACACTTTGCAACTCAGGCGGCTGGCAGAGAATGAGCACTGTGCAGCGAGTCGGGAGATCTCAGCCACCCACACCCCCAGACTCCTGCGTGCCCTGGGGCTGTTGAGGGGTCCCCACTTCAGGGTTCAGTTTCCCCTGCCATCCAACTGCTGGAGTCGGTGGCCTGGGATGCTCTTTCTGGCTGGTGAGGCTGTTGAGGTCCTCCCAATATGGGCAGAAGAACCCAAGCAGAGGGTCTGAGCGCCTGCCCGCTCTGGGCACCCGGAGCCGGCTCAAGTTCCATTCCTGAATATCAATGAGCAGGCCTAGGAATGTCTGCCCCACAGCTGGCTGCAGGCAGGCGGGCGGGGCGGGAAGGGAAGGGAGGAAATGGCCGGGCCTGGCCCTCCCAGACCCACCTGCCCCGCAACAGCAGGCAGAGCTTGCAGGCAGGCAGGGCAGCCTCTGCCCAGGGCAGAGGCAGATGGGAACAGACAAAGGCCCTTGAGATGTGGGGGAGGTATGAGGGAGGGCAATGGGGGGAGGGTGGGACAGACCTTTCCCAAGCTGCAGTCATGCCCCGTGCCTCTGTGCCATCGCACCTTTAAGTCTCCAGCAAGCTCCAGCATTCTGCACTGTCACTCCTGGAACTTGCCCACCTTCTCACTGTGGGAGGAGGCAGAACTAAGATTCAACCCCAGGCCTCTTCAGCTTGCAACCTGTGACATTTGTGTTATGTCACCCTAGGAGATAGGGAAAGCTGCAGATGTAGACAGCTTAGGGGCTGCTGGGCTGAGAGCTGCCTTTATTCATTTCTTCCTCTTGCAAGAAACAAGGCCTGTGCCAGCCTGGTGTCGGGTGCTGGGAATACATCTGTGAGCAGGCCAGGGAGGTTTTAGGAACTGGAGAGAAAAGAGTAACATTAATGCTCCCTTAATCATCCTCAGCCCCTAGTGAGTCATCTGAAAAAGCTGCTAAAGGGCTGCATTCCTCTGCAGTACAGAGGATTCACCCAAGTTAGTAAGAACATTTCAGAACAAATCACATCTCAGAACAGAGCTCGGTGATTGCAGGAGAGGTCAAGCCTTCAGAGAGTCAGGACATCAGGGACAGACCCTTAAATGTGCCAGGTGCTGGGATTGACCAGTGAGGGGATGGGTAACAAGATTATTTGACAAGGTTTCTTCTGCACGTAACTCACAGTCCAGGGCAGGAGACAACTCCATCACAAGGCCATGATGGAACAGAATGCTGGGATGGAGAAGTGGGAGGAGCCAGGTAGGAGGAAAGTTCAAGGGTGGGGCCTCCAAGGTGGCATTACAGGAGGAGTGAGAATTCTACAAGGGATAAAGCAGGAACGTGCCTCCAGGCAGAAAGGACAGATAGCATTTGCAAAGGTCTTGCAGTGGCTATAGCCCTGCTGGAAGGCCAACAGTGTAAAGCTAGGAGATGAACTGAAACGCAGAGAGGTGTGCTCTGAATACCAGGCTGAGAGTATGGACAACCAGTGTGACACTTTGCTTGACCGGATGAATATTCCACCCTCCTCCCTGGCCTAGAAAACCATTTTGGATGTGTGTTTGATTGGGTCTGATAAGCTGTCAGGGCTGCCGGTGAAGCTGGAGGCTGTCTCGAGGCTGATCAGCTTGCCCCTCCACAGGCACAAGGACTGTGTCTGGGCCCCAAGCACTCCGTCTGCAAAGAAGGAGCTATAAAAATGTACTCAAGGCAAAGGATCCCAGGGAGCTAGCACAAAATGGTGTTTGAGGCTCTTTCCATGCAGATCAAGCTCAACCCCAGGAACCAAGGCTGACTGACCTTGACAAGTCCCTTCCCCTCTCTGTGCCTCCATTTCCCTGCGGTCTCAGGTTACTCTCCAACATTCTCATTCAGATGACTCAAGGAGAGGTAGAATTGGGTGACCACTTAGAAGGTGGCTGGAGAACTCACTGGATTAGCCATGATCATCATTTCTGACCCCGGCCCCTCTATGGGGTGACGAGGATGGGAGACAGAATTGTGAGGGCTGCTTGCAATGGTTTCATTGTGGGGCCAGCTCCTGGGGAGTCTGTATTCCTTGAAGCTGGCGTCTGGGCATCCACGGGTTTTAGACCCTGGTCTAGGCCTCGGATGGTGAGTAGAGCCAGAATTGGGACCTTGGTTCTTTTTATTTTTTTGAGATAAGTTCTTGCTCTGTCGTCACCCAAGATAGTGTGCAGTGGCAGGATCGAAGCTCGCTGCAGCCTCAAACTCTCAAACTCCTGGGCTTAAGCGATCTTCCTGCCTCTGCCTCTGGAGTAGCTGGGACTATAGCTGCAAGTCCCTATGCCTGGCTAATTTTTTAAAAGATTATTTTGTAGAGACAAGATCTCGCTATGTTGCCCAGGCTGGCCTTGGACTCCTGGCCTCAAGCATTCCTCCTGCTTTGGCCTCTCAAAGTGTTAGGATTACAGATGTGAGCCACTGTGCTCAGTTGGGACTTTGGTTTTTGATATGGATCAAGATTCATATGTCAGCTCTGGATCTATTCATTCATTTATCCATCCAACCATTCATCCATCCATCCATCCATCCATCCATCCATCCATCCATCCATCCATTCATCTATGCAATGACTAATTGTTGAGCGCAGGTGCATGCTAGCTGTGTGGTCAATAGCGGATGTTGAAGGTGCATCAGAAAGCATGGTACACATGTTAATGGGATCTCACTTTAGCAGTGGGTCCATTCCATTCAGCACTTAAGGAACTCCCCTACTTCCTTTGTGTGCCCAGGGAGACCATTTCATTCCTGTGAGCCTCAGTGTTCTCACCTATACAATGAGATTTAATGATCCCCGTTTGTAATGCTGTTGTGAGTTTAATGAGATGATGGATGGAGGGCACCCAGCATGGCACAAGGACTTTGCATGGGAGCTGTCATCAGTGTTCCTTACAGCATCACACCCGAGCCTACAGCTCACATGGCACAGTGGTAGGACCAGCTGTGGGGAGTGGAAGAAGGAGGGCAATGGGGTTAGGCAGAGCTGGCTACACTTTGGCTGTGTGACAACAGGCCAGCCCCTCAACTTTTCAGAATCCACATTTGTATATCAGCGATAATAATTCCTCTTTTGCGGGGAGGAGGCATACACTGGAAGCTGGCCTCCTTCCTTCCCTTCTCCGAGGGGGTGGGTTGGGGACATCATGACCCCCAAGGGCTGTCAATGGGAGATGCAAGAGACATGTCCAGTGGGCCTGGGGGCCCTTTCGTTCATCTACATGTCATTGGGAAAGTCTTATGCAAGGTGCTTGGGATTGATGATTGACATGACAGATGGGAAACCTGCTCTCATGGAGCCCTGTGCCTGGGATGGCAGAGGAGTGAAGACCAGATGCACGGAGCGGTTTGTGATAGCTGCTCTGCGGGAGAGCGCCAGGAGCTGGGATCACAGGTCAGGAGGGGCTGCTGGAGATGGGGAATCCAGGGAGCGTCTTGAAGGAGGTGGCTTTTGAGTTCTGAGCTGAAGTGCCAGGAGTCAGCTGTTTGAAAGGTGGGCAGAGGTGGGCAGGGCACAGCAAGTGCAAAGGCTCTGGGATGGCAAAGGCTTTGAGAGCCTGAGAAAGCAGAGGCCATGCTTTCAGGGACTTTCACGTGTGATGGGAAGCATGTAAGAGATTCTCTCGGGGAGTCAGGCAGGGGCCAGAGCAGACAGACAGCCTCATTCATGTGGGTGCTGACGACTCCCTTTTCGCAGTCGAGGAAACTGAGGGCTCAGAAGAGTTAAACCACCTGCCCAAGGGCAAGTTGGCAAGAGATGAAGCTCAGGTGGGCCTCCCATGTCAGATCCTGTCGGGAGGCCAGGGGCAAAGCCCCCAGGTGCTCTAAGGTCCCCCTATCCTCGTGAGGGGTGAGAACAGGAGAGGCCCAGCCTGGGAGAGAGAACACTGTGTTTGTGAGAGAGAGTCAGAAGAGGCAGCAGCCTAAACGCACGGCAGACCCCGGCCAGCCCTGGCTGCCAGCACAACTGCTTGTGCGGCTGCCAAGCAGCCAGATGCCGCTTCTGGAAAAAATATCTTCCTGGCTTGGCACTCTCTGGCCGGCCGGCCTGCCATGCAACGGGAGGAGGGGGCTGCCGAGTGTGGGCCGCTGTTTAGCACCCCAGAACGGCGCTGCTGTGCCTTTGAAGCCAGGCAGGAACAGGGAAGGGAGGGGGCAGGGAGGATGCAAGCAAAATATTTTCGCTAAAAATATTCTGGTCCAGGAGAAGATCTTTTTTTCTTTTTTTCCCCTACTCTTGCTGGAAAACCAAAGTCTTATTAAAACAACACCAGAATATTTCATGTTGATATCAATTAGGCGAAGGAGAAGGAATCTTGAATTTTCCTCCCTGCCAGTTTCACATAAAAGGAATATTCTCCCAGAGGCCAAAGGATGAAGGTTTTTAGTTTTTTCCCTTTCTGCAAAAAATTCCTGCAATGTGGACGGAAAGTTCCTCATGTCTGAGAGCTTCCTGAGAAGTTGGGGCTCTGGAGCTTGAAGCCAAGTTCTCCCCCTAAGCCTGGAGGGGCAGGGCAGGTGGCTGGCTCTTTCACAAGGCCCTCTGAACCTGTCAGGGAGGGACGTGGCCAGGCCCACTCTGCGTGAGGCTGGCCCATCCTGTGTACTCTAGAAGGCCTCAAGCCAGCTGGGCCGCTTAGCCAATGGCCAGAGATCAGCAGATATAGACAGAGCATTTGGCCTCTGCCTCTGGCACCCCTCATCAAAGCTTCTTAGGCAGCGTCAAGACAGGAGTTGCTTTGAGGTGTCTGGCTGAGGCCCCTGTCTCTGGTAGAGTCCTTTCCTAGCCATGATGGCAGCACCATTGCCTCACACTTACTATGTGCCAGGCACTTACAAATATATGTTAATATCTCATCTACTCCTCACAACGACCACAAGAAAAAAGGATTATATGATTCCCCCATGCCCCTGAGAAAACCAGGGCTTAGAGTCACACAACTAGAAACCTGCACTGACAAGATTTGAACCCAGGCCCCTCAACCCTAAAGTCTGTGTTCTGTCTTCTATTCCAACCTGCCCCTCATATGACCCATTAGCTCAGAGTTTGGTCTCCTGTGGAGAATTTGGTAAGTAAGGGAAGCTTTTCTGTCCTGGCTATCATCTTAACCCTCCAGCTCTAAATCAGAGCTCCTAAAAACCACCCCTTCGGCAATGTTTTCTCTCCCTTTTCTCCTTTGCTAAGCTTTCAGAATGTCCCTTAAACATTATTTATTTATTTATTTATTTATTGAACCATTCATTTATCCATCCATCTGTCCATCTGTCCATCCATCCATTCATCCACCCACCCACCTACCCATCCATCCACCCATCCATCCATCCATCCATCCACCCATCCATCCATCCATCTATCCATTCTTCTACCTACATCCACCTATCCATTCATCCATCCACTCATCCATTCACCCACCCATCCCATGTTTACTAACTGCCAGGCATCAGAGGTGTAGAAATGACTAGAACACAGCTCCTGCTGAGGCCTCATTCAGGTTCATCAAATATTGGAGGTGGAATGTAATATTAGAAAGTGTCTAATGCCACCCCCTCAGATGTAATCTAGGTGGGAGGAAGTATCTTATTTTACAGGTGAGGAAACTGCAGGCCAGGAAAAGCAATGAGACTTGCTGGGAAGTTGTGCTTTGTAATTGAAAGATTGAGAATCCTGAAGCTCAAACAGACTTCTAGGTCCAGTTTGCTTCCTTCCTAGCTGAGGGACTTGTGCAAGTCACTGAAACTCTGTAAAGGAAGGAGAGAGACATGAGGTCAAAGAGGGCTCAAGGCCATGTACGGCTTTGTAGGCCATTGTGAAGAGCTCTGGCATCTACTCTGAGTAAAAACGGTGCTATCACAGGGCTTTGAGCAGAGAAGACATGATCCAACTGTGGTTTTAAAATGATTACTCCGGAGGCTGGGAGCAGTGGCTCACACCTGTAATCCCAGCACTTTGGGAGGCCGAGGCGGGTGGATCACCTGAGGTCAGGAGTTCGAGATCAGCCTGACCAACATGGTAAAACCCCCTTTCTATTAAAAATGCAAAAATTAGTTGAGTGTGGTTGTGCCCACCTGTAATCCCAGCTACTTGGGAGGCTGAGGCAGGAGAATCACTTGAACCCAGGAAGTGGATGTTGCAGTGAGCCGAGATGGCGCCACTACACTCCAGCCTGGGCAACAGAGCAAGACTCTGCCTGAAAAACAAACAAACAAACAAAACAAAATGATCACTCCAGGTCTTGTGTAGAAAATAGCCCGTCAGGAGGTAAGTGTCCAAGCAGGATGATGACCCATTAGGAAGCTATTGCAACCATCCAGGCAAGAGATAATGTCGGTTTGGACCAGGGTAATAGTAGTGGAGGTGGCAAGAACCATCAGTATTCCATGTGAGGTGAAGGAGGAAGAGAGACATCAAGGATGATTTTGTTTTTATGCCTGCACAACTGGAAAGATTGCCATCACCTGAGAGGGAAGGCTGTGGGTGGAGGTGGTTTTGTTGGGGGGAACAAATATGAGAAGCTCCTTTTGGATATGTTGAGCCTAAGGCACCCATTAGATCTTTAAGCAGTGACACCATGAAGACAGCTCAATATCCAGTCTGGGGTCAGGAGCAGGTCTGGGCTGGAGGCATCAATCTGGTATAGGAATGGCGTCTACAACCTTCAGACTGGATGAGATCACAAAGTGAGCGAGTGTAGACAGCGAAGAGAAGAGGTCCAAGGACTGAGCCCAGGACCTTCCATCACTTAGAGATTTTCCTAATATATACTGAGCCCTCAGGGTACAGATAGAAGAAAACGTGGTTGTTGCCTTCACAGAGTGTGTGTTTTAAAAAGGGCAGTACGTGGAAGGAACCAGCAAGTTCACCAGGCCAACAAGCTGTAGAAAGGGGTCAGCCCCACGACTGTGGGAGCCCAGGGTGGCATCTCATCCAGCCCAGGGAACCCATTAACGTGGCCTGTTACAGTTCCACTCTGACAGATGTTGTCCTACCTGGGGCTCCCAGTGGCTGCTAGCAACCCCTGAACCTACTCTGTTCCATAGAATGGGGAAGAGAGGACTCACTTGGCCCAAACTCGGAATTTGGGAGCTCATCTCATTCTCTCCGTAGCCCTGTCAGATCAATACTGTTAACATCCTCATTTTAGAGATGAGAAAACTGAGGCTAGAAGTGGGAAGCCACTGGTCTCCCGCCTGACTTTAAAGATCATGCACTCAACATGGGAAAAAAGAGGGTGCAAAAGGTTGCTGAGAAAGGGAACTCAGAATCTTTTTTTTTTTTTTTTTTGAGATGGAGTTTTGCTCTTGTCACCCAGACTTGCCACCCAGTGGCGCCATCTTGGCTCACTGCAACCTCTGCCTCCCAGGTTCAAGAGATGCTCCTGCCTCAGCCTCCCAAGTAGCTGGGACTACAGGCATCTGCCGCCACACCGGGTTAATTTTTGTATTTTTAGTAGAGATGGGGTTTCATCATGTTGGTTAGGCTGGTCTCAAACTCCTGACCTAGGTGATCTGCCTGCCTTGGCCTCCGAAAGTTCTGGGATTACAGGCGTGAGTCACTGCACCTGGGCCAGAATCTTTACTTTAGGGTATAGGGTTGTCTCCTGGGAGGGAGCTCCTGGGCCTGTCAGTCAAAGTCAATGCCTTCCGAGACCAGGCAGGGGACATCAGTGAGGCACGTGGGCTGCGGAGCAGAGTGTACAGCTTCATCTAAGGGAAAGCCACTCCTCAGCCCGGCCAATTGTGGCCCTACGGAAATGTGGGCCTAGGGTTGACAGATCTGGTTTCTAAAGAGAAGCCGGAAACCTGGATTTTTATGTGAAATTTCCCACTTTTTAGAACAGTGTCAGGTCCAAACAAAACACATGTGCTTGCTGAGTTGACCTCATGGCCACCAGCTCCAGACTTTGGCCTTTTGGATGGTGTTTAAAAGCAAGCAAGGATCACACATGCCGGGTTCAAATCCTGCATCCCTCCCAACTGGCTGTGTGTTCTTGGGCAAGTGAGTTCACCTCCCTATCAGTCATCCTGTGCCTCAGAGCTATACAAGAACCACGGGGCACAGGGCCCCTCACAGATGCTGGATAAATGGTGGTGAGGAGGTGGTCTCTGTGTGTGTGTGTTGGGTGGGGGGGCTGTGGTGTGCACGGCTTTGGGTGGGTCGGAGATTTTTATTGCCTTCACATTCCTGTCCCGGCCTTTCCTCATGGCTCCTGAGAGCTATGGAGCCCATGTGTGGGATCGGTCACACGCCTGAACTCTAGGAGAGCCCTTCCCTCGCTCACCCTCTTCCAAGCCTTCCCCGAGGGCTCCTTACGGCTCTCCTGAGCAGCAAGACCTCCAGCCCGGAGCCTTCCTCGCCAGCCTGGCTCCCCACTCCTGCCACTCCTCTGCAGCACAGGAGAGCCGTGGGGACGTGTGGATTCCTGAGGGGATGTTTTCCACATTTCTGGAAACCCACTGCGGTTTGGTTTTCCGTGGTAAAGGGCTTGGCAGTGGCTCAGCCCAGTGGAACGGCTGGTGGCTGGGAAGGGCCCGAGTCAGAGGTATTCATTGAGCACCCACTGTGTACCAGGCCCCTGAGATTCACAGATGCTTAAAACAGTCCTGGGCCCTCCAAGAACTTCATTATCTCAGTATGAATTCAGACTTGAAATCCGAGAAGTTAAAAACATCTCAAAACCACGTCCTTGCCACTCAGGCCAGAAGCCTGCCTTCCTCTGGCTTCCTCCTCATCCCAGCAGACACTGGGTTCATCCTGCTGTATCCTCTAAATCTCTTGGGCCCGCTCATTTCTCTCCACCTCGTTGCCAAGGCTTTGGTGGATCGTCATCCTCCCTCCCCTAATGATGACAGCTGCCTCCGCCCTGGACTCCCTGCCTCCAGCCAACCCTCCTTCAATCCCTCCCCATGGCCCCTGAAAAGTCTTTCTAAAAGCCAAATCTGATCATGTAATGTCCATACCAAGAGCCCTCAGTGACCTCAAGGTAGAGTCTAAACTCCCCATATTGGCCCACAGACCTTGCAGGACCTGCCCTCTCCTTCCTGCCTTCAACAGCTTTATCTCTGCCCCCATTTCTCGGAGCGCTCTGTACTTTAGAGGGCCTTCTCGGAGTTAACTGTACAGATGCATTCTGCTTTCTGTCCACTCTGGGCCTTTGCACACACAGTCTTCTCTTCCTAGAATACTTTCCCACCATCACATTCACCAAGTGAATTCTACTGATTTTTCAGGTCTTTGCTTAAATGTTACTTCTTCCAGGAAGTCTTCCCTACTCATCCCCATCTCCAGGCTGGATAAGGTAACTTTGCTCTGTATCCCCAGTGCTTTGCTTATGTTACTACTGATTAACTACTAACAACAGTACTATAACTACTAAAAATACTGCTAACAATAGTACTAATGCTAATCTTAAAGCTAGTACTAAGTTTATTTATTTTTTAATTTAATTAAATTTTTTTTTTTTGGAGATGGAGTCTCGCTTTGTTGCTCAGGCTGGAGTGCAGTGGTGCGATCTTGGCTCACTGCAACCTCCACCTCCCAGGTTCAAACAATTCTCCCACCTCAGCCTCCTGAGTAGCTGGGCTTACAGGCATGCACCACCACTCCCTGCTAATTTTTTTTGTATTTTTTAGTAGAGACAGGATTTTACCATGTTGACCAGCCTGGTCTCAAACTCCTGACCTGAAGTGATCTGCCCGCCTTGGCCTCCCAAAGTGCTGGGATTACAGGCATGAGCCACAGTGCCTGTCCTTAAGGCTAGTACTAAGTTTAATGTCAATACTAACACTAATACAAATATTAGTGAACACTAATGCTCATAGCAAGTGCTTCCATAATGTCCGCATGTGCCAAGCACTGTTCTAAGCACTCAATACATATTAGTTCCCTTTAGCCTCTCAATGCCCTCTGAGGTGGGAACTATTATTGTCCGCCCTTCACAGGTGAGGTATAGAGAGGTGGCATCGCGTGTCCAAGGTCACATGGATAGTAAATGGTAAAGCTGGGATTTGTTATCCTTCACATATCAGTTGGTCTTGCAAAGACCTATTTTCCTGGTCTGTTTCTGTCCCTGTCCTAAACTCTGGGACAGCAAGGCCCAGTGCTGCCTTGTCTGTGGGTACATCTCCAGCACCCAGCACAGTGCTTGGCATAGAGTAGGTGCTCAATAAATGCCTGATGATTGAAGGAAGCCATGGTAGATGTACTGGAGAACTCAAGACCTGCCTGAGTGCAGAGTTGGATCAAATAACCCATGTTGGACCCTTGCTACTTGGGGTCTAGCATTCAGGGTGCAAACTTTATCTAAAAGCAATTCATCAAGGGAAAGTAGACAAGAATACATGTAACCTCTACACTTTTAACACTTGCTATCTTATTATTGATTCATTAGGATAATAATGAAGCACTTGCCCAGCTCCAGCAGAGAGGAGCTGCTTAATTAATAGAGAAGTGGGGTCAGATGTGGTGGCTCACACCTGTCATCCCAGTGCTTCAAGAGGCCAAGGTGAGAGGATAGCTTGAGCCCAGGAGTCCAAGGCTGCAGTGAGCTACGATTGCACCACTGCACTCCAGCCTGGGCTACAGAGTGAGACCCTGTCTCTAAAGAAAAATAAAATACAAATTAATAAAAAGAGAAGTCGTAATGAGCAGAGACTCCTGGTTATGACCTAGGAAGGTGGCATGCCTATTTTACAGATGAGGAGACTGAGCCTGTGGGAAAGGAAGACGTGCCTTACAGAGCGCATCCAGCCAGCCAAGGAAGGAGTGGAGATTTAAACTCCCAAGGCTGGTTCTCTTTTGCCTGAGGACAGCGGCCTCCATTGACCCATCCCCAAATTCACAGAGAAATTTTTACGTACCAAATTTATATTTCTTTTGAGATAAGAATATTTCAATCCCCTTGAGACCCTTGAGATTTTTAAAATCCACTTTTCAAGTATCCTTTTCTATTTTGCCCACTTTTCAATATTTCTAGATTAAACAAAAAAGCCCAGGTCAGGAAGATCAGATGCTTTTATCTTACTTGGGCATTTCTATTAAGTATCAAGTTGATGGTGCTTCGTATGTTTCATTAGATTTCTCTATTTTGTGCTTTTTTTTTTTTTTTCCTTCTTTTTCTTCTGTTTGGGTGTGCTGACATTTGTGCACTGTGTGAATTTGTTCCATGCTAACAGAGTGAGCCAGAACTGCTTTCAGGGGAAGGAAGACAGGGTGGGGCAGACAGGTCGGGCGTGTACTTGGCTTCATTGCACTTTATTATTTATGATATAGAGATTGCAGACATCTTTGTTCTTTTCTGTCTGTTAAAAGTATAGCTTACTTACTTTTTTCTCATTATAAGGAATTAAAGAAACTGGATAATAAGATGAATATGAAGAAAACCCTTAAATCACTGATGTTCCAATCACATTAATTTTTTTACATTTTGAGTTATTTCTTTCTTGTCTTTTTTACTCTATTTAATTTTGATTATTACAGAGTATGGATTCCACTACATAGGCAGTTTTTTCTTCCTGATTTTTCTTCATTTAATATTAGGTGATAAGCATTTTATGTGTTTTTGTTTGAATTTATTAATATATCTTTTACATATCACTGTAGATCTTTATAATATTATTTTAAGTGAATTAATAGGTTGACATCTCCCCAATCATCCCAATATTACTGAAGATTAAAGTTGTTTCAGTTTTTAAACTATTCTAAATAAAATTTAATTTTTTAAAAAAATATTGCTTTCCTAAGATAGATGCTCAGAAGTAGAATTACTGAGCCAAAGGTCTTGAATACTCTTAACAAATTCTGTTATACATTGTTAATTTCCTATATATATATATTCACATGTCCACATGTAAATATTGAGAATGCCTGTATGACTCCATCCTCATCAGCGTGGGCTGTTATATACTTTTAAACTTTAAAACTGTTGTTAATTTGACAACAGAGAATTGACATCTTCTTGTTTTAATTTATATTTCTTTGATTGCTGGTGAAGTTGAATTCCCTGTTTTTTAAAAAATAAGTTAAATCCAGATTTTTTTTCCTTTCCAACTTTTATTTTATGCCAAGGTGTACATGTGCAGGTTGGGTATATCATGGGTAAACTGCACGTCACGGGGGTTTGGCGTACAGATAATTTTGTCACCTAGGTAATTGGCATAGCCTCTGATAGGTAGTTTTTCTTTCTTTCTTTTTTTTGAGATGGAGTTTCGCTCTTGTTGCCCAGGCTGGAGTGCAATGGCGCTATCTCAGCTCATGGCAACCTCTGCCTCTCGGGTTCAAGTGATTCTCCTGCCTCAGCCTCTCAAGTTGCTGGGATTACAGGTATGCACCACCAAGTCTGGCTAATTTTGTATTTTTAGTAGAGACAAGGTTTCTCCATGTTGGTCAGGCTGGTTTCGAATTCTTGACCTCAGGAGATTCGCCCACCTTGACCTCCCAAAGTGCTGGGATTACAGGTGTGAGCCACCGTGCCTGGCCTCTGATAGGTAGTTTTTCAATCCTTACCATCCTCCCATCCTTCACCTTCAAGTAGGCCTCAGTGTCTATTGTTCCCTTTTTTGTGTCCATGTGGACTCAATATTTAGCTCCCACTTACAATTCATGTGAGAGCTTGTGGTATTTGGGTTTCTGTTCTCGCATTAATTCGATTAGGATAATGGCCTCCAGCTGTATCCATGTTGCTGCAAAGGACATGATCTCCTTTTTTATGGCTGCATAGTGTTTCATGGTATATATGTACCACATTTTCTTTATCTGGTTCACTATTGATGTCGGTGTTGGTTCCATGTCTTTGATACTGTCAATAGTGCTATGATGAACATACGTGTGAATGTATCTGTGGTACAATGATTTATATTTCTTTGGGTATGTACCCAGTATGAGATTGCTGGGAAGAATGGTAGTTCTATTTTGAATTCTTTGAGAAATCTCCAGACTGCTTTCTACAATGGCTGAACTAATTTACATTCTTACCAGCAATATATAAGTGTTGCTTCCTCTCTACAATCTCGTCAGCATCTGTTATTTTTGACTTTTTATTAATAATAATAGTCATTCTGACTGGTGTGAGATGGTATCTTATTGTTAAATCCCGGTTTTTTTGTGACATAATAATTTATATCCTTTGCCCACTTATTTTTTGATTTTGTGTCTTTCTTAACTAATTTGCCCTTGATAAAGATTTTAGCCCTTTAGTCATTTTTGGTAGAATTTATTGTTTTTTTTCCCCCCAAACTGTGGGTCTTGTCATGTTCATTTTGGCTTTTTTTTTTTTTTTTCATGTACAGATATATTTATTTGCTTTCTCTCTTGTCATTTCCTCAGATGTATCTAAGCTTAAACCGTCACTGCCTTTCAGTGGTGGATGGAGCCCCCTTTTTAAGCTGTGGGTGCTAGCCTACACTAGCCATTCAAAGGTTTGGGACAGCATTGGTATGTGGCCTGAGGGCTGGTTGTGACCACACACACACACCCTGAGTCACCAACGCCTGGGAGACTCCACCTTCTCCCCACTCTTCCCCACCTTTGGCTTCCCACGTCTGAGCGAGGTGTCTTATCTATAACAAAACCTTTTGACAAATGCCACAGCATGTCAAAGTCATTGCTGTGAAACTTCATGACAGGCTCCTTTGAACATCCAGATCAGTCATCTTCCTCCCACGTTGAGCATTCAGTACTCTCAAACGAGTGTCATAGATATGTGTGGCGTCACTGCCTCTTTCAGAAGCCATGGTGTGTAAAGGCTTAGCACCCAGGGAAAAGCACCTGCCATTGACACTCGGGCTTGGGAAATAGAAATATCCTTTCTTCCCTCCCCTTCTCCTTTTCTCCCTCTTCCTCTTTTTCCTTTGATGAATCTTGACTTAGCCTCCCAGGCTGCTGACAGTGGCACGGAGTTGACTTCTGCTCAAATGATAAGTGGGTGCCATGATCCCCAAATCGGGCACTTGATGTGAGGAGCCAAGGCAAGGAACAAAAAAGTCCTCGGAGACAGCCCCCAGCTGTGTCCATCGCCCCCAGCTGTCTCAGTGCTTAATCAATAATCCCCAGCACCTGTCAATCAGCAGTGACCAGGGACCTTCAGTGTCCTAATACTGGACACGGTGACTCAGCATTTTGGCTTTCAAAGACCTGCCCCATTTCTCTTTCCCCAAACCTGGTCCTACTGAGTGGGGTTGGCTTCCCTGCACGCAGTTCCCCTTGGCATGCAATCTTGGCTCTTTTAGTCTTTATGTTTTCTCTGTTCTTTTTGTTTATTTCAACTAATCATATGAAATAGAAGATATTTTACTGTTTTTGATCTATCAAAATGGCAATTTCATGTGGTTTAACTTAATATTTTCAGAAATTGTATAAGGGATACAGGAGTATCATAAAAAATAAGGACGACATAAACAAAGAATATACACAAATGTTATCACTGTTAAATTTTTTTTGTATAAACCTCTGTTTTTATGTGATACATTCACATGTAACTGTACACAGAGATTTTATAGAAATGGAATCTAACTACCTGTATAAAATTACCTTGTTAATTAGCAATATATTGTGAATGACTTTCCATGTCAATAGACATGCTTCTTTAACATCATTTTCAGTGTTTATTCTATTGTATGGTTGTACCATAATTAAGCATGACCAGTAATTCAGAAGATTCAGGACTGTGGGGGCAGGAGAAGGATGGGGAATGTGGTCAGAGGGGTAGGGGGCCAAGGTGGTGTAGGGTTACTAAAGCCAAGGCCGGAAAGACTTTTAAGATGCTTTATATTGTAAAGGGCCCTGGAATATTTGAATAAATGGGAAGGAGCCTCCAGCTCTGGAGAGGGGGACACTGGCAGCCAGAGAAAAGGTTGGAAGTCATATTCACTTATTCACTCATTCAAAAGATATTTATTGAACTTTTACTGTGTGCCAGACATTTTAATGGGGGTACTGCAGTGACTGAGACGGACACAGCTCCTACTTTCAAGGAGCTTATTTCATAGTGGGGGGAGACAGACTATAAACAAATGCAATAATTGCATATTAAGAAAAGTGTCAGGAAGGAAAATGAACAAGGAGTGTGATGAAGCTTCAGGAGGCACTGGAACAGGGGATGGTAAATCTTGGATAGGGTGATCGGGTACAGCAGCTCTGAGAAGGCGAGATTTGAGCTGAGACCTGAGTGAGTCAGGGGAAGAAGGTTCTGGGCAGAGGGACCATTGAGTACAACAGCTAAGTCAACTCAGTAAATGCAACCCCAGGTTTGAAACATTTTATTCATTCATGTCTTCACCCAACAGACTTGCAGTTGAGCTCCTCCTCTGTTTCAGATAGGAATGAGGAAATCAGATGTTACTCCTCCCTCAAGGAAGAGAGGCATCCATTCGCTTCGTTTATTCACTCATTCATTCATTCATTCAAATACTTTCTGAGTACCCATTATGTGCCAATCCTTAACCATTAATAAGGAAATGAAGATGAGTAAGAATTAGTTCTTTTCTTCCAGGGCATTTGGGGGAAAAAACAAGGAGGGTGAGCAGAACAGCTCAGAGAGAAGAGATGGTCCGCCCAGGATCATGATAGGACTAGAGGAAGGTGTCCTGTTCCCCAGCCAGAGTTTCCAGCCATGTTTCCTGTGACCCCAACCCTCCTACGTCAGTCCTTTTTCAACCCAAGGTTTATGCACACAGCTTCCCCCAGCCCACACCTGGAAAAAGCATTAGACATTTATATCATTGCAGGCCCTAAGATGAAGTCTATAAATGGTTCTGGTTGCAGTTCTCTCATGTTCACTGGATGTCATAAAATTGGCTCAGTGCAAACAGGGAGCCATTCCCTTTAACAGCTGGGTGTTAATGACTACACTGAGAGCAGTGGAGCTGTGTCCGGGTATCCCCCAAACAGCAACCAGAAGCCCTTGTCCAGTTGGTTGCAATTGTTATGGGGCCATCAGTCAGTGAGTGTGGAGTATCATTCATACCGAGGTAACCAGGCGGAGCCCAGCAGGAAGTGTGTAATTGGCCAGCGGAAGATTCAGGAATGTGAGTAAAATGAGCTTCAAGGCATACGTCTTCACCTGTTATCACGGCACTATGGAAAGACCCTTGATTCGGAATATCTCAACTTGGATTTGAATCCTGCTTTTGCTTTTGTGTTTTTTTCTGTTTGTTTTGTTTTGTTTTGTTTTGAGACAGGGTCTCACTCTGTCGCACAGGCTGGAGTACAGTGGCGTGAACACAACTCACTGCAGCCTCTACCTCCCTAGCTCAAGCAATCCTCTCGCCTCAGCCTCCTGAGTATCTAGGACAACAGGCACATGCCACCATATCTGGCTAATTTTTTCATTTTTTGTAGAGGTGATCGGGTATGTTTTATGCCGTGTTGCCCAGGCTGGTCTCAAACTCCTGGGCTCAAGCAATTCTCCTGTCTTGGCCTTCCCAAATGCTAGGATTACAGGTGTGAGCCGCCAGGCCTGGCCGTAATTTTGCCTTTTGCATGCTGGGTGACCTTGGGCATTTGGCTTAACCCCTTGGAGCCTGTTTCATCATTTGTAGAATAGGCATGTGACAGACACTGTTCGTTGCCCACTGAATAGTTATTACCTCCATCTAACAGAGCCCTGAGTTCATCCATGTTGATGATGTCCTTACCCTGGGGATGTGTCATGTTTGGGCTAAGCCAGTAATTGTTTTAAAAGCGGACATGTAACCAAATTCTGACCAACAGGACATCTGGTTGGAGGTTTATGAAAAACATTTTGTCTCCCTTTATTTCCTGCCGTGAATTCATTTGTGCAAAAATGTGGTAGTCACAGCTGAAGAAATCATCATAGAGCAACGAAATGATGAGCTTATAAATTAAAGCCCATGCACTGGGAATGACACAGGGGAAGGAGAGAAAGATCCTGATGACAACACTGAACTGTTGCATCAAACTGGGACTCTTTGTTACAGGAAGTAATTAAGTCTTTGATCGTCTTCGGGTGTTCTGTTACTCACATCTGAAGCATCCCTAGCTGACATAAGGAATGATGATTACTTTCTACAGCTCCTGGGGGAATTAGATGGCATTGTGTGCACTGTGCTAGGTATTTCATCGTCACCCTCTTCCCTGATCCTTGTTGCATACAGTGTGACCTCTTACCCAGGGCTGGAGAAAGCCTCACCTCACTAGAAAAGAGTGACATGTTGGTAGTGGCATTTGCAAGACAGTTAGTGGCTTCTAGAAATACTCACAGGGGCATATTGTAGTAAAACATAATTCAGAATAATTGTCAACTGTGCAACCACCTGACCAGTCAGAACCCACCTAATTAACTGAACATTTATTAAATGGGTGTAAGTCCAGAGTGATTCTTTCAACAGAGTTTGTCCCACATGTGAGGGGACAATGAAGTTGGTTGTCTTCATTTATTCTGACACCTATCCCATCCGAGGTAGTTAGTCTAAATCAATTAATATGATTTCACTCACCTTGGTAGTGATTGGCTCAGGAGTGGTCATGTGGCCCAGTTCTGGCCAATGAGATATGAGGGGAATTTACTGTGGGCCTTTTGGGAGAGTTTCCTCTTTCCTAAGAGACAGCCACAGGAAGCAAGGATCTGCCACTTTGCCTTGATGTTGCAGTGTCTGGTGGAGACATCTGGAACCACTGTGGCCATGTTACTGCCAGGCTGAGGATGAAATTAACACTGAGACAGGGAGGATGGCTGGAAGGAGCCCACTCTGGTGGCAATGCTCAGTTACCGCAGTGCCAGTCCTGGAGCCTGACCTACCCATGGGGTTTCTAATACGTAAGCTAAATATTTACTTATGAGTTGGGGTTTTTGGTTTTTTGCTGAAAGCATCCTGTCTGATACTCTGAGTTTACTTAAGAGATTTTAGTTTATGCAAAGAAAATCCAGATGTATACCCAGTTTTACGGCACCAGGCTCTTGCAAGAAATGAGGCAGGGCTTTGGTAAGGAAGGTGGCACCATGCTTGTTTTTATGGATTGGCTAAGAGGCATCCCTGTGCCAAAGCTGGACAAGAGAGCTTGGCTCTGTTGAAGCTGCAGGGTGGTAAAGGAGCGGAGGTATCTCTACTGTATTAGTCTCCAGTGAAACAGAACCAATAGGCTACGTGTGTGTGTGTGTGCATACACATACGTGTGTATGTGCATGTGTGTGTGTGAAGAGAGATTTATTTTAAGGAATTGGCTCACTTGATTATGAAGGCTGGCAAGTTCAAAATCTGCAGGGTGGGCCAGCGTTTAGAGACCCAGATGAGAGCCAATGTTGCAGTTCCAGTCTGAAGACCATCTGCTGCAGAATTTACTCTTGCTTAAGGGTGGTCAGACTTCTTGTTCCATTCAGGTCTTCAGCTGACTGGGTGAAGCCCACTCATATTACAGAGGGCAATCTGCTTTACTCAAAAGACACTGATTTAAATGTTAATCTCAGAAACATCCAGAATAATGTTTGACCACATATCTGGGCACCATGGCCCAGCCAAATTGACACATAGCATTAACAATCACACTTGCCATAATGTTGTCATAGTGATGACAGTGAACTTGACAAGCACTCAGGAGATGGATGTGCAAAGATGCACTAGGTCAGTGTCCTTAGCAGAGTGAACTTGACAAGCACTCAGCACATGGATGTGCAAAGATGCACTAGGTCAGTGTCCTTAGCAGAGATCCAGGATTGATGACATCCCCCCCTGTCGTCCACAAGTCCAGAAACCTGTCCCCTATCACCACTCCGGGTCAGGGCTGTATATTTCTCCCCTGTCCGACAGCCATAACAGGCACCCTACTTCCAACCCCTTCCTTCTTCCAGCAGCCTTCACTCTGATTGTGCCCCAACAAGTGCCACTGCTCAAAAGCTTTTGATGACTTCCATGTGAAAATGGAATGGAGATGAGGCCTCTGAGCCTGACCCTGAGGTCCTTGGCATGCTGTCCTGTGTCTTCCCATGTGCAGCTTCCATTGCTCTTCCCCCCAAATCCTTCCTTCTACTGTCTGCTTTGCTCAGACTAGCGCATCTCAACCCTAGTTGCACATCAGAATCCCAGAGAACTTTAAAAAAATACAGATGCCTGGGCCCCACCCCAGACCAATTGAATCCCACTGTCTGGGAGTAGGGTGGGGGTCTGTGTTTGTTGTTTTTTTTTGAGATGGAGTCTCGCTCTGTCGCCCAGGCTTGAGTGCAGTGATGCGATCTCAGTTCACCCCAACCTCCACCTCCTGGGTTCTAGTGATTCTCGTGCCTCAGCCTCCCGAGTAGCTGGGACCACAGGACTGCACCACCACACCTGGCTAATTTTTGTATTTATAGTAGAGACAGGGTTTCATCATGTTAGCTAGGCTGGTCTCGAACTCCTGACCTCAAGTGATCCGCCCACCCCCCTGCTTCCCAAAGTGCTGGGATTACAGGCGTGAGCCACCATGCCCGGCCCAGGGGTATGTGTTCTTAAAAGCACCCCAGGTGCTCCTGAGGAACACTGCTCTAGACGGTCTTCTTCTTTCCCCCATCCTTCGTCCTTCCCTGAGGAAATACTTTTATTATTAAAGGACTTCTCACAGGCCCCTCCTCCAGGCTGTCTTCCCTGACCAAGCTCTTCTAAGTTATTATAACTCAGAGCCCTGTTGCCCGCTGCTCTGTTCTTAGCACCCTCAACTAATTCGGCATTGTATTTGGCTCTTGTGTGTCTTATACCCCACAAGTTCCTCTGTGCATCCTAATATGGACCATATTTTGTCACTGTGCACTCTGCCTCCTCTCCTAGGATGCTTAGTCAAGACTCCCTTCTTGTCTTTCTGATGGACTCCTCTTCAACCTTCAAAGCCTTGCTCGGACATCATTTCCCTAAGGACCCCTTCCATGAGCCTGCACTAGAGCCCAGAACCGACTCCCCTGTGCTGCCTCTGCCTGCTGCCAGTGCGTTCATTTGCTGCTGTGCCCCTCTCCCCCTGCAGGGTGAGTGTCGTGGGTGCTGAATCAATGCCAGTCAGATGGCTCTGCATTTGCCGTGTGTGACCACCATAACCATCTTTACCCACATCTCACCGAGTACTGACTCGTAGTAAGCATTTGAAGGTTTGCTGAAGATGAGAACATTAGACACTGGGAACTACTAGAGTGGGGATGGATGAAGGGCTGAAAAACTACTTATTGGGCACTGACCTGGGCGATGGGATCAACCATACCCCAAACCTCAGCCTCACGTAATATACCCAGGAAACAAACCTGCATAGGTAACCCTGAACCTAAAATAAAAGCTAAAATTAAAAAAAAAACAACCGGTTTGCCGAACCGAACTTGAGTAAGGAAGAAAGGGAGGAAAGGAGAAAGGAAAGAAGGAAGGAAGGAGGAAGGAATGAATTGAAAGAAAGAGGGAGAGGAAGGAAGGAGGGAGGGAGGGAAGAAAGAATTCAGAAAGAGAGAGAGTGAAAGGAAGGAGAATGAAGAAAGAAAAGAAGGAAAGAAAGGGGGAAGAAAGAAAAGAAGGAAAGAAAGAGGAAAGAAAGAAGGGAGAAAGGATGAAGGAATAGCAAAAAACCCGATTAGAGAGAGGTAGCTGAGTCTTTGGGGGTTGTTGTGAGAAGCGTGGCATAGAGGGAGAGACAGCCACAGAACACTTTTTAAGAAGCCTTTTTGAGTGTAAGTCTTTTTGAGTGTGTCTTTTTTTTTCCCCCACTAAGTACTCTCGGCCCAAATCCCCAAAAGAAAATAAGCGCTTGGAGATAAACACATCTTCTAGGGAAGTTTCTTTTCCCTCCCCAGGAACATTGCTGGGAAGGTTTCTAGAGAAGGGAAAATGGGTCCCAAATGGCTGAGTCATTCAACATACAACAAGCAAATGGTCAGGGCTGGCCGGGGAGGGAGTGCGGGTGGCACTCAGGTTGTCTCCATGGCCAGCCCACACGGCCCCGTCTCATGGCTGGAATGACAATTGTCACCACCGAGGTCCTTACTACTGTCCCTGCCCCAGGGCTGCTCGGTCTCAAGGGCCTCCTGGGATGCTCCCTGGGCCTTTGCTCCAAAGCTGCAGAGCCCAGCCACAGATGAACCGGATCCTTAGCCTGGCCAGGGCCTCGCCCCAAACTGGGAACGGAGCTACGTCCCAGCCTCTGTCCTGCTTGGCTGATGTGATTCCGCCTTCGCCCCCAAGTCTAGCCAGGCCCCGGTTGGAGCTGGAGCTGGGAAGAGAGATAGGGGAACATTCTAGGGAAAGAATCATAGGTGCAGGGCACTCTGAAAAGTTGGGATTGCTACCCTATTTTATGGATGAGGAAACTGAGGCTTATGGAGGACAAGAGACTCGCCAAAGATCACACAGACAGGAAGAGACAGGGCTGGAATCGGAGCCCTGGCCTGTTGGTCTCTTCAGCTGCCTTTTCCCTCTCTGCTGTAGGTCAGTATCTATGGAGGTGGAGGTCATACGCTTCTTTTTCTCCCAGGTGATGTTTGCCAAATCATTTTAAAGAAAAAAAAATAAGGCAAAAACAAGGAGAGTAGATATTTTGGGTCAGAAGATGACCTCTGATCTACTCAAACTGGGCTCAGATGCAGCAACCAAGAGGGCAAATGTCTTTTTCCCTTAAGAGTTGATAGGTATTGACTGAGCCTGGATCCTTGCTGGACTCTGCTGGGGACTTGGGAGACAGCCATGGATAGGACAGATGTGGGCCTTGCCTTCATCAACTCCATAGTCTAAGCCTGGCTACCATCTGACCCCAGTCAAGCTGGTACTTGGTAGTGTGGCACCCCGGGCCCTATAGTCCCATGTCACTTGACGTAATGTCTTGGGCTTTTGGTCCTAGGCAGGGCTGAATTGGGAAGGGATGGGGAAATTGAAAAGGAGGGGCAGATGGTTAACTAGCTGGGACATGCAGGGATGGGGTGACCTGGAGCTTTCATAAAAGAAAGGGGATGAGGGGAGGAGGGAATGTATATTTAGAAATAAAGAGTCTGACCAATTTAATGGAGAGAAGAAGGGAAAAAAATCCAAGTCCCCGCAGTAACCTGTTTGCAGGAGCTGCCTAATTTAGCAGTAAAGCATACACACTGGCCCTGGCATGGGCTGGTGGAAGGTATTTCCTCCCCAGCCTGGGTCAAGTTTCATTCATAGGTACTGTCTAAAATTAGACCCTCTGCTTTCATTCTGGTCCAAACTCCCTGCCTAGCGTAATATTTGGGAGAAACACTCCCATTAAAAGTGCGCCTTCCTCCCAACGGCCCCTGGCCTGGGAAGGGCTGGGTCCTGTCCTCGCTGGCGGCCGCTGCGGCTCATAAACCCGGGTCTAAATTCAAAGCATCCGCTCTGACTGGTGACCTCTGGCTCCTGAGCAAACCATGCCGCCTCTTCCAACTCACACCCAAGGCCTGGCCAGGTCACTGGGAGGGACCCATTTCACGCCTGTGACCTTCTGTCGAGGGGAGTGTGAGGGCAGCTCCTCCTCGAAGGGAAGAGGGGCCGGACACCCCTGGGGCCATGTGCTGGGGCCTCTTGTGGGGGCATGTCCTGCTGTCTTCTCTTCTGGGCTCAGAGAGCCTGCCAGCTAGACTGGCCTGTTTTATCTTTATTATTATTTTTCTCTAAATTAATGTAACATCAAAGAAAGACTCAGTGAGACGGGAATCAGCACCGTGTTCGGGCTGCTTTATTCATTTAATAGGCATTGACTGAGCTTCTTGTGTTTGAAGTCTTTTGGTGGTAACAGAAATGAGGACACTGTGGGAGCGCCCGGCCTCCTAGAGTCAGACTCCAGCCAGGGATGGGCTGGAACCCCAAACCAAACATGGTGGGAAGCCCCAGAAGTGTTTTCTCTTTATCTCTTGCCTCTACTTCTCTCCTAGCTGGGTTTTAACTCTTCTTTCATGGTCTGCGGGCCCTTCTGCTCCTCGGTCACCGCAGCAGAACGGGGATCTTGTTCCTATGGGCTCTGTTCCAACCATCTGTGCAGAGCTTGACTCTTCTTCCTGGGTTCCAGTTCCAAAGCCCCAGGGAAGGTTTCTAATGGGCTTAGCTTCTACCAGGTGCCTGCCTCTAGACGGCGCCAGGGGCGGGGCCATTTACTAGCATGACTATTCTGCTGGACTCGTGTGAATGGCATGAGGAAAAGAAGTGAAGGGGCAGTTTGAACACCATGCAGTCACTACTCAGCTAGGGGCCTGTGGAAACACAGCAAAGGATCTTAACTCAGGCTTGGCAGGTCAGGGAAGCTTCTTGGAAGACCTGGAAGGTAACCTCTGAGCTGGGTGAGTTGGCTTTAGTCAGGACCTGAGAAGGAAGGGTAGGGAAGGCTGTTCAAAGAACAGCCCAGGCGAAGACCTCAGGGCAAGATCCAGAACTGTGGGGTAGGAATCCCAGCAGCACTGCGTGCCTGCTGTGCCAACCTTGGGCAGGTCACTGCACTCTCTGGGCCTCGGTTTTCTCATGTGCAAATGGGAATCCTAACACTCTTCTGGAGTTATGAGGATTCAGTGAGATCACGCCTGTAGTAGTGGCTGGCACTGGCTGGGGGGCAGGGCGTGCATTGAATCTGTCAGCCCTGGGTGGAGACACCCTTTCTGGTCAAGTAGTATTCCATCAGCTGGTTCCTTTGCACCTTCAGGTCTCAGCTCAGACATCACAGGGACATCACCAGAGAAGCCCTCCCCGACCAGCCTTCAAAATGCACTTTCCTTTCAGATCCTAATATGCCATCTTGTTTCGGCCACAGGGTTTTTCTCAACATGCAGTGAGGGCTGGGGTGAACAATGAGAAGGAGTCTTAGGGGAGGTTAGCAGGGCCACTCAGAAGGCAGCGCCACAGCTGCCACAAGCATGCAGTTCAAAGGCTTCGGTGCTTGAGCCCCTTACCCAGACTGAAAGTATCCGGAAAACTGGGGTGGAGTCCTAACCACCCTGTTCCCCAAGACTGCTCCAACTGGGCTTTTGAAGTTGGGAAGGGAACTCTGTCCCTAGGCTGCCTGGGACGTTGAGTCCTAGGGCCCCAGTGGAGGCTCCTCACCCTCCCCACCTCACTGGTACTCAAATGGATGAGCTCCGCCTTGCAGAGTTGTAGACTGATGCTGAGAGAGACAAGAGCGGGGCTGGCCCAGGCGGCCACATCACCAGCCTTGGGGTCATGACTTAACATCATCAGTCCTGGCAGAAAGGCTGACCCCCCTCTTCCCATGGCCCACCACTTACCCCCTCCAGCCCGCACACAACTGATTCTGAAAGGAGGATGTGAGCACACATGTTTATTTGGAAGGTAATTCCAGAAAGTGCTGGCAAGGGGAACAGGGCTATGAGACAGAGAAGGGCTATGAGACAGAGAAGGGCAGGAGGTCAATATGGGGGTCGTTAGTGGTGTGGGTCTGGGAGTGGTGTGGAAAGTGTGCCTTTCAGGCTGCCCGCCAGGAAGTGGGAGCAAAGTGTTCCATGCCAGGCCCACGGCCATCGTTTGAGGGGCCCTGCAGGGGATGTTAGCTCCCCATACCTCTGGCTTGTCCTGTGTGTAGTTAGCTTTCAGATAGGTCATAAGAGCTTCACTTGGTCACCTCTGGGTCAACATGCAGGGTAATGGAGAGTGAGGAGGGTGTATGGACAGGGGCTTGTGGCAGCTGTGACCCTGCCCTCTGAGTGGCCCCGCTAACCTCCCCTAAGACTCCTTCTCATTGTTCACCCCACGCCTTACCCCAAGGACCGCCTCACTGATTCCTGAGCGCTGACTTTCTACTGGTCCATCAACCCCTGATGAGTTGCCCACCCTAACTCCACCAGGACTCTTCATGTCCCCACTTAACCTTCCGTTGGCTCCTGTTCTCTTAGCTCAGCTCCTGCCATCACCCCTGTACGGGGGCTTGGGGATGTGAGTGGGATTGGGCTAGACATCCTCGCCGGAACAGCGGGAGGGTGGGTCCATTTCCTGAGCATCTCCTCCTGGGAGCTTCCCTGGCCTGTAGAGTGAGTCATGTCCTCCGCCTCCCCCTACTGGGCCCCCTCCCCGTCTCAGAGAGGGATGCACTCCTGCCCTGGTCCGGCCTGCTTCCTCCCATTTCCCATTGAGGAGCAGGGATTTGTTCAGGCCCAAGTGGTCTGGGGGACCATGGGCCCTCCAGCTGGGCTCAACATTTGAGCCCCTTGTTGAGCGGCCTTGGGGAAAAGTGCTCAGGTGTTCTATGTGGCTCACCAGGTCCTGGAGGCACCAGGTGGCTCAGTTCTCTTGGGGCCCTGGACAAGGGAGGGAACATACTGCCCCTGTCGCTGCAGCACGGCTCTGAGGAAAGTTCGTCATTGCTCTTCTACCACTGAGGACCAGCGGCTCAGAGGTCAGTTCCTTGCCCACGGCCACATAGCCAGCCGGTCTCAATCCAAAACCCAGGGTTCTAAATCCTCGGGATTACTGAGCAGCGGTGTGTCCAGAACTGTGCTGTTCACCCTGAGAGGGGCAAAGGGAAATATTACCCGGGCCACCCTGGGGAGCCTGGTAGCGCGGCTGACCTGCAAGTGCTAAGGGCAAGGCCTGGAGGTCATGTACCTACATCACTTCTGCCTTCATCCCATCGGCCAAACTTCAGTCACATGGCACAAGCAGCTACAAGGCTGGGAGATACAGTCTGGAAGAGGAGACCAGGGTTTGGGAAAGCACTAGCAGTATCGGCCTCAAGTCTGTGTGTGAAAGCGAAGGGCAGGGCCTCCTTTCTGCTTCGGAGTTGACAACCTGACTGCCCTCCACCACGTTTCACTGTCCCCCACATGGGTCTCTGTTCTTCAGAGGGCCACAGCTCAAGCTGTCCGGCCCACATCCTGGAGCTCTGGGATGGCAGTCTCCCATTCCAGGCGCTCGAGCCTCACAATTTTTGATGCCCGTGTCCTGTACTCCCCCCATAATGGCCCACAGTTGTGGAGGTGTGCCTGGCTTGACTGACCGATGGGGATTCCCGTGTGAGAAAAAAAGGTAAGGCCCGCTGTGCAGGGGATAAGCCCCTCGCAATGATCTCCCTGGTCTCTGTCACACGTCCTCCTTTCAAAAGCTCGCCTGGATTTTGGAAGATTATCTTCCTGACCCATAGATATTGACCTTGCCCCCACGCTCATCCCTCTTTCCTGCAGCAGGGGATTTCCACAGGCCTAATTTACCCAGACTGGAAGTAATGCCATGGTAGCCCCCAAGCCCCACAGAACAGGACACCATGTGGTTTTGACATGCTGTGTTCTGTAGAACTATCCAAAGCTGCTGTGGGCCCACCAAGCCTCGCTCCTTTTTTTTTTTTTTTTTTTTAATTTTACTTTAAGTTCTGGGATACATGTGCAGAACGTGCAGGTTTGTTACATAGGTATACATGTGCCATGGTGGTTTGCCGCACCCGTCAACCCATCATCTAGGTTTTAAGCCCTGCATGCATTAGGTATCTGTCCTAATGCTCTCCCTCCCCTTGCTCCTCACCCGCCGACAGGCCCTGGTGTGTGATGCTGCCCTCACTGTGTCCGTGTATTCTCAGTGTTTAATTCCCACTTATTGGTATTCTGTTCCTGTATTAGTTTGCTGAGAATGATGGCTTCCAGCTTCACCCATGTCCCTGCAAAGGACATGAACTCATTCTTTTTTGTGGCTGTGTAGTATTCCATGATATATATGTGCCACATTTTCTTTATCCAGTCTATCACTGATGTGCATTTGGGTTGTTGGTTGCTTGCTATTGTAAATAGTGCTGCAACATACATGTGCATGTATCTCTATAGAAGAATGATTTAGCCTTGCTTCTTTATGGTTTCTTCACCACTGTGAGTTGTAAACATGATTCTTTTTCTGATTGCCCATGCAGAGGCTGACTGCTGGGTTGATCCCCCCATACCAAGACACATGCACACCACACACAGTGTATATTTCTACCAGACATTTATTCTCAGAAACAATTTTTTCTTCCCCAAGGAGGTCAAACTTTAAATGCATGCAGTGGTCAGGAAGCTCACATCACTGAGTATACCAGGGCCAGCTCTAGGACGATCAATGGTGACCCACAGCCTGTGCTGAAAGAGGCCAGTGGGTAGGGGCAGTGGCCTTGGCCAGCGTGTGACCCACTTCAAGGGGGAGCCCACCACGGAGCTCCAGGCAACCACTGCTGTGCAGGACAGGAGCTCACTGGGGTCCCATCATCTCATGCTTCAAAAGAAGCCAGAAAACTATTTCATCTTCCAAAAAATGGGAAATCTTTCATTTTAAAATGTGGGCAAAGCCAAATTTAAAACACTATGTGAGTGAAATGTCTGCCACAACTGAACCTGGGCTGTGTCAGTCTAAGACTTATGCTTGGAACCTGTAAGAAGAACAAGTGTGCGTGCATGCATGTGTGTGTGTGTGTGTGTGTGTGTTTGGAGGGATAGTGAAGTTTTTTCCTACAGCTACAAATAGAACATGCTTTCCTATACAATTGTACTAATCAATATTATTTCCTTACATTATCTCCAGCCATTTCCCTATAATTAGACATTCAGATTATTTCAAGGTTGTTATTCCTATAAACAGTGATGTGATGAATTTTTTAAAGTTGGTTCCTCACATCCGTCTGTTCTTGTAAATGTATCCATCATAGAACTGGACCACAAAGGTTGGTTCCTAAGATTATCTTCTCCTTTAAACTGACCTCCTTGAGAACAAAGGACATCTTATTTTTTTTTCTGAGTTCCCATGGCCTAGCACTTCTGTGATCCATAGCACTCTGCTTAGATCATAGAAGGCATTTGGCAATATTCATTAAATGAAGAAATAGGGTCAGAAAAGAAAGAAAATTAGCTTTACAACGCCATCAGAGAAAAACTTCAAATGATTTGTACAGCTGAGCCACAGTAATGAAAGCAGTCTTTTGGGGGAAGACATAGACATATTTCTTTGCTAATGTCACCCTATACCACTAAGTCACCCCTTTCCATCCTGGAATCTACCTTGTCCCCATCAATACACTTAAGGTTTGTATTATGGAACACAAAAGACAATTCAAATTTCCCTGGAATAATGATTATGACTGAATTCACAAACTTGAGGTTTGTATTTTATTTTTCAACAGAAATTAAAATCAAGTCGAGTCTTCAAATGATAGATGGACAGGAAGCCCAAGATCTCCCTCCTGGGCACCTCCTCCCTTGAATTACCAAAGATCTCCAGTGGTTTATATGATCTGAAACTTGTAATGGACTCTGAGAGTGGGGACCTCCTTACAATTTTCACCCTAGGCACCTTGCTTCCCTTACACAAAAGAAAAAAACCATGCCAAGGTACAGTACCAGCTTATTGAAGGAGGCAGTTTCTCTCCCAGTGATGATGGGCTGGAATTCCTCATAGATGTGTTGTTTCCTTGGCTGCTTTGGGCCTCTGTTCTTGTGTTTGAGTGGCAAGGCCCAAGGGAGAGGGAATAATTGCATCTTCTCCATCTAATCCTTTCCAATATGAATAAAAGAAGGGCATTTCCTTTCCATATAGGCAAAGGGGGAAATGCCAACATTAGGAACATGGGAGTGGCATCCTTCTTTACGATTGTCTTGCTAATGGGTATGGGGCTTCTTTTTGGAGTGATGAAAATGGTCTGGAATTACATGGTGGCGATGGTTGTATAGCAGCCTTGTGAATACAGCACTAAAAAACTGAATTGTACATGTTAAAAGGGTAAATTTTATGGTTTGTGAATTATATTTCGATTTAAAAAAACATTTGAAGACTGAGTTTACAGCCATTTGCCTCCACCCTCTGCCATCTGCGCTCTTCTGCTGGCCTGGGACCTGGACTCTGTCCCTGCCGAGCTGCCCCTCCCTGAATCTGGATCCTGGGCCGAAGCTCACTCTGCAGAGGAGCTGGCCAGGCCTGGCTCAGGGAGTCCAGGGAGCCCCTATGAGCCACAGACCACTTGTGCTGAAGGGTAGATTTATGGCCTGGAGGCCCCCAGCGTAAAAATGAGTGTGGGATGGGGCCAGTGGACAGAGGCTGCTACACGGGTAACCAGCGACTGGAAATAAGAATGTTTTCTTTCCTAACTCCGGGAGAGAAAAGGGGCAGTGTAGTCCCAAATGAAGAAAGACAAGATCCCTGTATTCTGAATGTCGTAGCTGAAAAACAGCATTGAAATGATTTTAGGTGACAGATAGGTAATTATTTTTTATGGGATTCTACTGATGTACATTTGATTTTTAAAAAAATCTTGGTTCAGAATAATTTTGGCTTGTTATCACTTTAAACTGAGACCCTCAAATCTCCCGAGATCAGATGACACACTGGTCCACCCTTACGGAGGGAAATTTTCTCTCCTCCTGCTTCTGCACTGGGTGAAAGTAGGGTGAGGGGTCCTGTTCTGCAGCTGGACAGGGGTCTTTTTGTGCTCTTTAATTAGGAGAGGGAAGGATGGAAAGCTATGTTACAGAAGAAATGATCTAAGTCTTCAAATAATACATACTTTTAACTGTTAAGTCATTTTGAGAATACTTTATCCTCAGTGCAGTGCATCTTCTCAAACATTCGTGGACAGTATTTAGTCTGTGTAAAAGTTTGGGATATTTCTATTTAAGTGTCAGAAGCCCAACTCAAACTGGCTTAACTAAAAAAGAATTTTATTGGCTCTTGTAAACTAAGGCAGTTAGAACTTCAGGCATGGCTTGATCCAGGGCATTGAAAAAGACGATTGGGTCTCAGTTTCTTTTTCTCCATTTCTTGGCTTTGCTTCTGGTGTTCTGATTCTGTCTTCAGAATGAACTTTCCCTTGTGGTAGCAAGATGGCCACCAGGAATTCCAGCACTCATGCAAAGGTTCAAGTCCCAGCAAGGGGCTAGTTGTAGCTCATCAGTTCTGACCCATTACCATGGCCAAGAGAATGCAACGTTAGAATTGGCTAGGCCTACATCATGTGTGCATTTCTGGAGTAAGGATGGAACTCCATATTAATCATGTGGACTGACAGTGGGCAACAGTGTAGTTCTTTAGAGAGAAATCATTGCACATTTACTGCGAGAAAGGAGAATGATTGCTAGATGGTAAGAATAACAGATGCCCACAATACCCAGGGTAGTCTATCATGCAAGTTAAAACCCTGGACTTCTGGCCGGGCATGGTGGCTCACGCCTGTAATCCCAACACTCTGGGAGGCTGAGGTGGGTGGATCATTTGAGGTCAGGAGTTCGATACCAGCCCGGCCAACATGGTGAAAACCTACCTCTACAAAAAATACAAACACTAGTCGGGCGTGGTGGTGGGCGCCTGTAATCCCAGTTACTTGGGAGGCTGAGGCAGGAGAATCACTTGAACCTGGGAGGTGGAGGTTGCAGTGAGCCAAGATTGCACCACTGCACTCCAGCCTGGGTGACAAAGTGAGACCCTGTTTCAAAAAAAAAAAAAAAAGAAAGAAGTTCTCTTGAGTGAAGCCATTGGAATTTTGAGGTTTACCTACCTTAAATGATACAGTACATAATGTTTTAAATACTTTTAGCATGTATTATAGAGCTTATAATTTATTTTTTCTTTTTAAATGTTAGATTCAGGGGTACATGTGCAGGTTTGTTACATGGGTATACTGTGTGATGCTGAAGTTTGGGCTTTGATTGGACTTGTCACCCAAATGGTGACCATAGTACCCAATAGGGAGTCTTCAACCCTTGTCCTCCTTCATCCCTCTCCTCCTGTAAGGTCCCCCGTGTCTATTGTTCCCAACTTTATATCTGTGTGTACCCAATATTTAGCTCCCATTTATAAGTGAGGACATGCAGTATTTGGTTTTCTGTTTCTGCATTAATTTGCTTGAGATAATGGTCACCAGCTGCATCCCTATCGCTGGAAGGCGATTTTGTTCTTTTTTATGGCTTCATAGTATTCCATGGTGTATATATGCCACATTTTCTTTATTCGATCCACCACTGATGGCACCTAAGTTGATTCCATGTCTTTGCTACTGTGAATAATAGAGCTTATATTTTTTAAAAAAAGGAACAAAGGAAAAGAAAATGAAGGCCAAGTGGAGATCATGAGAATGACAAAATAAACAAGAGGACCTACCAGATCCAAAGTTTTGATAATTCTCACTTCTGGAGTAGATCACAGCTTACTGGGGTTGGGGGGCAATTAAGGACTGCCGTTCAGTGTCTATGCTTTCCAAATTTCTTTGAAGACTGTCATGAGTACAAACACTGACATTTTCTTTCTGAACCACTTCCTCAGGGTGGTGTGAAGCTGGAAGGGGAGGGTAAATCATAGGAATGGTAATAACAACGGCAAGAGCTGTGCATACGGTAGGGGGTTACTGCTACTGGCCCCCACCAAGCCCACACCACACCGTCTCACTGAATCCTCCAGCAACTCTCGGAAAGGTCTCTTTGCTTCCAGCTGAGAGGTGAGGTGACTGAGGATGTAGGTCGCACAGCTAAGGATGCCAGCACTGTCTCCTTACCTGTCTGTCAGGCTCACAAGTAAATGGTCTCCGTGCAGAAGAGGCATCTGGCAACTGACTGTGCTGTCTGCCCAGAAGTGGATGTGGCAGTGGAGAGCAGTGGGGTGAAGCCACGGTAGCCCTAGGTCATTCCTCAGGCTCTCCCATTCACTCCTGCAGGGAAGGGGTTCACGCTGGGAGGGCTGCTTTTGTGGGGGCTGAACTGGCACCCACCAGGCTCCACAAGTCTTTCCACTTCTCATTCTTTTAGCTCAATCTCTAGCTGTGTTCCATATTTCTCCCTGTCACCATCACTGTCACCCAGGCGAGTCTAGCCTGTGTCAGCTCTCAGAAGAGTCTCTTTTACCAGCTTTTTAAGAATGTGTTTAGATGATGGGGTTTCCTAAATATACAATCATGTCATCTGCAAACAGAGAGACAATTTGACTTCCTCTCTTCCTATTTGAATACTCTTTATTTCTTTCTTTTGCTTGATTGCCCAACTTCAGCAAAGTCTCAGGATACAAAATCAATGTGCGAAAATCACAAGCATTCCTATACACCAATAATAGACAAACAGAGAGCCAAATCATGAGTGAACTCCCATTCACAATTGCTACAAAGAGAATAAAATACCTAGGAATACAACTTACAAGGGATGTGGAGGGCCTCTTCAAGGAGAACTACAAACCACTGCTCAAATAAGAGAGGACACAAACAAATAGAAAAACATTCCGTGCTCATGGATAGGAAGAATCAATATCATAAAAATGGCCATAGTGCCCAAAGTAATTTATAGATTCAATGCTATCCCCATCAAGCTACCATTGCCTTTCTTCACAGAATTAGAAAAAACTACTTTAAATTTCATATGGAACAAAAAAAGAGCCCGTATAGCCAAGACAATCTTAAGCAAAAAGAACAAAGCTGGAGGCATCATGCTACCTGACTTTAAACTATACTACAAGGCTATTGTAACCAAAACAGGATGGTACTGGTGCCAAAACAGATATATAGACCAATGGAACAGAACAGAAGCCTTAGAAATAATGCCACACATCTACAACCATCTGATCTTTGAATAACCTGACAAAAACAAGCAATGGGAAAAGGATTCCCTGTTTAATAAATGGTGTTGGGAAAAGTGGCCAGCCATATGCAGAAAACTGAAACTGGACCCCTCCCTTACACCTTATACAAAAATTAACTGAAGATGGATTAAAGACTTAAATGTACAACCTAAAATCATAAAAACCCTAAAAGAAAACTTAGGCAATACCATTCAGGACATAGGCATGGGCAAAGACTTCATGACTAAAACACCAGAAGCAATGGCAACAAAAGCCAAAATTGACAAATGGGATTTAGTTAAACTAAAGAGCTTCTGCACAGCAAAAGAAACTATAATCAGAGTGAACAGGTAACCTATAGAATGGGAGAAAATTTTTGCAATCTATCCATCTGACAAAGGGCTAATATCCAGAATCTACAAGAAACTTAAACAAATTTACAAGAAAAAAACAAACAACCCTATCAAAAAGTGGGTGAAGGATATGAACAGACACTTCTCAAAAGAAGACATTTATGTGGCCAACAAACATGAAAAAAAGCTCGGCATCACTGGTCATTAGAGAAATGCAAATCAAAACCACAATGAGATACCATCTCACGCCAATTAGAATGGCAATCATTAAAGAGTCAGGAAACAACAGATGCTGGAGAAAATGTGGAGAAATAGGATCACTGTTACACTGTTGGTAGGAGTGTAAATTAGTTCAACCATTGTGGAAGACAGTGTGGCGAATCCTCAAGGATCTAGAACCGAAAATACCATTTGACCCAGCAATTCTGTTACTGGGTATATACCCAAAGGATTACAAATAATTCTACTATAAAGGCACATGCACACGTATGTTTATTGCAGCACTATTCACAATAGCAAAGACTTGGAACCAACCCAAATGCCCATCAATGATAGACTGGATAAAGAAAATGTGGCACATACACACTGTGGAATACTATGCAGCCATAAAAAAGGATGAGTTCATGTCCTTTGCAGGGACATGGATGAAGCTGGAAACCATCATTCTCAGCAAACTAACACAGGAACAGAAAACCGAACACTGCATGTTCTCACTCATAAGTGGGAGTTGAGCGATGAGAACACATGCACACAGGGAGCGGAACCTCACGCACCGGGGCCTGCTTGGGGGGTGGGAGGCTAGGAGAGATAGCATTAGGAGAAATACCTAATGTAGATGACGGGTTGATGGGTGCAGCAAACCACCATGGCACGTGTATACCTATGTAATAAACCTGCACGTTCTGCACACGTATCCCAGAACTTACAGTATATATATATATATATATATATATATATATATATATATATATATATATATATATATAATGAGAATGTGTTAAAAAAATTAAGATTTGAGGCATCCCACCTCCCTGCACTGGCCAGTCACTCCCCAGCTTCAGACTGAGGACCCAGAGCTGTTTTGAGGCTCATCAAAGGTGTTCAAGCAAACCAGCTCCTCCCCACCCTGCCTGAGCTTTCCACTCTCCAGGGCATGGAGGAAGGGGATGAGGTTAATGGAGGAGACTTTCGATGCTGACTGTGCATACAGACTCTCCTCCCTTTGAACACATGGCTCAGTTCTTTTTCCTGCCACTCCATTACAGAAGGTGTCCCTTTCTCCAACTGGGGAGCCATGCCTAAGACTGTGCCCAGATACTGAGCTATTTCATTCATGTGAAATTTGGTGACAGGGAGAAGGTGGGCAAGCTCATTACACTGAAGAAGGCACATGACTGTCGGGTAGTCCAGTCTCCTTCCCACTTCACCGGGGAGAAATCACCATGAGGGATGCTACTCTAAAGGTGGCTGAAGGGATGGGTGGGGAGGAGGTTTGGCTCTAGAATGACAGGATGTTGCTTCCCTCTGTGTTTCACCATCCCAGACCACTCTGGGAAGACTGTGCTGCCCTTTAGCACTGGTGAGACGGAAAGCCAAATGCATGCCAGGCACACCATAGGACCAAGGTTTTTGGTTTTGAGTCTTTGGTTTTTTGTTTTTGCAGGAAAGAGAAGCCAGCTCTATAATTTCACAAAGTCTCCCCACCTTACTCATCTCGAGTAGTGACCACCGTGAATGGTCCCACCGCCAGCCTCTTGGGAGGCAGCCGGGGAAAGCACTCCATCCTGGGACTTAGGAGCATGAACTCTGGAGAAACACAGACCTGTGTTCAAATCCGAGTCCACTGCGTCCTCACAATGTGATCTTGGGTAAGTCATTTGGCCCCTCTGGGTCTCAGACGTGTCCTGAATTTGCCCAGGGGATGAACAGTGCTGGAACAGGAGGTGGCTGAGTACAGGGTCTGGCACTTGGTAGGTACCCAGGAAGGGGTGCATACCATCCTTATTTTGCCTTGATAAAGAGAAGATAGGTCTCTATGATTATTCTAGAAAAAGATCAGTGGGGACTGTGGGTCGAGAGGCTAGGAGCTGGAGAGAGAATGGCAGAGGGAAGTGTGGACACAAGGGGAAGGAAGAGCAGGCAATTCCTGCAGGGCCCTGGTGCCATGGAGCCCTGGGATAGAGGTCAGAGAAGCAAGATATGGCGGTGGGGGAGTGTCCTTGGGTCTGTGGGTGGACACTAAGGGCCGGCATGTGACCACTCGCAACCCCCACCCCCAGCCTAGCCCGACCTCCACCAGGGGACACTCACCTCGAGCTCATTGCCACTGTCCAGGGTCAATTCATTGCCCGGGGTACTTTGTGCCACCTTGTAGTGGCAAAATCTTGATTTTGCATCCTCAATGAGAACAGACAGATTCATGTAGATAAGGTGAGAATCAGCACTGCCACTCACGCCTAATGCTCACAGGGGCCTGAGCAGCATGAACCCTAGGTAGATAGAATTTCACAGGATGCCAAGGCACAATCAGAAGGTGGCTTAGACTAGGGCATGGGTTCAGAGCCACAGGTGGGAGGACCCCTCCCCTCCTCTCCCGCCACCCCCTCCTCGACTACCTCCATTCCTTCCTTTTTCCCTTCCTCTTTTATCTCCTTTTCCCTACTTCTCCCATTTTCCTTCCTCTCTACCTCCTCTCCCTCCTCCTCTTTCCTTCTCCCTCCTCCTGGATCCCCTCATCCCTTTACTTCCTCCTCTTTCTGCTACTTTCTCTTCCTCCTCTATTTCAGACACAGATCCAATGTGCACAGCAAGGCATTCAAATAGCACAAAGGCTAGATCCTCCAAAGGAATTTCACCTTCAGCTCTGACTCCCAGTTCCCCAGTTTACCTGTCTGGAGCCACCATTTAGAAGCTTATGTATATAAAGGTATAGATTTGTGGGTATGTGTTTTACAGAAATATTAGCAGAGCATATGCATTTTTCTGTGCTTTTCTAACCTAATACTATATCTTTGAGACGGTTTCACATACATCTACCTTATTCATTTTAACAGCTGCAGAATGTTCCATTGTATGGATGTCTTTTTTTTTTGAGAGAGAGAGTCTGGCTCTGTCGCCCAGGCTGGAGTGCAGTGGCGCAATCTCGGCTTACTGCAAGCTCTGCCTCCCGGGTTCACGCCATTCTTCTGCCTCAGCCTCCCGAGTAGCTGGGACTACAGGTGCCCGCCACTACGCCCGGCTAATTTTTTTTGTATTTTTAGTAGAGACAGGGTTTCACCGTGTTAGCCAGGATGGTCTTGATCTCCTGACCTCGTGATCCGCCCGCCTCTGCCTCCCAAAGTGCTGGGATTACAGGTGTGAGCCACCACGCCCAGCCTTGTATGGATGTCTTATGATTTATTTAATCAGACTGCAATTGATGGACACTTAAGACATTTCTACTCTTTTGATGCTTATAAATAATGCAGCAAATGCTATTTTATTGATAATAATGATAATGGTTAACATTTGTTGGACTCCTAACTAGGAACTATTTTATGTTTCCCTGTATTAAATCATTTAATCTTCAAAATAAAGCTAGATTGCAGGTACTCTTATCATTTTATAGATGAAGAAACCAAGGCACGAAGAGATTAAATGCCCTGTCCACTTCTTTGCACACATGAGTGATTATATCTATGGAATAAATTCTTACAAGTGTATTTTAAATTTTCATAGCTTTTACCAAATTGCCCTTCTAAGGCACTGTAGCAGTTTATTGTCTCATCAACTTTGTATAAAAGTGCCTATTTTTCTTATATATTTCTCGTATATATTCACTAGGATAGGAGAAAACTTGTATCTTGTGATTTAATTTGCATTCCTTTTATTATGAGTGAAATCGAGCATCGTTTTATCTGTTTAAAGCCATTTTATTTATTTTTCCCTGAACCATTAAAGTCCTTTGCTCATCTTTCCTATTAGACTCTTAATCTTTTTCTTGTTAGTTTTAAGAACTTTTTAATGTATTAATAACCTACCTTCTTTCTTTTAAATTATTTTAGGTAAAATGTTTTATAAAATATGTCACACAGAGAGAAGATTGTAGATAACACATATGTCCAGTATAAAGAATGATAATATAATGGGCCAGGCATGGTGGCTCATGCCTGTAATCCCAGCACTTTGGAAGACCAAGGCAGGTGGATCACCTGAGGTCAGGGGTTAGAAACCAGCCTGACCAACATGGTGAAACCCCGTCTCTACCAAAAATACAAAAAATTAGCTGGACGTGATGGCGGGCATCTGTAATCCCAGCCACTTGGGAGGCTGGGGCAGGAGAATCGCTTGACCCCAGGAGGCAGAGGTTGCAGTGAGCCAAGATCGTACCACTGCACTCCAGACTGGGTGACAGAGCGAGACTCCGTCTCAAAAGAAAACAAAAAGAATAAAAAAAGAAATGATAATGTAATGAATATCCAGGGACACTCCATTCCCCTTAGGAAAAATAGCATTTCCAGGTCCTTTGAAGCTCCGTGTGGCATGTTCTCAAACTGCATTTCTCTACCTATCAATCAGGAAATTATCACCCTGAAGTTTGTGCTAATCATTTCTTTTTTCTTTGTTTAAACTTCCTATAAAAGGAATCATACCGTGTGTATTTTTCTATGACTTTCTTCTATCATTTTCATTATGATTTTGAGACGCATCTGTGTTCATATGCACATATGTAGAAGCTGTGGTTCATTACTGATCAATGCTATTGAGTGTTTCATGATTATGCCATTTACATGTGAAAAGTAAAACCCAACAGCAGTATATAAGAATTTCCATTACTCGACATTCTTACCAGCATTTTGGATGGGAGTATAATGAGATCTCATGAATATAATTGGCATTTCCATGATTATTGAGGTTGAGCATATTTTCCTACTTTATGAGCCGTTGATGTTCCCTCTTCTCTGAAGAGGTTATGACTTTTCTCCATTTTCTATTGTATGGTTTGACTTTTCCTTGTTGATCCATCAGTGTTCTTTATATATTCTGGATATTAATCCTTAGTCAGTTATATGTGCTGCAAGTACATTCAGTTTGTAGCTTTTCTTTTTACTGTCTTTATGGTGTTATTTCATGAACAGAGGCTCTTAAATTTAACGCAGTTAAGTTTATTATAATTTTTAATGATTTCTGCTTTTTGCATCTTGTTTGAGGAATCCTTCCTTTTTCTGAAGTCAGCAATAGTATTTTCCTTCATTGCCTTCCAAAATTTTTAAAGTTTTGCCTTTTGTATTTAAGGCTTTAATCCATCTGAAGTGGACTTTTTTTATGCTGTGACATAGGAATCCAGTCTCATTCTTCAGCCATATGAATGGACTATTGTCCAGACAATATCTTTTGTCACTCATCTTCAATTCCACTTTGGCATAAACCAAGTTTCTTTGTTTGCATGGGTCTGTTTCTGGTCTCTCTATTCTTTCACACTGGTATATTTTCCTATTCTTGCACCTGTACACACTTTCTTACTTGTCATAGCTTTATAACAAACCTTTATATCTGGTAAGGCAAATTCTCCCCTAGCTCCTTGTTCTAATAAAGAGAATCTTTTCACCATTAAATATGGCAGTTTGCTATAGATTTTTTGAAGATACTCTTGAAGAGGTGGAGAAAGTATTTAGTTCCAATTGCTAAGAGTTTTTATTATGAATAAATGTTGAACCAATCAGATGGTTTTTCTCTGTAATTATGTTTATGTGATGAACAACATAAATAGATTTGCTAATATTGAACCAAACTTGTATTCCTAGGTAAAGCCAATTTGGTGAAGTTGGATTTTTGTGGGTTTTTTGTTTTGTTTTGTTTTGTCTTGTTTTGTTTTGAGACAGTCTCGCTCTGTTGCCCATGCTGGAGTGCAGTGGCGCAGTCCCAGCTCACTGCAATCTCTGCCTCCTGGGTTCCAGCAATTCTCGTGCCTCAGCCTCCCGAGTTGCTGGGATTACAGGCATGCTTTACCAAGCCCAGCCAATTTTTGTAATTTTTTAGTAGAGACGAGGTTTCACCATGTTGGTCAGGTTGGTCTCAAACTCCTGACCTCAAGCGATCCGACCACCTCTGCCTCCCAAAGTGCTGGGAGTACAGGCATGAGCAACTGTGCCTGGCCATGAAGTTGGATTTTTAAATATCCATTGTTGAAATCTGTTTGATAAAATTTTGTTTAGGGTTTTTACGTTGATCTCCAAAAATGAGGTAGGTTCCTTGATTATGCTTTTATTTCCTGACTTTCTAATCAAGACTGGGTCAAGCTCATAAAATGTTCTTTTTTCCCCTCTATTATTTGAAAAAGTTTAAGATTGAGTTACCTGGTTGGTAGAATACTTGTGAAGATGTAAGGATGTTTGAACCTGAGTTTTCTTCATGGGGAGCTTTTCAATGACCGATTCAATTTCAATGACTGATTCAATTTCATTGGGTTTCTTAAATTTCTTTTTTTTTCTTGAATCAAGTTTAATGAGTTATATTATTTGAGGAGTTTGCTCCTTTGTCTAAGTTTTCCAATAAATTGTCAAAATTTTTCTGCAACATTTTTGTATTGTCTGTTTAATATCACTATCATCTGTTTTTATGTCCCTTTTCCTTAATGTTTATTGTGTCTTTTTTCTTTTTTGATTAGTCTGACTAGATATTTGTCTACTTTATCCATCTGTATTGTCTATTTTATTAGGCTTTTCAAAGAGAAAACTTGTGGCCTTGATGATCCTTTTTATTTATTTTATTTTTTTAGAGACAGTCTCATTTTGTCACCCAGACTGGAGCACAGTGGTGCAATCATGGCTCATTGCAGCTTCAAACTCCTGGGCTCAAGTGATCCTCCCACCTTAGCCTCCCAAGTAGCTGGGACTACAGGCACATGACAGGTGCCTGGCTAATCAAAAAAAATTTTTTTGTAGAGATGGGGTCTTCCTATGTTGCCCAGGTTGTTCTCAAACTCCTGAGCTCAAGTGATCCTCCTGCCTCGGCCTTCCAAAGTGTTGGGATTACAGGCATGAGTCACTATGCCCAGCTGATTCTTTTTATTATATGTTTTATTTTTCAATAATTTTTCCTTTTATTATGTCCCTCTTATTTTCTTTGGGTTTGTGCTGTAGAATGCTTAGGTTGTTAATGTTGAGCTTTATTCTTTTTAAATATAAACACTTAAGGCTACATATTTCCCCAAAAGTTCAGTGATAGCTGCATTGTATAAGTTTTGACATATAAAAATTTTATTATTTAGCTTTAAGCTTTTCTTTTGTTTTGAGACGGAGTCTCCCTCTGTCACCCAGGCTGGAATGCAGTGGCAAGATCTCGGCTCACTGCAACATTTGCTTCCCACGTTCAAGTGATTCTCCTGCCTCAGCCTCCCAAGCTTTAAGCATTTATTTATTTATTTATTTTATTATTATTATTTTTTGAGATAGAGTCTTGCTCTGACGCCAAGGCTGGAGCGCAGTGGTGCGATCTCAGCTCGCTGCAACCTCTGCCTCCTGGGTTCAAGTGATTCTCCTGCCTTAGCCTCCCAAGTAGCTGGGATTACAGGCACCCGCCACCATGCCCGGCTAACTTTTGTATTTTTATTAGAGACAGCGTTTCTCCATGTTGGCCAGATGGGTCTCAAACTCCTGACCTCAAGTGATCCACCCGCCTCGGCCTCCCAAAGTGCTGGAATTATAGGAGTGAGCCACTGTGCCCAGCCCCAAGCTTCATGTATTTAAGTGGTTTAATATATCAGTGCTTCTTAGATCAATGAGTTATTTATAAATTTGTTTTTAATTTTCCAATTGGTTCCTCCAGAAAATTTACATGCAAATTGAACTAAATAAGAAAGTTAATATCTCTGCCTTTCTACTGGTAATAAAATAATCTTCAATGCTGTAATTCCAATCACCTTCTCCTAAAATATGTTATTTTGATCATCTTTGTTCTATTTCATTTCCTTCCCCAGCCTAGACGTTACTCTATTTTTACCTTTTCCCTTTTTGTTTTTCATTTCTACTCACATTTGAAAAATTTCCTCAGAGATAATTATCATTTTGTCAGAAGCCTCTCCTTTGGAACTGTCTTGATGGCAAGCTCTCTCAGCTCTTGTGTCTGAAAGTGTATTTATTTTGCCCTGTTTGTGTATTCATATTCAGAATGAGTTGCTTGATTACAGCACAGTCTGGGGCCACTTTAACAATCTAATCAACAATCTCTGCTTTTCCAAATGATTTTATTGAGATATAATTAACACATAATGAAGTGTGCATGTTGGAATCATATAATTTGACAAGTGAAGACACCACCCAAATCAAGATAATAAACATATCCATTATCTCCAGAAGTTTCCTCATGCCCTTTGCAATCTCACCTTCCCAGCTCTCCCTGCCACCCATCATTCCCCAGACAACCACTGCTCTGCTTCCTGTCACTCTAGATTAGTTTGCATTTTTTCTGGAATTTTGTATAAATGAAATCATAGCATGTATACTCTTTTTTTGTCCAACTTTATTCAGGTAGCAGAATTATTTTAAGATTCATCCATGTTATTTCATGTATTAATACACAGGTTTTTATTGCTGAGTAGTATTCCATGATGTGGATATACCACAATCGATCGATTGGTGGACATTTGTTTCCAGTTTTTGGGTAGTATAAATAAAGGTGGTATGAACTTTTTTGTTCAAGTCTTTATATGGTCATACTTAATTTTCTTTGGGTGAATACCTAGGATTAGGATGGCTTGCTCATATGGTATGTGTTTGTTTAACATTTTTTTTTTTTTGAGACAGAGTCTCGCTCTGTTGCTCAGGCTGGAGTACAGTGGCGCGATCTCGGCTCACTGCAAGCTCCGCCTCCTGGGTTCACGCCATTCTCCTGCCTCAGCCTCCCGAGTAGCTGGGACCACAGGCGCCCACCACCAAGCCCGGCTAATTTTTTGTATTTTTAGTAGAGATGGGGTTTCACCGTGTTAGCCAGGATGGTCTCGATCTTCTGACCTCATGATCTGCCAGCCTCGGCCTCCCAAAGTGCTGGGATTACAGGTGTGAGCCACTGTGCCCAGCCCTTTGTTTAACTTTTTAAGAAACTGTCAAACAGTTTTACAAAGCAGCTGATCCATTTTACATTCCTATCAGCAGTCTATGAGACTTCTAGTTTTTCTAAATTCTTGTAAACTCATGGTAAGAGCAGTATGTATATATAAATATAAATATAAATATATATATATATATATATATATTTTTTTTTTTTTTTTTGAGACATGGTCTGGCTTCATAGCCCAGGCTGAAGTGCAGTGGAGTGATTATGACTCACTGCCACCATATCTGGCTATTATTTTTTGTATTTTTTGTAGAAATGGGATTTTGCCATTGTATTAGTCCATTCTTATGCTGCTAATGAAGACATACCTGAAACTGGGTAATTTATAAAGAAAAGAGGTTTAATTGACTCACAGTTTCACAGAGCTAGGGAGGCATCAGGAAACTTACAACCATGGTGGAAGGGGAAGCAAACACATCCTTCTTCATATGGCAGCAGGAGAGAGAAGAATGAGAGCTGAGTCAAAGGGGAAGCCCTTTGTAAAACCATCAGATCTTGTGAGAGCTTATTCACTGTCACGAGAATAGCATGGGGGAAACCACCTCCATGATTCAATCACCTCCCACCAGATCCCTTCCACCACTTGTGGGGATTATGAGAACTACAATCAAGATGAGATTTTCATGGGGACACAACCCTACCATATCAGCCATGTTGCCCAGGCTAGTCTCAAAATCGTGGGTTCAAGCGATCCTCCTGCCTCAGCTTCCCAAAGTGCTGGGATTACAGGCGTGAGCCACTGTGCCTGGCCTTTTTATTTTATTATTGAGTTTTAAGAGTTCTTTTTATCTTCTGGACACAAGCCTTTTACCATATGTATGATTTTCAAATATTTTCTCCTAATGTATGCCTTCTCTTTTTATTATGTTAGAAGTATCATTTAAAGAGTAAAAATCTTTGATTTTGATGAAGTCCAATTTATGAGTTTGCTCTTGTATGGTTTGTTGTTTGATATCATATCTAAAAATTTTTTGCCTAATCCAAAGTCACAAAGCTCTTTCTCTTATTTTTTTTCTAGAATTTCTATAGTTTTAGGTTTGTGATCCACTTTGAATTAATTTTTACGCCATGTGACTTATGAATCAAAGTTCTTTTTTTTTTGCCTAAAGAAGTCCAATTTTCCCAGCACCATTGTATAAAATGAACATCCTTTCTCCACCAAATTGCTTTGCATCTTCATCAAAAATCTGTTGTTAATGGCAGGGGGTGGAGGGGTGGTGGCTCACGCCTGTAATCTCAGTACTTTGGGAGGCTGAGTTGGGAGGATTGCTTGAGCTCAGGAGTTTGAGACAAGCCTGGGCAACATAGTGAGAACTTGTCTTAGCTAAAATTAAAAAAAAAAAAAATAGCAAGGTGTGGTGGTGCACACCTGTAGTCCCAGATACTTGGGAGGCTGAGGTGGGAGGATCACTTGAGCCTGGAAGGTTTAGGCTGCAGTAATCTGTGATCAGACCACTTCACTCCAGCCTGGGTGACAGAGTGAGACCTTGTCTCAAAAAAAAACCCCAAATCCTCAGTTGTTTGTTTATATTTGGGCCTATTTCTAGACTCCCTCTTGTGTTTCATTGATTCATTTGTTTTCTATTTTTCCATCATGATATAGTTTAGATATTTGTCCCTACCCAAATCTCATGTTGAATTATAATCCCCAGTGGTAGAAGTGGGGCCTGGTGGGAGGCATTTGGATCACAGGGGCAGATCCCTCGTGGCTTGGTGCTGTCTTCATGATAGTAAGTTCTATGAGATCTGGTCATTTAAAAGTGTGTGGCACCTTCACTCTTGCTCCCACTCTATGTGACATACCGGTCCCCACTCAGTTTCTGCCATGATTGTAAGCTTCCCGAGGCCTCCCCAGAAGCAGAGAAGATGCCAGCACCATGCCTCCTGTAAAGCCTACAGAACTGTGAGCCAATTAAATCTCTTTTCTTTATAAATTACCCAGTCTCAGGTATTTCTTTATAGCAATGCAAGAACGGCCTCACACACATGAATACCACACTATCTTGATCACTGGAGCTTTATAGTAAGTCTTAAAGTTAGATGATAGTGGTCTGCCAATTTTATTCTTATTTTGGCCATACTAGGTTGGTTGAATTTCTGTATGAGTGTAAGCATCGGCTTGTCAATTTCTCCAATAAGCCTACTGGGATTTCAATTGAAACTGTTGAATCTGAAGGTCAGTTTTGGGAAACTTGAGATCTTAATAATATTAAGTCCTCTGATTCATGAACACATATCTCCATTTATTAAAGTTTTCTTTAATTTCCTCAGTAATGTTTATAGTTTCCAGTGTATAGATCATATGTATCTTTTGACAGGTTTATCCTTAAATAGTTCATATTTTTTATGCTATTATGAATAGGATTGGTTTTAAGTTGTAATTCCAATTCTTTCATTACTAGTGTACAGAAACACAGTTTACTTTTTTTGTTTTTTGAGACAGTCTCTCTCTCTCTACTGTACAGACTGGAGTGCAGTGGCGCGATCATGGTTCACTGCAACCTCCATCTCCTGAGTTTAAATGATTCTCCTGCCTCAGCCTCCTGAGTAGCTGGGACTACAGGCATGCGCCACCATCCCTGGCTAATTTTTTTTTGTATTTTTAGTAGAGAGGGGGTTTCACCATGTTGGCCAGGCTGGTCTCAAACTCCTGACCTCAAGTGATCGGCCTGCTTCGGCCTCCCAACATGCTGGGATTACAGGCATGAGCCACCGCACCCAGCCAGAAACACAATCTACTTTTGTATATTGATCTCGTATCCTGAAGCCTTGCTAAACTAACTTATTTGTTCAGGTGGATTCTTTGGAGATTCATTTGGATTTTCTACATAAAACATCATGTTGTTTGTAAAAAAGGAGGTTCTTACTTCTTCCTTTCCAGTTTGGATGTATTTTTTTTCTTCTTATTACCTTCTTGCACTTGCTATTTAGCTTTGTATACAAAGCTAAATAGAAATATTGAAAATAAACATCCTGTTGCTCCCGGTCTTAGGGAGAAAACATTTAGTCTTTCTCGATTGAATATGATATTAGTTGTAGGTTTTTAGGGTTTTTTTGTAGACTTTTTTTTTCTTTTCTTTTTTTTTTTTTTTTTTTTGAGACAGGGTTTCACTCTGTCACTCAGACTGGAGTGCAGTGGTGTAATCTTGACCCACTGCAACCTCTGCCTCCTAGGCTCAAGCAGTCCTCCCACCCCAGCCTCCCAAGTAGCTGGGATCAAGTAGCCACCATGCTGGGCTAATTTTTGAGTGTTTGTAGAGACAAGGTCTTGCAATGTTACCCAGACTGGTCTCAACTCCTGAGTTCAAGTGATCTCCCCATCTTGGCCTCCCAAAGTGCTAGGATTACAGATTAAAGCCACCACACCTGGCCTCTCTAGACACTCTTTATGAGATTGAATAATTCCCTTCTACTCATAGTTTGCTGATAGTTGGATTTTTTTTTTATCTGGAGTAAATGTTGGATTTTTTTTCTTTTTTTTGAGACAGAGTCTTGCTCTGTCACCCAGGCTGGAGTGCTGTGGTGCGATCTTGGCTCACTGCAACCTCTGCCTCCTAGGTTCAAGCAATTCTCCTGTTTCAGCCTCCCTACTAGCTAGGATTACAGGTGCCCGCCACCATGCCCAGCTAATTTTTGTATTTTAGTAGAGAGAGGGTTTCCCCATGTTGGCTAGGCTGGTCTTGAACTCCTGACCTCAAGTGATCCACCCATCTCAGCCTCCCAAAGTGCTGGGATTACAGGTATGAGCCACCATGCCCAGCCAAATGTTTGATTTTTTTTTCAAATGTTTTTTCTGTATCTATTGGGTGGATCATATGGTTTTTCTTTTTAGTCTTTACTATGATGAATGACAATGGTTGATTTTTGAATATTAAACCTACCTTGAATTCCTAAGGATTTAAAACACCATTTCATCATGAGGTATTATTCATTTCTATATGTCATTAGATTCAATACATTAAAATCTTATTTAAAATGTTTGCATCTGTTTTCATGAGAAGTATTGGTCTTTAATTTTCTCATCTTGTAATTTCTTAGTCTGGTTTTGATGTTAGGTAACTGGCCTCATAGGATGAATTGGGAAGTGTTTCCTTCTGTTCAATTTTTTTAGAAGTGCAGGCATACCTCAGAGATATTGCAAGTTCAGTTCCAGGCCACTGCAATAAGGCAAATCACACATTTTTTTTTGTTTTCCAGTGCATATAAAAGCATGTTCTGCACATTTATCCCAGAACTTAAGGTTTAATAATAAAAGAAAAAAAGTTATGTTTACACTCTGCTGTAATCTATTAAGTGTGCAATAGCTTTATGTCTTTAAAACAATGTACATACCTTAATTTTTTTAAAACTTTATTGCTAAGAATTGCTGACACAGAGACATGAAGTGAGCATATGCTGTTGGAGACAAGGTGCTGATATGTTTGACGCAGGATTGCCACAAACCTTCAATCTGTAAAACAAAGCACAACAAAACAAGGTATGCCTGTGTTTCTGTCTAACAGACATTATTTCTCCCATAAATGTTACATATTCTTCACCATCGAAGCTCTCTGGTCCTGGAGCTTTGTTTTTGTGACAATGTTTAACTGCAAATTCATTTTCTTCAATAGTTTTAGGGATATTGTCTGTATTGATATAACTTCTCTTGTTTCTGATATTGGTAATTTTTATATTCTTTTCATTTTTTCCTGATCAGTTGAGCTAGAAGTTTTTAAAATTTTATTGATCTTTTGAAGGAACCAGCTTTTGGTTTCATTTGATTTTTCTGTTGTTTTTCTGTTTTAAAATTCATTCATTTCTGGTGGAATTTTAATCATTTCCTTTCCTCTGCTTCCTTTGGGTTTAATTTGCTCTTTTGTTTTCTAGTTTCTTAAGGTGGAAGCTGAGATCATTAGTTTGATAACTCCTTTCTTTTATAATATGGGCACTTAGTACTATAAATTTCCTTATAAGTACTGATTTAGTGGTGACCTACAAATTTTGATGTTTTTTCACTTTCACTTAGTTTGAAATACTTTTAACTCTCCTTTTGATTTTTTTCTTTGACCCTTCAATTACTTAGAAGTGTGTTATTTAGTTTCAAATACTTGTGGATTTTTCCAGAGATCTTTCTGTTATTAATTTATAATTTGATTTCAGTTTGGTCAGAGAGCATACTTTGTAAGACTAGAATCCTTTTAAGTTTACTGAAACTTATTTTATGGCCCAAAATATGGTCTATCTTGGTAAATGTTGCTTGTGCTCTTGAAAAGATTGTATATTCTGCTGTTGTTGGGTGGAGTGCTATATAAATGCCAATTAGGTCAAGTTGGTTCATAGTGTTATTCAAATCTTTTATATCCTTTTTGATTTTTTTGTCTACTTATTTTATCAACTCTTGACAGGATGTTGAAATCTTTGACTGTAATGATGATTTATCTGTTTCTCCTTGTAGTTCAATTCCGTTAATTTTGCTTCATGTGTTTTGAGGTTCTGTTATTAGATGCATAAACATTTAGAATTATAATTTGATGAATTAACCCCTTTATCATAATAAAAGATCTTTTTTATCTTTAGCCATATTCTTTGCTCTGAAATCTACTGTGATATTTATATAACTGCTCCAGCTTTCTTTTGGTTAGGGATAACATGGTATCTTTTCTCATCCTTCTACTTTCATTTTATACACACACACACACACACACACACACACACACACACACACATAGATAATGGTCAGAAACTGTTAAAATTTATTGAAAACTATAAAGCCAAATGTCCAAGAAGTTCAACAAATCTCTGGCTCAACAAACGTGAAGAAAACTATACCAAGATATATCCTAATCAAATTGTTCAAAACTGGTAACAAAGAGAATATCTCAAAAGCAGTCAGAGAAAAAAAGACATGTTACATGCAGAGGTACAAATATAAGAATGACATCAGATTTCTTTTTAAAGCAATGCAAAAGCAATGCAAGCAAAAAGACAATGGTGCAACATTATATATAATTATTTTATATATATAATTCATTTCCTGTAAACAGGATATAATTCTTTTTCTTTCTTTTTTGTTGTTTTTTTAATCCAATCTGAAAATCTCTGCTCTTTAATTGGGGATATTTAGCACATTTACATTTAATGTGATTATGGGTATTATACCATTGTCCAAAAGCTCACTGAGGCTCTTTTCACTTTTAAAATTTTTTCTCCCCTTGTCTCATTTTGAATAGTTTTAATTGCTTCTTCAAACACTAGTGTGCCGTTTTTCACTATCTCCTAGTTAAAAAGGACCCTATCCTCTACATATTGGCATCTGTTGTCTGATCTCTGATTGCTGCCTCTGATCACAGAGGTGCAGAGAAAGGCAGCCATTGTTGTACCTCCCCCATTGTTGCAAGTCCTTCTCCTCTGAATGATTTCCAGGGAATTTAAAGGGGGTAGCACCTTTCCCCCACCCCTTTTTTCTCTCTTTTCCACCTTTTGGGAACCAAACATTAAAGACTAGTATTTTTTTTTTTTTCATCTCAGACATTGTAGATTTAATCTCTCTAGATTTGACTTGTGACCTTTTTAGATCTTTAATGCCTTTACTTAACTGTTGAACAACTGGAATATACTTACAATAACTAGTTTAATATCCTTGTCTGATAGTTCTGACATTTGTGTTAGTTCTGAGCCAGTTTTGACTCTTGGTTGGCAGGTTGTTGTTGTTGTTGGTAGCACTGAATATATTGGCCCACTGCCTTCTGGCCTCCAAAGTTGCTGATGAGAAATGTGTTGATAATCTCATTGAGGATCACTTGTATGTGATGAGTCACTTCTCTCTTGCTGCTTTCAAGATTCTTTCTTTGTTTTTCAAAAGTTTATATTATAATGTAAAGTTTTGATTATATGGTTAGGTTATAACCCTAACCCTAATCTTAGTGTAAGTTCCTTGAGCTCATCTTCCTTGAAGTTTGTTGAAGAACTCCTTGGATGTTTATATTCATGTCTTTCATCAGATTTGGGAAGTTTTTGGCCGTGATTTATTCAAACATTCTCTCTTCTCTTTCTGGGACTTCCACAATGCATATGTTGATCTGCTTGATGGTGTCCCACAGGTCTCTTAAGCTCTATTCACTTTTCTTCAATCTTTTTTCTTTTTGTTCCTCAGACTTGATAATTTCCATTGTTTTACCTTCAAGTTCACTCATTATTTTGTCTGCCCAGATCTGCCTCTGATTCGGACTTCTGTAGTGAATTTTTCTTTTCAGTTATTGTATTTTTAGCTTCATATTTTTTGGGTTTTTTTTAGGTTTCTATCTATTAATATTTTCATTATGTTCATAAATTGTTTCCTTGACTTTCTCCATATCTTCCTTTAGTTCTTTGACCATCTTTAAAATAGTTGTTTTAAAGTCTTTGTCTAGCAGATATGCCATAAGGTTTTTTTTCAGGGACAGTTTCTGTTTATTTTTGTCCTTTGAATGGGCTATGCTTTCCTGTTTCTTTATATGCTTTGTGGTTTTTTTGTTGTTGTTGTTGAAAACTGGACATTTGAATCTAATAATATGGTGACTGGAAGTTAGATTCTCTCCCTTCCTCAGGATTTGTTGTTTTCTTATTGTTTTGTTTTTGGTTGTTGTAGGCTGTCTCCATGCCAAGGATCAGCCTGGGGTATAAACTTAAGGTCTTCTCAAGTCTTTTCTGAGCCTTCATCTTTCCTGGGACATGAGTGGTCATTTTCTGATTTCCCTGTATCTGTGATTGCTTTTGAATCTTCTAGTCTTTAATGTTTGGCCCCCAAAAGGCGAAAAAGAGAAAAAAACAGAGACAAATGGAAAAAAAAAAAAAGAGTGCTAGCCCTTTAAATCCCCTGGAAGTCATTTCAGCCAAGAAGCAGGGGCTTGCAACAGTTGGGGGAGGTGCAACAACAATGGCTGCCTTTTTCTTTGTCTGCACCTTTGTGATCAGAAGCAGAAATCAGGGATCAGACAACAGATGCCTGATATGTAGAGGATAGGGTCCTTTTGGTCTACCCTGGCTCACTCAAGCTATGTGCAGGTTGCTCCAGAAACATGTGCACGGCTGCTTGCCATGGGCTTGGGGGTGGGGGATGAATAGCTACTACTGTGCTGAGAGTGAAATTTCCCCTGGAATTTGCAAGCCTTCAATAAACTCCAGAGTTTCAAAATAGTTACATCAGATGGAGTCTGCTAGTGTTAGGTGGGTAGACAGATTTCTGGTGCTTTCTACTTCACCATCTTTCCAGAGGACCTCATTCTATTAATTTTCTGCTTCATATATTTTAGTTCCAGAATTTGCATTTTGTCATTTTTTATAGTTTACAATTCTCTGCAGAAATATCAATCTCTTCAATGATTATATCTTTCTTTACCTCTAAAATTTTAAACATATTAAAATGGTTGTTCCAAAGTTCTTATTTGCCAGTTCCAATGACAGAATTTCAATTCTAATTATATTTCCTTTGGGAGTCTGTTTCTGTTGATTATGCTTTCTCTTGATTATAATCATTATTCCCCCCACCACCACGAGATTCCTCAGATGGCTTGTACTTTTTAAATTGTATTCCAAACACTATATATAAATAGCAGTGAAGACTAAAGGATACTTTTCTTTGTTTATTTCCCACACTGAAAACCCTTTCTTATGACTGATGGTTAAAGTAAATGTCTGATCATTCACATTTCTCCTTGATCAAGTTGAGATGGGGCTGGGCCACAGCTTTAATTAGATTGAGTTCATCTGTGTGATTGTCTCAATGTCCAAACCCCAAAGCTGTTGTTTTTTGTTTTGTTTTGTTTTGTTTTTAATCGTGTCAGAATTTGAGCTGGAAAATGGCTACAGTTCCTTCCTTCCTTCCTCCCTCCCTCCCTCCCTCCCTCCCTCTCTCTCTCTCTCTCTCTTTCTTACTTTTTGAGATGGAGTTTCACTCTTGTTGCCCAGGCTGGAGTGCAATGGCACAATCTTGGCTCACTGCAACCTCTGCCTCCTGGGTTCAAGCAATTCTTCTGCCTCAGCCTCCCAAGTAGCTGGGATTACAGGTGCACACCAATATGCCTGGCTACTTTTTTGTATTTTTAGTAGAGACGGGGTTTTGCCATGTTGGTCAGGCTGGTCTCGAACTCCTGCCCTCTGGTGATCCACCCGCCTCGGCCTTCCAAAGTGCTGGGATTACATGCATGAGCCACCACACCCAGCCTACAGTTTCAGATAGTTTTGGTTCACTTTTAAATTCAAGTCTGTCAGGATCTTGAATCCTATCATCACGAGAATGCATTAAACTACAATCCGTTTACTAACTCTTTCTTCACTATTGCTTACTCAGCAGTGAGAAAGGGGAGCATGTGGGGCAGGAAAATATCTGAGATGAGTAATCTGTTCTTGTATTTGGAGCTCTTCCAAACTCCTGCCAGCTCACACTGTTGTCTAGGGCCCAGCTGATTTCCCTGGTCCTCTAAAAGTCTCTGTATTTATGGCAGGTTTGCTTACGTTTAGCCCAAGTGCCTTCTCCCAAGCATGGAAGATGCTATGAGTTTGTTTCTGTCTAGAAATCAGTTCATCAAGGCAGCAGAGAAATTTGGTTGGAATGGGTGCCCTGAAATTCAGTTTTGTGTCACCAATTGTGGGTATCCATTAGGAACCACTGGAGGCAAACTGAAATAAATCCTCCTCTCTCAAGGAGGCGGTGTTACTCCTGGACCTGGCAGGATGCTCATGTGAGTATGTCCAGCAAACCAACCACTAACAATCCCAAAGATAACAATTTCTTATACTCACACGGTGCTTTGTGTTTAACAAGGCATGTCCATGCCCATGGGTCTCCTTTGATTCTCACAATAACTCAGTTTTAGTATGAGGGAAGACTGGGAAAGTCCAGTGGGCCAGTTTGGGAGTGGCCTTGAATGTCATCCTTGAGACTTTGAACTTTAGTCCATATTCTGCCATTCGCCTCCTTTCATCCAGATCACTGCAGCGGTCTCATTGCAAGCCTCCCTGCCTCCAGGCCTGACCCCTCCATCCATCCGCCACACCGAATGAACAATCTAAAAGGCAAACTTCCCCTTGCCAAACCCTCCTGCTCTGTACTCTTCAGTGGCTCCCCACTGCTTTCAGAACAAATCTACAAAGCTCTTGAGATCTGGCCTCTTTCCACTTCTCCAGTCTCATTTTTCCCCTCCTGCTTCTCCCTACTTTCTTCTTCAGCTGCACTAAACATTCTTCAATTCCTTCACTGAATCTTGCTCCATCAAGCATATATGCATTGCTATATACTTTTCCACATTGTTCACACACACACACACACGCACACACACACACACACACACTCACACTCACTCATGTCTGCTCATCCATAAGGTCAAAGCCGCAGAGTGACCTCTTTTCCATGCCTCCTCTGGACCTGCAGGCCCCGAGCTTGCTTCCAGCTCATCACCTGGCTCACTGGGCTGGGATTGCTCCAGCATTTGCTTCCCTACTAGAATGAAAGCTGTGGGAGGGCAGAGATTGTCCATCTTGCACACCCTTGAGCCTCTAGCACCAAGCACAGTGTCTACACATAACAAGCACTCCATCAATGCTCATTGCATTGAATAGGACCCAGGAAGCTACAGACTGCTTGTTCTGCTATATATCCTGCCAGTTGTTTAAGAGGTCAGCTCATGAGTACTTACTATCTCTCATAGCCTAGGTCTGGGCCGAAATGCAGGGTCAGATGAGAGGCTGCTGAAATAGAATATGAACAGTGCTCACATTTATCAAGTGCTTCACTTGCGCTGTCCCATGTAACCTTCACACAACCCTGCACATTTGGTGCTATTATTAGCATTCCCATTTTGGAGATGAGAAAACAAAGGCATGGAGGGGTGGGCAATTTGTCCAAAGTCACAAAGTTCAAAAGTGGTGACTCTGGGGTTCAGTCCAGGCACTGTGATGCCAGAGATTCTCACCTCTAACTACTATGCAACAGGAACACTGACCTCCAGAAGCTTCCGGGCTGGTTTTTGAGACAAGATAGAGATGCCACCATAGGATCCCAAATGCAGGGGATACCCAGAGAAGGGAAGAAGTGTGACCCACTGCAGTCTCAGAAACCCTGAGATGGTGACAAGCACTGGGAGGGCAATGTAGAGGCTTTTAGGGAACCTGGATACCCCAGACCCCCAGAAGAGGGGTCCCCCAATTTCGCTGTGACCTCAGGGCAGGAAGCAATGCTGAAGCCAAGCTGCCACTATGGGCCAGAGACTCCCGAGAGCCCGGAATGGAAAACAGTGCGACTAAATGTCAGGGTTTCGGGCCCCAGCCAGGCCTGGCTGCCCTATACCGAGCTCTATCCTCCTGCCCTGGAAGGAAGAGCAGGGAGAGATTCCACAGGAGCCCTCAGGAGAGCTTCCGAAAAGGGCCCCCCTGCCAGGGAGCAGGGAGAAGCGGGCGTGCTGGCGGCCAGGTCGGGGCGGGGCAGCCTGGGTCTGTGTGGGGTGGCCGGCAGCCGGGCCACCCGGACACCTCTGACAGGCAATTTCCAATTTCCTATGGAATTAAAGTGTAAAAGCAGAGAGTCCGTCACTGTCTGCTGCCTCCCTGGGAGGGGAGAGAGTTACTGCTGCAGGCTTGAAAAAGCTGAACTGTCCTTTCCCAAACAAAACAGCAACCAAGGAAGTTGGTGGTGGGAGGATGGCTTCAGGGCTCCAAGCTGGAAGTCAGGATGCAGGCTCTTCTGTCTCTACCTGCTTGGATGACCTTGGGCAAGTCCCTTCTTGTCTCTGGGCCTCAGTTTCTTCATCTACGTGAGGAGGCATTGGACAAGAGGATGCCGGAGGCCCCTTCCAGCTCTGAGAGGCCAGCATTTGGTAATAAGGTTGGGTGTGGGAAAAGATGAGGTCTTGGGGGAGAGGGGGAAGGGGCTGGAATCATCGTGGGTTGGAACAGTTAAAGGAACCTCTGTTCAGCCCCAGCCCCAAGGCTCCCAAACCCAGCAGCAGAACTGGGATCCACCCAACCAAAATCAGCGAGGGAAAGCCAAAAGCATGAGTAAGGAGAGGTTGGGCCATAAACATGTCATCTGCACAAACATCCAGCCCCCTCTGGGGTCCCATTGGCCCTGCTGGAGGGAGGAGGCTGCTATTGGGGCCCCCTCAGCCACAACCCCAAGCCTACTCGCTTGGCCTGGGACTCCAGGGTGGAGGCCTGATTGCTTAGAAGGGAAACCTGGCTGTGGACATGCCCCAAGGAGCTGTCAGGAAGGGGCTGGTGGTGGCTCTCAGCGGAAGGGAGGCTTTCCATGCTGATATCAAACAGGATTTTCTGGGATGGTCTCCATTTCAGGTCTGCTGGGGCTCCTGCTTCTCCAGTCCTGACCATTCCCCAAAGCTCTGGAAAGAAGAGCAGCCACTGGACCTTGATCTGTGGGTCTTCACAGGCATTGTAAACACAGTATTCCCCAACACGACTCTTTGTTCTTCCAAACTGTCTTCCTCTGTGGGGTTCCTGGCTTAGGGATGGTACTACCACCTAGTCCCCCAAGCGGGTGTTTCAGAAGTGATCCTTGTTCCTCTTTCTCCCTCTCCATCCACATCTAAGATGTGGCATGTGCCATATCCTGACAACCTGACTCTTTGTGCACTTCCATTGGACTGTTTCTCTCTCTCAATCTCCCTCTCCTTTTCTGGACCTGAAGTATATACAATCCAACTAATTATAATCCAGTTTTCAAATGGCTTGCTTTTTAAATTTCCTTATTTTTTAATAACAAAACAAAAGCTAGAACCATGACAATAACCTGCGTTCACCATGCATGATTCTCCACCCCATCTCCTTGCCCTCCGCCTTCCGAGGGAGCCATCATCCTATGTCTTGTGTCTATTGCTCTGTTGCTTCCTGTTGATAAAATCTTACTTTATGTATCTGTACTCCTAAAGTCTAATTTTATAAATGGGTATTCTGTATGTAATCTTTTGGAATTTACTTTTTGCAAGTGTAGTAGATCATTTCCAAATATGGCTGCAATTATTCCTCTTCCCGCCTCCACATCCCTTTTGCAACATGACTTCGAAGTTCCTTCCATCAAGAGGTGGAGTCTATTTCCCCACCTCTCAAATCTGGGCTGGGCTGATGTATGTTTTGACTAATATAATACGGTGGAAGTGGAATTGTGCCAGTTCTGAGCTTAAGCCTTTGGAGGATCTGTGCTCTTCCATATTTTCCTGGAAACTTTTGAACAAGTCTGGGCTGGCTTGCTGGATGAGGACTGACATGTGGCCCAATTGCCACCATTGTCTCAGCCAACAACCAGTCAACTCTCAGAAGCAGTGCCCCCTAGCTGACTCTCTGCTGACCCTGGACTCATGAGGAAGCCCAGCCAAAACCAGAACTGTCCAGCTGAGCCCAGCCTAGAATACCTACCCACTGAATTCTGAATCAAATAAGTAATTGTTTAAGCTATTAAGTTTGGAGTGGTTTGTTACACAGCAATCACCAGCTGTTACACCAAGATTCAGTCTTTTGTTGCATGCTGCTATGGCTCATTCATTTTCATGGCTGTGTAATATTCCACAGTGTACATATGGTTTATTGGTCCACTTTGCTATTGATGGGCATTTGTGTTTTTGATATTGTGAAAATCGCTCCGTGAACTTTTTTTATACCTGTCCTCTATCGAATGTGTGCAAGAGATTCCTGGTCCTCTCTAACCTCACAGCTACTAGAAACCTTGAGTCAATTCCCCTGACTATCCCAGAAGAAATGATCAAAAATGAAAATCACATCACGACATTCCCCTGCTCAAAATCCTTTAGTGGCTCTCCTCCAGCACGAGGGTAGAGTCCAGCATCTTTACTCAATATTTAAGGCTCTCTGTGGCCGGGTCAGTGCTGGCACCTCTAGCCTTAACGTCTCTTTGACAACAAGCTCTACCACTAAAAATCTGTGAGACGTTGGACAAATTCCTTCCCTTCTTTGTGCCTCAGTTTTCTCTTCGAAAAATGAGACTAGAGACACACTAAGGTGGGCGTATTACTGAGTTAACCCTTACAAAGCTTTAAGACAGTGCTTGGAGCAAAGCATCCCACAAATATTTGCTCTTATTGTTGTTCTTACTGTTGTGGTAAATGGAGTGAAATGGTAAGGCTGATGTTTCCCAGAGTACATCACCCCTCAGAACCTTTGCCCATGTCTGTCCCTCTGCTCAGAAAGCCTGCTCTCTCCCTGCTTACCTGGCAGCCTTGCCTGCTCAGCCCTGTCCTAGTGTCACTCCGTGTCTTTCCTGCTGATTCCCCACTGCCCAGAAGAACTGACCTCACCTTTTCCTACCCCATTGGCCCCTGCATGCATGGCTATCACCGCTCATGTTTGTTTACTGGGCCTCCTTGAGGGCAGGGATGATGGCCCATTCATTTCTGTATCCCAGGGTCTCAAGGAGCCTGGCACAGATAAATTCATGATAAATGCATTGTCAGTGAATAAGTGAATTACCGACCTTCTTTTCCCTGAGCAGTCATTCATTCATCATTCATTCAACCACCATTTACAGAGTCAGCTCCATGCCAGGCACTGCTTTGGCTAAGTGGAGACCTCTGCCTGCAGGATCTCCTGGTCTGTGGGGAGAGACAGATCCCCGTGCGGATGGGTACGTCTCAGTGCAGTCCAGGCTGCCACATGGGAGCCCCCTACCCAGAACGAGCAGAGAGAGCCCTCAAAGAGCCTACCATCACCAAGGGAAAGGAGATTTAGACCTGAGACAAAGACAAAGCTGCCCAAGCATTTGGGGTATTTGAGATTCTGATTATGCACAGGACGGGAGTTTAGAGAGCCACAGAGCTGCCCAATGGGCCGGAAGCTGCTGGCTGCAGGATCTGGGAATGCAGGTGCCATCTTGCTCACCTTGAAGCCCAGCTCAGCCAGGGTCTGGCACAGAGGGGGTGGTCAGCATAAATGTTTGTTGGATACATAATAAATGAGGAGAGGAAATCTAACTAAATAAGAACTGCATTTCAGCCCCACTCTGCCACATACCGGTCAGTGACTACGGCCAGGACACATCCCCTGTCTGGCCTCAGATATTTTCCAACATCCTCTCCAACTCTCACATTCTATGATGATGCAGAGAGGCAGCCTGGACCCTCAGGGTGCTCCTGGACTGACTGTGCGCGTGTGTATGTGAGTGTGCGTGCACACGCAGCACATGGAGGATCTGGATGTAGGAACAAGCGCAAAATATGATAATTATCATTTTGGGAACACTTGTTCTGTGCCAGGCACAGGATGCAAAGGTCTAAGTGCTTCACGTGTATTGCTTCATTTTCCTCTTACTCAAACTGCACAACACGGGTGATGTTGTTACCACCAACCCAAACTGTACAAAACGGGGGATGTTATTATCCCCATTTTACAGCTAGGGAAACGGAGGCTCCTGAGTTGGAATAAATACTCCCACAGATGGTCAGTGGCAGATGTGGGATTCAAAGCAAGATCTGTTGGACTCCAAGCTCTTAGCTGCTACACTCCAGGGCCTCCCACGGGAGTGTGCCCTCCGACTCCAGGGTGCATGTCTTTCTGCCACTTGAGGGCAACTTTTGGTGACAGAACCTGGCTGAGAATTCAGAGATGACCGAGGCCAAGGCTGGGGGGAGCTGGGGGTGGGTGAGTGAAGGGCGTTCAGCTTCACTGCCTCTCCACGCCTCTGTTAACTGCAGCCAAATCCCCCATGTGAAAGACCTGGCTTGGGCTTTCCTGGGCTTGCATGCGAGTTTTTGCTTTGCTCAACCAAAGGGCTTCCTGCGGTGCTCTGGACTGTTCTTTCTGGCCAGGCTAAGGGAGGGCAGAGGTCAGCGGAGGCCCTGCCTTTGGCTCACCCTCCCAGAGGGTGGATTCCCAGCAAGTCTGAGAGATCCTGGAATGGTCTCTCGGCATACAGGCGGGAGTACTGGGATATTTGTTCCCCCGGACACAGCTCCCTCCCTCATGTGCCACAGAGCAGCTTAGAGGGAGCAGCTTAGCACTGGAAACCCAGCCATGGGAAAGGCTGCTACAGGCTGGCCTTTGAAAGGGAGTTCTCTTTCTTCAAGTGCTTAGGGGAGAAAATAAGTGAGAAAAAGAGAGATAGAGGAAGGAAGGAAGGAAGGAAGGAAGGAAGGAAGGAAGGAAGGAAGGAAGAAGAAGAAAAGGAAACGAAAAGGAAAGGAAAGGAAGAAAGGAGAGAAAAATTGACCATACTAGGGGTCTGGTCTGTTGAGTCAAATTTCCTGATGGGCTCATCCCTAATGATGCCTGAAATGGAGGCCACTGTGGGGCTGTTCTTGCAAATGTACTTAGTGGATGGATCGTGGCCTCTTGTGCAGCTGCAAGCTCCCTATTCCAAGGCCCCAACTCAACAGGTCCGATGCTGATTCCAAATAGAGTCACCCTGGCTGGGAGGGCCTTTCTGGGTCCCCAGGGAAAGATTTGGATGGTGGGGACCTAAGATGCTGCAGCTGAAGCTCCTGCCCTTCCAGGAGGGCAGGGCAGTGTCAGGGAGCCTCAGGGCCTTCCTTGCAGGTTCAGGGGCCTCAGGGGGAACATCGCATGGCTCTTCAGAGACTGTCCCTGGAAGTGACCTGAACTCCAGGGACTCAGGCCAGAAGCAGCCTCTTTTGCACACGCCCCTGCCCCTCTAGTGAGGTGTGGGAGTGGGTGGGGAAAAGCCTTGCTCATCCAGGCCTTTGGAAACATCCCGACACACTTTCCTCCAGGCAGGCCGAAGTTATTTTCCAAGTATTTCACTTTCCATTTCTTCTCCAGATCTGGTAACAGGGTGTTCCTGCCCTCTTCCCCTTCCTGACCCTTCTGCCTGGGCCCCGCCCCTGCTGCGTTTCATCAAGTCGACATGCTCTAAGAAAGCCGGCCAAATCTGCACTCAGCCCCACGGATGGCGCAGATGTGTGTGACCAGCCCCCCTCGGCCTGCAGAAGCTTACCATCGAGCCTAGGGGACAGCTATCCAGAGGGAAACAGGCACCGGGGGCTCAGTGGGTCATGGGCTTTGAGGTCTGGCTTCTCTACTGTGTTACCCTGGGAAAGTGTCTTGAGCTCTCTGAGTCTCTACGTGCTCATCTGTGAAATGGGGGTTACCCTATCTCCCTTGGAATGTTGTGAGGTTCAGAGTGGACAATGAATGTGCTTGCAGTCCAGTGCACATCTGGGTTCATACTGGGGACCCAATGCAGCTTTCTGACTTAACTTTCGGAGGTGGAAGTCAACTGTTGGAGATCGCTCTCTTAGGGACAGCCTTTTTGTGTCTTTCTAGGTATGCAGAAGCAGTCCAGGCAGTACAATCAGCCAAAACTGATTATGAATTCTGGTTATACAGCTTCCCAGCTGGGGAACCTTGAGCAATTCATCCACCTCTCTGGGCCCCGGTTATGAATAAAATATAAAAGAAAATGCAGGTAAAATGCCCTCTTCCTCAAGGGAATGCCCTCTTTCTCAAGGGGTTGAGGTCAGGATTAAGTGGCATAATGCAAGCCCTTGGCACAGTGCTTAGCTCGAGGGATGGTGACAAATAGTCATGACTCTTCTTTGATGGCTCAGTTTCCAGCTGCTCTCCCTGAGATGCCATGGGAGGTTCTTGGCTGGGAAGCCAACTGTTTCTTTGTCTAAGAGGGAGAAGATGCTATACATCTTGCTCTCACTTAACCCTGCTCCCTCCCACTCACCACCACCCTTTTTCTTTTTCCAGGCCACATGAGTTTTGCAGAGCAGACGTAGAAAGCAGAGAATGAAAAAAAGAAAAAGAGGAGAGATCTGAAGCCAGAATGGGCGTCATGCAAGAGGCTCTAGAGTTGCAGACAGTTGCAGCCCAGATACGACGTGCAAAGAGAGACATCCCAGATCTCCCACACAGAACTCCGGCGCGCTTTGAAGTGTTGACAACACATAAAATTAAAAGCATCACAATGCGAATTATCACGTTGTTTTTTCCACTTTGATAGCCTCTACAAAGCATTTTATACCGATGAATCAATACAAATGTCTCTTTATAAAGACATTGGAAACAAAAAGATACATTTTTTTTTTTCCTTAAGAGAAACCGACACAACTAACAAAAAGATTTCAGCCCTGGCTTGCAGGATAGCTCTAGGTAACATAGTGAGTTTGTCTCTCCTTTTCACAGTGGCCTTGGAGGTCACTGCTGTCTACTTGCTTGGGTCAATCATTCAGCCTCCGGATGAATGTTCTGCCTGCTGATTAGTCAGCACCATGAGATGAGACAAACAAGCCACAATTGCATTGCTATTGCCTCCTGACTGCACACACATGTGTGTGCACATGTATAAGAATATATACAGTGTGTGTAAATATATAGAGGCGTGTGTGTGTGTGTGTGTGTATTTTGTGGTTTGGTAAAATAAAGCTTGCAAATTAGGATTAATTTATAACTCGTTATAATTGGATTATTGGCTGGGACTCCCTTTATGTTACAGCAGATGGACTTTTGCGTGAAATATTTTCCCTGAGTTGCTATAGAGATGTGCCAAGATCTCTCTGCTGAAGTGATTCCCCGCAGGCCTGTTTGTTGTTGTGCCCGGTGCCGAATCACTTGCAGGCTGAATCACTTACAGCCCTCACAGAGGCTGATGAAAGAGCCCCGGGACCCTGGGAGTCTCCAGCCTCTCAGCTACTGCCACCAGAGATGGGCTGCAAAAGTCATTAGAGCTAGACTGGGGGGTGGGTGGCTGAGCTGGTGGGTGGAGGGGGATGTCCAGGTGAGCCAGGCAGCCACAGGGGAGAGGGCTGCTGTGGGCAAGAAAGATAACTCAGGCTAATCAAAGACCTACTGTATGGCCAGGCACAGTGGCTCACACCTGTAATCCCAGCCTTTTGGGAGGCCGAGATGGGTGAATGGCTTGAGGCCAGGAGTTTGAGACCAGCCTGGCCAACATGGTGAAACCCCGTTTCTACTCAAAATACAAAAATCAGCTGGGCGTGGTGGCACACACCTGTAATCCCAGCTACTCGGGAGGCTGAGACAGGAGAATGGCTTGAACCTGGGAGGTGGAGGCTGCAGCGAGCTGAGATTGCACCACTGCACTCCAGCCTGGGCGACAGAGCCAGATTCCATCTCAAAAAAAAAAAAAAAAAAAAAAAAAAAAAGCCTACTGTAGCTAGATGTAGTTCTAGGAACATGTAGACATTCCATTTATCTGTCTAGTTCCTGTAGCAAGCCTATGAGGGGAGTCCTGTTTTTCCCACTTTTCAGGTGGGGAAAAGGAGGCACAGAAGAGTGAAGCTGTTTTCTCAAGCTACCACTGCAGTGATCTTAGCAATGGTGTCTCCCCAAAATGGGGGTGAGGTGGGATAGATGGGGTACATTTAAACATAGGGTTCTGGGAGAACTGAGAAGCCACAGGCTGGGCGGGGTAGCCAAATTTAGCCCTCTGCCAGTTCCTCTGGCTGTCGGAGGATCCTCAGACAAAACCGCCAAACTCCATCACGCAACTCACAGTCCATTTGGGCAGACACACTCAGGCCTGTCTGATGAGCAACATAAACATGGCCAAGCGCCTCATGAGACGCTGTGGGTCCTGACTCTTGAACCAGAGGCTGAGTATGGGGGCCCCAACTCCCCGATTTCCATCTCAGGCAAAGATGTGAATCAGGCAATGTTTCCAGAGAGCAGAGTTTACAAAAAGTGTGGCCTGGAGTGATGACAAAGGCATGGGCTTTGAAGTCAGACAGACCCAAGTTAGAATCTTGAATCTACCCTTGTCCAGAGCTGTGACTTTTCTCATCTGTAAAATGGGATTCATTGTACTTACCTGGCAGAGTTAGGCTCAGCTCTCCCAGTAGAATGGAAGCTCTCTAGAACAGTGCCTGGCGCACAGTAGACCCTGTGAAATACACATTGAATAAATGAGTATGTTTTTAGTATATCTGGCATGTCATAGGTCTTACTAGATGGTAGAAATTATTTCAATCTGGCACTTTTAGACTTTGGAGCCCATTTTCTTCTTTCATATTGTTAGCTTCCCTTCCTGGGCAGTGTCAAGATCCTGAGTCCTTGCGTCTCTTCCCCAGCCCCTACCAACCCATGTAGACAGGATTCTTGGAGACTACAAACTGCCCAACGTGTTAACCAGTATCTCAGTCCATGGAGATCTCTTCCTAGGATAGCACGTTAGTCAGGACTCTTTAGATGGCAAGGACAGACACTAACTCAATCTGTCTTAATAAATGAACAAAGGAACTTACTAATAGGAGTAAATGGCTTCAGGTATGGCTGAATCCAGCTGCCCAGCTAATCTCTTTACATTTCTTAAATTTATTCTCTTTCAGTTTGAATCCACCTTCAGGCAGGCTCTGCCCTTGTGATGGTAGGATGGCGGCCCAGCTTCAGGACTACCTCTCACCAGCTCAGCACCTTAACAAAAAGAGAACTCCTGCCCAACAGCTTAAATACAAGCCCTAGGACTGCATTTTATTGAATGTATTATATAACGTATTATATAATACTTGGGTCACATGCCAAGCCATATCATGTATCCATCCTGGAAACCTGGAGGTGGAGTCAACCCCACCTAAATCAACATGGTCTGAGAACGGGGAAGGAGCAGTTCTCCAAGGGCAAGGCGGAGGTTCTTGACAGAAGAGGAGAGAGACGCTGAGTAGATGAGAACAGCCAACATCTACCACAGAGCGGAAAACAACAAACTTGGTTCTCATGACAAGCCCAAAAGGTAGTTATGATTCTTCTCATTTTGCAGAAAACAGAAGCACAGAGAGTCTGGGGACCCTGCCCAAGACCACATAGTGTGTCAGTGGCAGATTCAGGCTGGGAATCCCTAAGCCTGTGTTCTTGCCAGGACTTTACAGAAGGAAGTGAGCCTCGCAGCAGGTCATGAACTAGCAGCTGGAAGATACGTGAAAGATACAGATGGGCTCAGAATCCCAGCTCCACAAGGGGAAGCTTCTGGGCCCATGCAGGACTGTTTGTGGTTCTTGCCCTCATCTGTGCCGAGTAGCACAAGTCTCAACATAACTAGGTGCTTGCTTTTCTTCATCTTTCCAAAATCCCAGAGCATGTTGTTGGTCATGTTTGCAAATCTTATAAGCAACTTATAATTTTATTTTGATTGTCTCAAGTCAGAAATAATTTGACCTTGGCATTATTGAGAATCCTATTTTCAAACTTTTTTTTTTTTTTCAGACTCCTTGGTGGTTCTATCTATTTGGAGAAGCCTTTATATCTTCACACACCTGGGATCTTCCAAGAAGGTTTTGGATGAGCACGCCTCAATTCAGTCCTAGAGACCTATGCTGCATTTGTTTCCTTCCCTCTTGGTCCACCTCCAGCCCTCATTCAATTCTAAGTCTCATCATGCCTTTGAAGACTGCCCTGCTAGTCTCAAACCTGTGCTTTTTCCTTTGTTCAATTGTGACCCTGTTTATGATGCTACAGAAAGAACAGCTTTGCATACTCCAGACTTGGTTCCAGGTGTCTGCACTCATAATTTATGTTGCCCTTCAATTTACCTATAGAATCTTGCCTTTTAAGAACTGGTTCCACATAAAGTTTCTAAGGGGCTTTTAAAACTGTAAAGCAATATAAATGATAGATGTTATAAAATCTAAGATCATTTGTCCATGTTATTCTCTACCTGTTGGTTCCTTCCTCATTGAAAATTGGTGTATAGATGGTAGATAGATAGATGATAGATAGATAGGTAGATAGATAGATAGATAGATAGATAGATAGATAGATAGATAGATAGATAGATTTTTATTTTTGGTCTATCTCCTTTACTAAACAGTAAGCTCCATGAAAATATGGATCATCACTGTCTTATTCACCATTATATTCTCAGCATATGGTATTGTCCTGGTATAGAATAGATTCTCAATAAATGCTTGCTAAATGAATGCATTCATGAGTGAGTGAATGAATGAATATGCGAGTGGATGAGTGTGTGGAAAACATGGTCTGGCTTTCCCAACCAGATGAGAAAGCAAAGGCACCGGAGTTAGCTTCAGCTGTTGCTTCCTAGCGATGTGACCTTAGTTTGACCTTTCTGTGTTTCAGTTTTCTCATCCTTGAAATGGGGAAAATACTTTACTGAGGACACCAAAAGATCACCTATGTGAATTCAATGTTTGATATACTAAGCACTCAATAAATATCAGCACTCTTCTCTCTGCCCTTCTTGGAGATTCCATAATGCCTACAATGGTGGTCAAATACTGAGTGTTTAGTGAGTACTTTTTGATGGATAGTTGGATAAGTTTATCAGAGTGATGGTGGCCACATGTTGGGTGTGGGATTTCCATTCTGGCTTGAGAGAAAACTGTGAGATGTGTAACTGAACCAAGAATTCAGGTAAGCACTGGGCATCATAAGAAGTTGGAATGGGGAGGTCGGTCGGGTCTGTGTGCGTGTGCTTGTGTGTGCATGTGTGCATGTGGATATGGGGAGAGGTGTGCAAGGAGAGGACACAGTTATCCAAAGTCCACTGATTCTAGTTCAGAATTTAAAAAGTTAAATTCTAAAAAGTTTAAGTTGAGAATTAAACAGGTACCTGGCAGCCCCTGGAAATTCTTAAGAAGGAAAAATATAGTGGAAATTCTTTTAGCATCTGCATGAAGGACAGACTTGAGCAAGGAGAGGCTGCAAAGCCTGTTCTAGTAATCCAGGAAAAAGAGAGAAAGGACTGGTAGGTATTCAATAAACCATTTTGACATGAAAGGTAAGGTGAGGCGAGTCTTGAAGACTCCTCGGATCCATAAATCAAGAAATCTTTTTTGGGTATGGAGCAAATGAGAAGAAGGGTCCAAATTAGTTTTTATTTTTCCTTCTAAAATTATGTGTGAATTTTTTTATTACAAAATAATACAGCTCCACTATAAGATATAATTAGAAAATGAAAGAAAAAATAATCACCCATAATCCTGTAACCAGAACACCACTGTGACTTCATTTTATGACCCCAAATCTATGACCTTAGGAGAATGAATGAGTCTGCTGTGTTCATGATGGGAACATAGAGAAAGGCTCAGAAGAATGTTAAAGAGAGGCCATTGCTGAGCTCACTTGCTCATTTGCTTATTTGATTCAACCCATAAGGGAGACCTCAATAGCAAAAACCACATCTTGACATTGTGTTGGAATCTGCCAGCCTCTTTATGCAACTCTGGATGTCAACAATGTCAGGTTACCTCCAACATGATCACCAGGGTCCTCTCCATTCCCTACCATATAGTAAGCATTTTAGTCTAGTTTAGTTTTTAATCTTTTTTTGCATCTGCATGTAATCTTCTTTTGGGAGCATTCCTCGCTGTGTGTAGTCCTGGCAATCTGAATTCTTTCTGATATGTGTGTAGGTCAATGGTTGCTTGCCCTGTCCATCTGCTAGATGACCCCCTCCTTTCCATATTCTCCTGTTAGTGTCTGGGAAGGTTGGTTCATCAGCCTGTTGGTCTGTAGGTCAGCTGGCTAACCAGATTTGGGGGAGGCAGACAGGTTAGCCTTACGATCCACTGACTCACTGACAAACCGATCCATCGGTCAATCCGTTGGTCTGCTGGCTGGCCATTAGTCCAACTGTCCATCTATTGGACAGTCAGTCCCTTCATTGGTGTATCAACCATGCCATTGGCTCAACCATCCCTTGGTTATTTCACCAACCTGTCAGCCCATGGGTCAGTCTCTCCATGAGCTTGCTGGCCGGTTAGCTCCTCAGTCAGTCAGTAAGCCTGTCAGTTGCCAGTCGGGCTACACCCCTGATGAACCCCTCCAGCTACTGATCTCAGTCCTCACCTGAGCGGGCAGGGCATGGAGGGAGAAGCTCATTCCCTCTCCGATGAGGTCGTTTGAAGTGCTCTGTCAATTCTTTGGAAACTTTAAATCAAAAGTTATTTATGAGGTACCAGAGTAAAAACAGCCTCGTCATTGTAAATTACTAGCAGCCAACTTGAATTCGCTCATTTTCTTTTAAAATTTTAAAATATTTAGAACCCTGGTTTTTCTCCTTGTCTCCGCTCCCACTCCCTGGGACTGCCCCCTCCTCCTCTGTCATTTGAGGGATTGGTTTTCAGGAGCATGTGACTTCATCAACTGCTCCTGATGCCAACCAGAGGTGCCAAGGTCCATGAAGAGATGAGTCACCCAGCTGGGAGAGGAGGCTATGGGGAGCCAGGCAGGTGCCCAGACCCTGGGCCTTGGGGTTCTGCTTACGTGTTTGTGACCCCAAAAGTAAGGCAGTAGACCAGACCATGGGGCCCTTTTCCACTTGGAGGCCCCTCTCAGACACGGTAGAACTGGACAGATGATTCTCCAGGGATCCAGCAAAGAGGGTTAAGGAGCTGTTTTCCTGTGGACTCTCCTTGCTTTCTGGGGGTGGGGGGAGGCAGAGTCTCTTTAATCTTCAGAGCAAACTTCCTAATGACTGAGAGAGCAGGCAGCATCCTGAGTGCCAGGACGCCTGGGTTCCAGCCCAGCCCATGGCCAAGAGCAGAGGAAGAAGCTAGCTCTTGACCACCGCCTGCCTCCCCACTGAGCCACTCTCTTTCCAGGTTTCTTATGACCACTTCCCTCCCTCATCTCCATCTCAGGCTGTCTGAGTGCTCCTCAACTAATCTCCAAGAACTGACCCCGTGCATGGGATTGAGCTGCCAAGTTAAATTCACTAACAGGCATTTACTCGCTGCTTATTCAGGTCAGGATCTCCTGTCCTCTCCTTCAAAGGGGCACACACTTTCATTATTTAGGTACCAAATATTTATTGAATACTTGCTGCCTCAAAGCACTGGGCTAGGTCTGAAGATACAGCGTTAAGTAAAGCAGGCATTGTCCTTGCCTTCCTGGAGATTAGAGTCTTGGCAGATTTACGCATTAATGAAATAATGGCACAAAAAGGTGTTGAATCTACTGAGATAGACGATTTGACGGAAAACACCAGTGGTCTAGGAGGAAGACTGTAACAAGGCTTAATCTGGTGGGACTTTGGGAGGTCAGGGGCTTCTCTAGGTATATGATTGAGTATGAAGATGAACAGTTATTAAGGTAAAGGGAAAGCCAGGCACAGTGGCTCATGCCTGTAATCCCAGCACTTCAGGAGGCTGAGGCAGGAGGATCGCTTGAGCCCAAGAATTCGGTAGCAGCCTGGGTAACATGGCAAGACCCCGTCTCTACAAAAAATGAAAAATAAAAAAATTAGCCAGGCATGGTGGTATGCATCTGTAGTTTCCACTACACAGGAGGCTGAAGTGGGAGGATCACTTGAGCCAAGTAGGTCGAGGCTGCAGTGAGCCATGATTGAGACACTGTGTTCCAGCCTGGGCAACAGAGCAAGATCTTGTCTCAAAAAAAAAAAAAAAAAAAAAGTAAGTGGAGGAATGATCATCTCAGGAGAGGGTACAGCACATGCCAAGTCCCTATAGAGGGAGGGAGCCTGGAACATCAAGGCAGCCAAAGAAAGCTCCTTGCAGCTGTTGACAGAGAGTGTGGGAAGATAAGCACATAGACAGACAGGCAGGAGCTTCCTTTGTTCGTTCATTGTTATGTTCATTCATTCATGCACACATGCATTACACCTGCATTAATTTTCTCATTCATTCCTGCATTCATTCAACAAATACTTACTGGATGCCTACTCTATGTCTGCCACTCTCTCAGAGCTCGGTGACTGCAAGCAACAGAAACCAGGACTGGATAACAGTGCTGGCTGGGTAGCCATTGGAAGGATGCTGAAGAACCACAAAATTGGTGGGATGTAGGAGGAGCAGGCTTAGAAAAGAAGGTTGTCTGGCATCTCAGGCATCTCCAGGAACCATAGCAACCATCTTGCTGCAGGTCCTATAAAGTCAGCCACTGCTGCAATGATGAGTGTCCTCTTGCCATTCTCCCTTTTCTGTGGTATGAAGATGCAAAGTTTTAGAAGGAGGTTCCCTCTGGCTGTCATATACTTGCCTCCTACCATACCAGGCCTACAAAATAAAGGATATAGTCCGTTGGCTTTCTTAATGGTTAGCCAGCCCCTGGGTTTCCACCAAGACTCCATGCAAAGGGGGAGTGGTGATTCTCTGAGGGATTTAGGGTACTCATACAGAGGATAAATAAATGTTTGGTAGCCCCAAGTTACCTATAGTTCATTACAACTTTTGAGTCCTAATGGTCAAACTAGGAGCTCCCACAGCCTTCCTGGCAATGGTTCTCCTTTGGAATTCTGGGTACTATGTGATCTCTGATGCTAACACAAAAAAACAGCTTTTTGCACATATCTAGGTGTGTGGCTTTTTTTTTTTAACCTGGTGTTTGAGTTGCTCCCTAAGGTATTTTCTGATGACATCCTTGCCCCCTCTCAGGTATTATATTTGCGGGTGTGGTGGTGGTGAGGGTATGGCCACCCAGGAACTGGTGCTAGAGGCAGGATTTGGACCCAGGCTTAGCTGGCTCCAAAGCCAGTGCTCTTTCCACTACAATCCTCAGCCTTCAGAAAACCAGCCCTGCCCCGATCCTTAAGAGGTGGGTCTTCATAGTCTCAGCGATAAGCAGGTGCGGGTAACCCCAGGAACACACTCTGACGGTCTCTACTATGTCTTTAGGCACAAGCTTCACAGCCAAGGCCTCGGGGTCTTCGCTTATGAAACAGGCATGAAAATCTTCCCTTTGGCACCTCTCAGTGTCAAGGTGAGAATATAGCAATTTGATGTCTGTTGAGAATCTTTCGGCAGGTCAAAGCTCAGAATTGTCATGGCTCCCCTGAGCTCAGAGGCTGCAAATAGTTGAGTAAGATGAGGCTCATGTAGGAGGCAGCAAACCTGTACTTAGTGGACAGGAAGGGGAGGTGTGCCTGGCTTTGTCCTCTTTGTTAGTGGAGAGGGGGGTAGGGGCAGTCACAAGGCAGAGGAACCCCCTTCCCTGTGGAATCTGGTTAGGGTGCTTGCACAGGGAAGAGACGGTCCTTTCTTTGTGAGAAGCAGAGGTAGGAGGGAGCTGCTTAGGGTGTCTTCTTAGTGCAAGGAGAGTTTCATCTTAAGGACCATTCCTTTCACCAATCCCCAAACGTCAGTTTGCTGATTAAATCACACGAGCGAGCATGCGTGTACACACACGTGTGCATGTGGCAGGGCAGCAGGTGGATGTAGGGGTAGGACTGACTCAATACGCATGGAAATCAGACATGCCTTTGAGCAGGTCTGCTGAACTGGGCGTACGGACCCACCAGACATGACGTACAGGAGCGATGAGGAGTTTCCTGGAGAGAATAAGAACTTAAGAAGGAGTTGGGCATAGAGGGCTGACCTGGGAGGTCCCAAGAAGGGCACAGGTATGACTCCTTGGATTTGTCCCCAGCCCAAGTCCGTGGCTTCATATCTGGGTTCAGCAACAAGCTAGCAGCAGGCTGTGTGGGTAGAATGGGAAGTTCTGTAATACACTGGGCCCAGGAAGCCCTGCTGTAGGACTCAAAGAGGGAGAGGGCCATTCTCCCCATTGTTGCCATGAAATCTCCATGAAAGTTTGGCATCCGCAAGGTTTCAGTGCAGCTGCCATAGGAGACAGGGGTGCAGCCAGGGCGCTGTGGAGGAGACGTGTTCACAGGCACAGAAGGATGGTCCTGGGGATCTTTGGGTAGGAATGGTTTATTTTACTAGATGCCCTGGGGGGACTCATTTTCTACTGACTATGTACGATGTGCCAGACGTTTTCTCTCACATTGCCTTCTCTGTGACACTTTCTCTAACCTTCCTACTTCCCTTTTTTCTCTTCTCCTCTTCTGAATTTATACCCATCCTTCATCTGTCCATCCATTCATCCATCTATCCATCCATCCATCCACCCATCCACCCTCTCAGCAAAAGAGAAACACTTAGTGGTGATATGTCATAGTTTATTAACCACTTCCCTATTGAGGGAAGCTTAAGTTATTTCTAGTTTATGCTTTTATAAACAATAGTGCAATGAAAATCCTTGTGCATGACTTGGAAAGTATTTATCGAGCACCTACTTTATACCAGATTTGTCCTATGTTCCTTTGTAGTATTAATTAAATTTTTAATAAGCATGTCTTGACTTCCCAACCTTTGTGAACCAGCGGAGCGTTAGGACTTTGCCTTTGCAGGCCCCATAACTCACTGTCCCTACTAGGTGCTTAATAAACATTGAATGAATAAATGGATCAATGAATAAAAATAATGAGCCACCCATGGAGCCAAAATATGAGCCTCAACGGGGCACTACAGCTTGACTCCTACCAATGAACTCATTCCCACCCTAGCTGTCTGTGGTGTCTGCTTTCAGTATTTGAAGGCTTTTCTGTTTTTCAAAGCTTTGGTATCTGCTCCTCTCTGCACTTTAGTCTCTGTATCCAGCTTCATCAAAGGCTGGGAAGTTAGAAAGGGGAACAAGGAGGGGAATAAATGAAGTGGAGGCCCTCAGCCATGAGCACATAGGAGCAGAGTTCAAGCATCTTCAAATCGTCCTCCCACGTAGCTCTAGGCTGCAGCCCCATTAAAGAGCTGCCCATCTAGCCACCAGCTCTGCGTGTGCTCACCTTCTTGCCTTTGCTGGTGCTGTTCTCTTGGCGTGGAATGCTCTTCCTCATTCAAATGCCACCCCGTAAAATGTTTTCCCAAACTTTCTGCTAGGCAGAGCGAATCGATCCAACATTCTGCTCTGGCAAAACCTTCTGCATCTCTTCCCACGTTATAGTGGCCAGCTCTCCGACTGCCCTGCGAGTTCCACTAAGCAGGCACTACAAGGATGGCAAACAGATTTTACCTCAATGTGCCACCTCTGATCAATTAGTAGTGGCCACCCAGAGTGATCTGTCTAAAGCAGCACAGGCCAATCTAATTTTAATGGGAGACACATATAATTTAAAAGTTTCTAGTAGCTGCATTCAAAAATGGATAAACAGATAAATTACTTTTAATAATATATTTTAACACAATATATTCAAATGTTACCATTTCAACCTACAATGTGTATAAAGTTATGAATGAGATATTTTCCATTATTTTCTTCAGTCTAGAGCATTTGAAATTCCACATGTATATTATACTTACATCTCAATTCATGTGCTAACTTTTTGTCAGAAATGCTTGATGTCTATTAAGGTTTTATAAAATGTATATTTGGAAAAGTAGATTCACATACCTAAGTTATCCCAAACTTATGTAAAATTTTTTAATAATGAAATTATCAGCTGTTACATTTATTTACTTATTTATTTATTATTTTTTGAGATGGAGTCTTGCTCTGTTGCCCAGGCTGGAGTGCAGTGGCACAATCTCTGCTCACTGCAACCTCTGCCTCCCGAGTTCAGGAGATTCTCCTGCTTCAGCCTCCAGAATAGCTGGGACTACAGGCGCTCACCACCACACCCAGCTAATTTTTGTATTTTTAGTAGAGATGGGGTTTCAACATGTTGGCCAGGCTGGTCTTGAACTCCTGACCTCAGGTGATCCACCTGACCTCCCAATCCTTCCAAACTGCTGGGATTACAGGCGTGAACCTCTGTGCCTGGCCCAGCTATTACATTTAAATTAATTTTTAACATTAAAAGTACAGTTTCTTAGCAGCACTAGCTACATTTCAAGTGCTCAATAGCCCCACATGGCCAGTGACAACAGTATTGGGGAGTGGCTATCCTGTGCCTGATATTTGCTATTCCTAGTCTTATTTACCTCTTTATCCCCAGCTCCCAGGTGGGCTCACTCGATTTGTGAAGGAAGGCATGAGGCATCCGCTGCATCGATGTCTTAGCAAGTTACGGTGTACTGAGAGCTGGCACATTCAGCTGTCTTACACAGAGAGGGAAAGGGTGCTACGGAGCCCCTGAAGTCTTCTGAGGAGGGGAGACAACAGCAGATTTGCACAAGAAAGAGATGGCTCTGGTATTGGGGAACAGACCAGGGGGTGTATGTTCCTGGGGTGGGCAGTGGGCAGGGAGGAAGCACTGCAGTTACCAGCTCAGAGTCAGACAAGATGGTTAAAGCCACAGTCAAGGCTGGGCATGGTGGCTCACGCCTGTAATCCCAGCACTTTGGGAGGCCGAGGTGGGCGGATCACATGGTGAAACCCCTTCTCTACTAAAAATACAAAAATTAGCCTGGTGTGGTGGCGCATGCCTGTAATCCCAGCTACTGGGGAAGCTGAGGCAGCAGAATTGCTTGAACCTGGGAGGTGGAGGTTGTGGTGAGCTGAGATCGCGCCATTGCACTCCAGCCTGGGCAACAAGAGTGAAACTCCGTCTCAAAAAAAAAAAAAAAAAAAAATGCCACAGTCAAGACATTCTGGCTCCTTCTGCTCTTGGAAGAAAAGTCCAAAGAACTGGTAATCATTCCAGTTCTGGGGAAGGGCTCCTTTCTCTCAAGGGAGGAGCTGTATTGTTGCTGAATTTTTATTGCTATTGTGATTCATTGACCTCACTCTGAAGAAGGAGCTAGAAGCCACAAGAAGTGTAGAAAGAACAAAGAACAGGGTCCTGAGTGAGAGGCTCTCCAAGTTGAGCCGAGTGGCCAAGTGACCCTGGGCCAAGTGACCTCACCTCTCACAGGGGGCCTGTTAGGATGCCCCTTGCAATGTGTGCTTGGCAGGTGGTGATGGTCAGTGTTGCACGTGATAACCCATATAAACTGTCTCTTCACGGGTCTGGCACATAGTCAAGGTAAGGACTCAGACAATGGCAGCTGTGGTTGATATTAGTTTTATGACTCACACATGAACATCTGCAATGTATGTTAGATGCAAGGACTGAGATAAGAAAAGGTGTCATATAGACCGGAGACCCCCACATTACCCTACGACAGGAGGGACCAGGCATGGGTACGTTTTGAGACAGTGCCTTGGGGAGACTTCCTCCTTCTAGAGTGAGGAGATGGCAGAGTCCGGCAGAATGGTTCTGATCATGGGTACTGATGCCAGTTCACCTTGTTAAATCCCAGCTCCTCCACTTACCAGCTATGCCTCAGTTTCCTTGGCTGTGAAATGGGGAGCATAACAGTTTCCTCCTTATTGAAAGTGCTGTTTGCATTGTTATCATTTTACCAATATTTTACGGGCAAGGGTACAGTCTTCGGCTCTCCCGTGGCCCAGCCAGGCATCTGGTGGAGACAACAAGAAGGGCAAGGCAAGGTTCTGCCTCATTTCGGCAGGGAGTCACAATCCGGTCCCTCCCTGACTCTGCCATGTTTCTTCAATACAGGAAACAAGACTTCATACAAGGAGCACCGGCGGGATTTGTGGAGACATCTCAGAGAAGTCCATGACCACAAACTATTGCTCACAAGTGCACAGTGATGGGCAGTGGGATAATTGGAGAAAGTCAGTTCTAGCTCCAAGCACATAACCAGAGGTTACGTCCTTGGCAATGCCAGCTTTACCAATGGGGATCGTGGTCGTTTAGATAAATGCCTCCCCCAAAACTGGGTTCGCAGACTGGAAGCCTCAGAATCCCTGGGGAGGTTTTTTAAAAGTACAGATTTCCGGGCCTGTCTCAGACCCTTGAGCCTGGATCTCCGGGTGCAGGCTCAGAAATCTGTATATTTTTTAAGCCCTCCCCCAACCCCAGGTGATTCTGATGCACAGCTGCGATTGGAAAGCACTGGCTTTCAGCTCTGAAATGGGAGCTGGTACAAGAATGAGTATAATGCCAACAGAACAAACCCAAGGATATGATGTCCTCAGCTGCAATGACAGATGCCCACACACTCCAGCCCACAGGATTAACTAACAGTAGAGAGCATGACAGGGCCTATTGCCATGTGACCCTTACTCTTGGTGACTCCCTCTTCCTGCCATCCTGCTCACTTTTCTTTCTAGCATTGTGACTTCTCTTGTTCCAAGACTCAACTCAAATCCTGCTTATGAAGCCCACTTTAACTGCATCCATAGAGAGGAAAGTGGAGAGTAGATTATAGGCATCAGATGTGTTAAAACCAGCCCAACTAAGAAATTCCACTTCCAGAGAATTACAGAGAAATACTAGCTTGAGTTTGCAAGGGATTATGATAAAGACATCCATCAAAGCACTGTTTGTGATGGCAAAAAAATAGAAATGGTTGTCCATCAATGGGTAAATGGACAAAAAATCTGTAATTTATGTATACAGTGAGCATTGTTTGGCAAGTCACATCAATGTAATACATCGATGTGTCTCAATATATCTAATTCTCAAAAAAGCAAGTTGCAGAAGGATATACCATATCTGTAACATGGTATTATTAGATAAATTCTAAAAACACAAAATGATTCGACATAGAGTTTGTGATTACATCTATACATAGAAAAGTTATTAAATGTGTGGGGAAATTATACACAATCATCTTCAAGTTAGTGATTTACCTTTTTATCACTATAAAAACTGAAACAAAGGATGATAAACATCAGCGTTGATTAAATCTCAGTGGTAGATCAATGGATGTCACACTATTTTCTTTACTTTTAAGTATGTTTGAAATATTTTATAATAAAAATAAAGCAAGCAAGCTTTGGAGAAATCAGAGATGTAAGAGTCCGTGTAGCCGGGCCGGGCGTGGTGGCTCACGCCTGTAATCCCAGCACTTTGGGAGGCCAAGGCGGGCGGGTCATGAGGTCAGGAGATCGAGACCACGGTGAAACCACATCTCTACTAAAAAATACAAAAACATTAGCCAGGCGTGGTGGCGGGCGCCTGTAGTCCCAGCTACTCGGGAGGCTGAGGCAGGAGAATGGTGGGAACCCAGGAGGCGGAGCTTGCAGTGAGCCGAGATCGCGCCACTGCACTCCAGCCCGGGCGACAGAGCAAGACTCTGTCTCAAAAAAAAAAAAAAAGAAAAAGAGTCTGTGTAGCCTGGGAAGGACAGAGGTAACTCCTTGAAGATTTGGGACTCAGTGTGGGTATATTTTGAAAATGTAGAGAAAAAAAAAAAAAAGAATGACTTGTTTGTTGTTTGGAAGCTAAAGTCTTTACTTTTAATAAAAGCATTTAACCCATTTATACTTACTTCATAGCTGACATATTTGGTCTTCTGTCATTTTAAAGTGTTTCGCTATTGTTTTAGGTCTATAGCTCTGGCAGCACAGATGAAAGGGCAACTTTCACAAACACATGCTTGCACCACAGCTCAATAGTCACCAATTCCACCCACACACATGAAATGTTTCCAGAAGATTTGGGCTCAGCAAATGACCCTTGTTTGGATAAGAGGGCTCAGCTAGTGCCATGTCTTTCAATCAGATTAATCTGAAATGGGGATGGAGTACAACGGGTAATCTTCATCCAGAAGTGGATGTTGCATTGCAACTTGGGACTCCGTTGAATGTATTATGAAAGGACATGTCACTTTGAGAGGCAGGGAGGCATGATGGAGTGAGATTTAGAGTCAGATATAAAACAATTTCATCTATGGTTTGCTGCAGCTGGACCCTGGCTGTTTCTGAGTGATTACTCAAGTCAACCCCATCCAGATGGCAGACGTGGAGTGGGCCAGCTCTGGTTTGAGTCACATCTCTTATGCTTACCAGTTCTATGTTCCTGGATGAGTCATTTCATCACTCTGAACTTTAGCCCCTCATCAAAAGTGAGGACACTCATATCTACCTGGTAGCATCGTTGGCAAGTTGAATTGAATGTTGGTGAATCAATTGAATTGATTCATTTTATGCTAATGTAAACCCACTACATGCCAGGTTTACCCCTGGCATGTAGTGCGTTTACATTAGCATAAAATAAATTGGTAGATTTTATTTTCTCTCTCACATCCCTTGGTTACTGACATACACCATCTCATTCCTCCTTCCCAGGAAGGTAGGGGGAGAAGCAAGTCCCAGAGAAGGGTTGGCGCTGGCCTTGCAGCAGGTTCATCAGACGAGCCACCGGGCTGTTACTGCCTGTGGCCTCTCAGGGAAGGCAAGGGGTTTCTGGCTGCTTGAGAGAAAGAAGGACCCCTCCTCCCCCACCCCCGGCCCCATCCAGGGATGGGGGAGGCATCCAGGGAGTGCTGGGCCGGCCCTCCAGTCGCTGCCAGCTCTCCTTCTGAGCTTGCATCAGCAGAGAGGCGCAGCATGCTGGGGCCTGGCTGGGCCGGCTCCACGCTCCATGTGCCCTGGCCCCCATACACCATTTGTCGAGCAGCAGAACAGAATTTCCTCATAAATAAACAAGATCTTGAGTTTCACGTTGGGGAGGCGATGACAGAAGAGGGCCTGGGGCTCTCGACGTTATCTGCACCCGGGCCTGCCAACTCCTGGCCGCCTGAAGGAGCCAAGAAGAGAGAGGAAGGAGACCCTGGCCAAGAGCACATTCTTTGGTGGTAGAGTCACTGCCTGGCGGCTAGCCGCAGCTCCTCTCATTTCCCGCGACGTCCCTCACGCTGGCCACCGGGGGCTCTGGGGCTTGGCATTTACTAGAACTTCTGCCCGGCCAAGCGCAAGCACCTGAACTTTGTTGTTAGGGAGGTGGGTGAGAGGGGCGCCCAGGGCCTGGGAGATGTCAGGCCTGGAGGAGAGGGCATCTAGCAATTTCTAGTCTAGATGGCCTGTCTTGTGCTATCCTGGTTGAATTCTTAGCTCAATCCCCAAAATGGGGTTTGATCCATCCTGTCCCAAGCCCGAGGCTGACTGAAGAAGAAACTGAGGACAATCCTACCAAAAAACGGCCCACCTCCCAGCATAGGGAAAGTGGAAAAAGTGGAATACTATGCAACAGTAAAAAAGGAAGAATCATTGCCACATGCAGAAACATGAGAGTCAATTACACATAGTGGTGAGCGACACAAAAGAACATACACTGTAGGATTCCATTTACATACAGTTCAAAAGCAGACAAAATTAACCTATGATGACCTACGTCAGAATAGAGGCTACCTCTTGTGGGAGGAAGGGTTGAGTAGGAAGGGGCAGAGGGAGGTCTCTGGGGGCTGGGAATGTTCTCCACTTTGATCAGGGTGGTGGGTACACCAATGTAGGCATAAGGAAAAAGACCTTGAGCTGTACACCTAAGAAGAATGTGCTTTTGTACTTTACCATGTATAGGTTATATCCTGATGAAAAATTTTTTTGAAAAGGATCCTAAAAAGAATTATATGAGATTATCTCCTTACTCAATTAAAAGTGTACCCTGAGTGCCCATTGGTGAGGAGATATAATTCAAACTCCTCACCAAGCCCTGCAAGAGTCTCTAAGATCTAGCCCCTCCAACCTCTTCACCTTCTTCTTGGGTTATGCTCCCCGCTGTGCCTCTCCAGCCTTTTACTGTCCCTGGAACTTGCATAACACATTCCCACCACAGGGCCTTTGCACCTGCTGTTCCTTCTGCCAGAAATGTTTCTCTCTCAGTTCTTGACCCAGATGACGACTTATTCAGATCTGACTTCAATGTCAGATTCCCTGACTATTTCTTTAAAAGAGCTTTACTCCAGTCGCTATAACTACACTGCTCTGTTTGTCACTCCAGCAGTTATTATCGTCCAAACCATCCAAGGTGATTTTATTTCTACATTTGTTGGTTTGTGTGTTTGCTGCCTCCCCTTGGATGTCAGCCCCTAGATGCTACACAGAGCTTTCCCGTTCAGCTGGGGATCCCCAGTGCCTGCATGTAGGATGTGTAGCAGGTATTTGGCGCTTGCCTTCCCATCTTCTAATCCTTCCTCCCCATTTAATTTGGGGTTCTATCTTTCTCTAATTCTCAGCCCATGTGGTCTGGGTAGGGTTTCTGGAGAAGATTTTTGATCTTTCTTGCTGGACTGCAACCTGGGTGGATGTGAGGCTGAGGCCGCGGCTGCTGCCAGCATTACTACTACTTGGAGGAGGGAAGAGCTGAGAGATGCAGACACGAGGTCTTGGAAATAGCACTTGAGGCCTGAATCAAGCTGCATCTGAAACCAGACCTATACCTGGGCTTTCCAGTTACATGAATCATTAGATTTCCGTTTTCTTAAGCTAGTTGTTTTTTTTTTGTTTGTTTGTTTTAACCAAATGAATGTTCTCTGCCATCCATGGCTATAGAGGAAACTGAGGACAATCCCCTAGTCTCTAGGGGGCAGTATGCACTGTGTCTATAACTGATGAAGATCAGATCACAGACAGAACAGCACATCTTCCCAACAGTGGGAGAGCACATAGTTGCTCAAAATGTTCACTGAGTAAATAAGTAAATGGATGAATAAACAGACAGATAGGTGAGTGGATGGATGGATGGATGGATAGGTGGGTAGATAGGTGTACGGATGGGTAGGTGGATAAGTGGGTGGATGAATGGGTAGGTGAGTAAATGGGTTAATGGGTGGATGGATGGGTGGATGGATGGATGGATGGATGGATGGATGGATGGATGGATGGACGAATGGATGGATGGATGGGTAAATGGGTAGGTGGATAGGTGGATGGTAGATGGATGAGTGTGAGACGGATAGGTGGATGAGTGGGTGAATGGATAAGAGGATGGGTACATGGATGGACGGGTGGATGAGTGCATGACAAATGGGCGAGTGGGTAGATGAATAGGTGGACGGGTGAGTGGGTGAGTGGATAAGAGGAGGATGGGTAGATGGATGGATGGGTGAATGAGTGAGTAATAAATGGGTGAGTGGGTAGATGGATAGGTGGATGGGTAGGGGAATGGATGGGTAGATCAGTAGGTGGGTGGGTGGATGAGTGGATGGGTGGGTGGACGGATGGGTGGGTGGGTGAATGTCTTGCTCTCATAGAAAGGTACTCATCATCACAAGGCCATGGGAAAAAAATCTGGTGGAAGAGGTCACTGGGTCTGGTGGGTACTACAGAGGAGGTGGGGCTTAAATTGGATGCGTTGGGGGGGCCAGGGAGGGACTGAGGACTAGTCTTTCTTGGTACTTTCAAATATTTAAAACTCACACAACTCCATGAGGTTGGAATGAAGTTGAGGAAACTGAGGCTCAGAAAAGTATAATGACTAGTCAGGGCCACAGAGCCAGGAAATGGCAGCCGGGATGGAAACGCAGGTCTGAGCCAAGGCCCTTGTGTGGGCTCTCCTCCCAGCCTGCAGTCTGCCTGGGACCCTCTGTCTGCAGTGTCAGAAAATGAATTGGGAGGACAGCAGTCTCAAAGTCCCATCCTGGCGATGCTCAGGGCCCCCTGGGAGGCCCAGGCCGGATCCTCCCCACCTCTCGGAAACTCATGTCAGCGGCCTGACAGCTGTATTCCACTGGCCGGCCACAGCTGCCACTGAGGCCCTTGTTCCCAAGGCTGAATGTTCCACCACTTTTTTCCTGGCACCCCAGGCCTGACGGCCGCTCAGGAAAGCTACTGTACTTGTGAGAAAAGTGAGGTCAGTGCATGTTTCCATTTACTCGGAGAAGGAAAACAAAAACAAATATTCTCGCTACTGAATGTGCTTTTTATTCAGCAGAATCCATCCCCAGAAGGCTGAATTTATGGTTCACGCATGTGTCCCTGAGCATATTTACCAGGGGACATGGTGGGGAAGGCAAGAGGGGCCTGTGGCCCTGGTGTGTCTTGGCAGGGGCTTCAGTTTCTGCAGCAGCAAGGGGGCTAGAGAGTGACAGACAGAAGATGGTGGGTCAGGATCACAGGAGTGGAGGGAGGCTTGGGGGCAAATGAAGGATAGTGAATAGGATGGCTGCCTGCAACTCTGCTATGCACATGTGGTTCTGGGGCTTAGAACATCCTTCCCTTACTTTTCAGTCTGGCAACCAAACTCCTACTCAGTCTCCAAAGCCCAGTTCAGTCTTCCCTGAATGTTCTGGGCAGAGTTGGCCCCCTCTCCGTGGAGCTTGCTGACTCCCTGCCCATCCATCATGGGACCCGCCACCTGGTATGTCCCCCTCTAGATGAGGAGCACCTAGGGGCAGGGGCCGTGGTGACAGACATCTGAAAGCCCAACCCAGGCATGGTCCACAGTGAATGAACGAGTGAGCCTGAGTGAGAGCGCAAGCCTGTGGGGAGAGTGTGTGGGTTGCAGAGCAAACCTAGTGGAGTCTCTGAGGCTCTACAGGTCAGTGGCCTGAAGGAGCAATCTGCTGGGGTTGGGGGGTGGGGCTTGCACAAAATCTGGGGCCAGGTTCAGGAGGTATGATTTGATGGTGGGATAAGGGGCATGGCTGAGGTGGCATGGGGACAGCCGACAATCACTCTCCTGAGGCGACTCAGTTTACCTATATCCAGGCTTACCTGGCCACAGATATGGCCATGAGCCCCTGCAGGTTCAGCTCACTCTCACCTTGTGCCCCATTCATGCCCTACCCCCATCCTCAGATGCACCCCAAACCTCTCCAGCCTTCTGCCTCTGCCCCCTTTCTCTCTCTTCTCAGGACCCAGGGGATCGATGTTCTGCTCACTGGCACTTTCTGGGTATGTGGTCAAACCCACAGTTCTGGATGCCACCCCCTCCACCCCCTAAGCCTCAGTTTTCTTATCTATGAAATGGAAGTTGTGATCACTGCCTCACTGGGTCATAACTGAGCTTCTATGTGCAAAGCACCTGGCACAGTGCCTGGGACAGAGTAAGCACTCAGTTCCTTCCTTCTTTCCACAGATTCTATTTGGTCTTCTCCTCTTCTGATCGTGAAGTCCACCCCTCCCCAACCACCCCCAGCAAAGATCTGTCCAACCCTGAAATCTTAGTGGCCACAGGTTAGACCTGTCCCCGGCAGCCTTGTGACCTTCGTGATGTACGGCTTAGGTCAGGAGGGTGTCATTTGGCTGTTTGCCCCATTCCCCTCGCCCCCTCCAGACGAGAAGGGCTGGGAAACTTGACTTCATTTATTTTCATACATGAGAGAGAGAGGGAGAGAGAGAGCCAGGGCGGAGGGGGCAGGAGGGGGTGGGAGGGGCTGGGAGAGCCAGGAAGGATATTGGGGGCCTCAACCCCTCTTGTCTCCTGCTCGCCCAGGTCTGGCTCTGTGCCCAGTTACCAAAGAAAGCCACAGCTTCTGCAAAACACGCTGACAAACTCATGCCACAGTTGGAGGACCTGTTGGGGAGCGTTAGAAGCCATGCTGGCTACTGAGAGTGGATGAAGGTCCCTTCTCCTCCTCTTCCTACCCAGTGACTTTCATCTCTGAAAGTAGGGGAAACATTGCCTATAAATTACTCTCTTTCACAGACAGCACATTTCTCTTTATGAATCACGCGGGATCCACCTTCAGCCTCAGTGTGTGTAAAACAACAAATCAGGAGAAATTTGACTTGACCCAAGCAGGGAAATTTCCATCCATCACAAGAGGAAAATGTTGGTGCAGCAGGGAGGGGCACAGAGCTGGTGACAGTCAGCAGTGGGTGAGCGGCAGGGCAGGGGTCCAGCCAGGGCTCTCCACACTCCAGGGTGGGTGGGAGATGGGTCGCTACTGAGACACCAGCAGGCTCCAGCAGCAGCAGGTTCTGGGGCTGCGGTGACTCCCTGGTCTCTCAACGAGCATTCCCCAGACCTTCTCTCACACTCCTCAAGGCCTTGCAGGTCACCTGGCTCAAAGTCACTCCTGCCAGATGGGACAGTTTCTATGAGGGGACTTCAAAAAGTTCATGGAAAAATGGAATTAAAAGATCAAAATAAAAATATGAGCTTTATTTCTCAACATAAGCTCCATCAAGTCCAGACACCATTTTTCTTTTTTCTTTTCTTTTCTTTTTTTATTTTTTTTGAGACGGGGTCTCACTCTGTCTCAAAGGCTGAAGTTCATCCAGGCTGGAGTGCAGTGGCAAGATCATGGCTCACTGTAGCCTCAAACTCCTGGGCACAAGTGAGCCTCCTGCCTCAGTCTTCCAAGTAGCTGGGATTACAAGTGTGCATCACCACACCTGGCTATGTTCAGACACTTTTATAAGCAATAAGGCCAGCCATTTAGTCCATCCCTAAAGAACTAACAGTCTTGGGAATTTAACCATGTCGAGGCAATTGTTTTTTACATGATTAAGTGAAGAAAATGGGTGCCTTTTACAAGTTTTTAAAGATTTTACAAGATTTTTTAAGATTTAAGGTGCTCTTGTTTGATGAGAGAAATGAGCAGGAGTGTCATTGTGGTGGAGGAGGCTTCTCTGGTGAAGATTTCCCAGGTGTTTTCATGCTAAAGTTTTGGCTAACTTTCTCAAATCATTCTTCTAATAAGCAGATGTTATTGTTCTTTGGCCCTCCAGAAAGTCAACTAGCAAAATGCCTTGAGCATCCCCAAAAAACAGTTGCCATGCCCTTTGCTCTTGGCCAGTCTGCTTTTACTCTGGCTGGCCCAGTTCCACATCTTGGTAGCCATTGTTTTGATTGTGCTTCATCTTCAGGGCAGTACTGGTAAAGCCATGTTCCATCTCTTGTTACAGTTCTTTGAAGAAATGCTTCAGGATCTTCATTCCACTTGTTTAACGCTTGCATTGAAAGTTCTGCTCTTGTTTACAGCTGATCTGGGCACAACAGTTTTGGCACCCATCGAGTGGAAAGTTTGCTCAACTTTAATTTCACAGTCAGAATTGTGTAAGCTGAATCAATTGAGATGTCTGTGGTGTTGGCCATTGTTTCTGCTATTAATTGTTGGTCCTCTTCAATTACGGCAAGAACAATATGAAATATATTTACCATTCATTTAGTGGAAATGGATCATCATAAAGGTCTTCATCCTCACTGTCTTCCCAATGAGTAGGCTGAGGAGGGTGAGGAAGAGGAGGGGTTGGTCTTGCTGTTTCAGGGGTGGCAGAGGTGGAAGAAAATCCATGTATAAGTGGATCCTCACAGTTCAAACCCGTGTTGTTCACGGGTGAGCTGTAATTAGATTCATCATAATTTCTTGGCTCACCATGTACTATGATTATCGGTTGATGTATGGTCCTCATTTATTTTATTTTATTTTTTTTGAGACGGAGTCTCTCTCTGTCTCCCAGGCTGGAGTGCAGTGGCACAATCTTGGCTCACTGTAACCTCTGCCTCCCAGGTTCAAGTGATTCTCCTGCCTCAGCCTCCCAAGTAGCTGGGATTACAGGTGTGCACCACCACACCCGGCTAAGTTTTGTATTTTTAGTAGAGACGGGGTTTTGCCATGTTGGCCAGGCTGGTCTTGAACTCTTGACCTCAGGTGATCTACTCACCTCCCTCAGCCTCCCAAAGTGCTAGGACTACAGGCATGAGCCACTGAGCCCAGCCAATTTTATTTTTAATTATACAAGGAACATGATGAAGCCAGCGCCCACCCAAGCCCTCCTAGAACATGATCACAACTCACATTTCTCCATATGGACCTCTCTTGTCTTGTCTTCCTGCTTTCCCCCAGAGGGAAGCACTGTCCTGACTTCTGTGTTTGTAGTTTCCTTGCTTTTGAATCATATATTTATAGTTTTTCATATCCATATGTATGCCTTAACAATATGTTGTTTAGTTTTTCTTGTTACAAAAAGTGTGTTCCAGAAATCTCAGACTTGCTTTTTCTCCTTTAACGTATGTTTCTAAAATTTATCCATGTTGCTGCATGTAGCTGTAGTGTATTGATTTTAACTGTTGTAAAATAACCATCTGTGTATACACCACAATGTATTTTCCCATTCTCCTATGGATAGGCATTTAGATTCTCCTAACGAGCTTCTGTTGGGTCTATATCTAGGATAGGAATTACTGGATTTTAGGTTATGCAAAGTGCAGTTTATAAAATGGAGCAAAATTGATTTCCAAATTCATTGTACCAATCCTTACTCTCACCAGCAATATATAAGAGATCCTGTTGAACCATCTTATCTACAGAATCTGGTATTGTCAAGTTTCTTCAGTTTGGCAAATCCAGGTAGCCTTGATGTACATTTTCCTGTAACTAATGAGATTGAACATCTCTCCATATTTTATTAACCAAATATATTTCCTCCTTTTTGAAATACCTTTTCCTGTCTTTTGCCCATTTGTCTAGTGATTTGCTTTCTTCTTCTGATGATATTGACAATTGTGTCTTCTCCTCTCCCCTTTTGTTCCTCATCTGTCTGGCTAGAAGTTTATTGATTTTATTGATCTTTTCAAAGAACTATGTTTGCTTCTATTGATTTTTCTCTACTGCTTGTTTTCTATTTATTTTTTCCTTCATTTTATTCATTTCATTCCTTCTGTATACTTTGTGCTTAATGTGCTTGTTGTTTTGTTTTGTTTTTGAGACAGAGTCTTGCTCTGTTGCCCAGGCTAGAATACAGTGACATGATCACAGCTCAGTGTAGCTTCAACCTCCTGGGCTCAAGTAATCCTTCCACCTCAGCTTCCTAAGTAGCTGGGACTACAGGTGTGTGCCACAATGCCCAGTTGTTTTTGTTTTTGTTTTTTGTTTTTGTTAGAGACAGGATTTCACCATGTTGCCCATGCTGGTCTCAAACTTCTTGGCTCAAGTGATCTGCCTGAGACAGTCTCCCAAAGTACTGGGATTGCAGGTGTGAGCCACCACACCCAGCCTCCTGCTCTTCTTTTTCTCGTTTCTTAAGGTGAAACTCCTGTCATGATTTGGAACCGCTACTCTTGATTTGGAACTGCTACTCTTTTCTAATAATGCTAATGCTGTAAATTTCCCTCTAATTGCTGCTTTAGCTGTATCCACAAATTTTGATATGTTGTATTTTCCTTTTTTTTTTTTTTCTGAGACAGTGTTTCACTCTTGTTGCCCAGGCTGAAGTGCAATGGTGTGATCTCGGCTCTCTGCAACCTCTGCCTCCTGGGTTCAAGTGATTCTTCTGCCTCAGCCTCCCGAGTAGCTGGGATGACAGGCATGCGCCACCATGCCCGGCTAATTTTGTATTTTTAGTAGAGATGGGGTTTCTCCATGTTGGTCAGGCTGATCTCGAACTCCCAACCTCAGGTGATCCACCCACCTTGGCCTCCCAAAGTGCTGGGATTACAGGTGTGAGCCACCGTGCCTGGTCATATTTTCCTTTTTAATCAGCTCAAAAGATTTTCTTTCTCTGGTGATTACTTCTTTGACCCCTGGGTTATTTAGAAATATGTTTAATTTTGAAATATTGAAGAATTTTCTAGATCTTTTTCTGTTATACCTTTGTATTCTAATTCTTTTGTGGCCAGGGAACATACTTTTTAAATATATTTCTACTTTTTATTTTGAACTAATTTTAGGCTTACAAAAAAGTGGCAAAATTTGTACAGAGAAATTTTATACATTCCTCATTCAGCTTTCCTTAAGGATAACATTTTATATAACTACAGTACAATTGTCAGAACCAAGAAACTAACATTGGTACAATACTTTTAAGTAAATACCACATTTTAATTTTGCCAGTTTTTTTGTTAAATCATTTTTCCACCTCAGGATCTCAGTCCAGGGTCCCATGTTACATTTAGTTGTTTTTCTGAGCTCCCCTTAATCTCTAATAATTCCTCAGTCTTTCCTTATTTGTCATGACCTGTCTACTTTGAGAGATTATTGATTGGTTATTTTATCAAATTCCCCAGATTTATCAAATCTGGGCTTGTCTGATATTTTTTGATTGGAGGTTTTTGTCTTTTTGACAGGAATACACAGAAGTTGGATCCTACTTCGTGCATGATATTACGGAGTTTATGATGTTGACATGTCTTCATACTGATGATCTTGATCACCCCCCTCTGCCTAGTTTTTTACCATAAAGAGAATATATTTTTCTTTATAAATAATAAATGTCATGGGCGAAATAGTTTGAGACTATGCAAATTTGTTTTTCCTACACTTTCATCATTAATTTTAGAACCCATCAGTCGATTTTTGTCTGTGACAATTACTACTGTGGTGTTTGTCTCATGGTACTTTTCTACTTCCCTCTTACCTTCTGCATTTACTCATTATAATTCTACTATATGAAAGAGCTGTGCCTTCTCTCCTGTTATTTATTGAATCAAGTACTTACTTATATCAATATGGACTCAATGAATATTGATTGTATAGGTTATAATCCACTACTTTCATTATTTCATTGTTTCATTGCTCAGATTGCCTCAGCTTTGGACATCAGGAGCTCTTCAGTTTGGCTCCTGTTTTTCTTTCAACAAGACTACATCTTTTAAATTTTTTGCCAACAAAAGATGTTCCAGGTTCATCTTATATTTTCTCTGTCTTAGTCCTGGACTCAATCATCCACTTATCCAAATAACCCTGGTTCCTTTTATTGGAGAATGATGTTTAGAAGCCAAGATCTGGGTGATAGTTGTGCTCATTAATGCTGGGGTGTTATTGCTTCTAGGCCCTCTAGTGGACAAAGCTACTAACACACCTGTACACACCAAACACACACACACACACACATACACACACACAACTTTCTCTCTTTCTCTTCCATCTATCCATGCCTTAAGAACCATGTCTTTATACTGATATTTCAGATTAAAATTAAACACCATAGGATTCTTTATTTATAATTTCTTTCTCAAGTGGCAAGAAATCTGGTTCTTTTTATAATCTTATACATTTATATTTTCATAACCAGTTATTCTCTAATTCATTTGCACAAAAATTTGCAAAGTTATCATGTATATGTTTAAAATTTGTATTTGATTCTATGTTTATCTTTCTCCTTGTCATTTCACATTTTGTATATTTGTGCTTTCTTCTTTTTATCCTTGATTAAATTAGCTAGTATTTTGTCCTTTTTGTTGATTTTTTAAACCAAGATTTTAATTTATTAATTAGATCTTTATTGTCTTCCTCATTAGTCTCTGCTTTTATCATGTTATTCCTATTCTTTTGCTTTATTTTGGTTTGCTTTGCTTTTGTTGTTGTTCTAGTTTTTTGAGTGAGCAAGTTAACTAACTGAATTTGTTTTTCATGTTTATTGAGTAAAGTATTAAGGTAATGAGTTTTTCTCTGATCACTGTTTTAAATGCATCCCATAGATTCTGATATGGATTGTTTTCATGTCATTAATTTTTAAAAATTCTGTTATTTCAGTTTGTATTTCCCTTTTACCTAGGAGTTGTTTAATAGGCTTTAAAATTTCCAGGTAGAAGGACCTGTATTTTTTTGATATTATTAAGATTTCATTGTGACCAGAGAGTATTGTTTGTATAATCATTTTTATTTCTAATGAAAGTTACTGACGTTTTCTTCATGATCCTTTATTGTGAATCTGCTGTGGACATTTAAGACTTCTCTGTTATCAATCTATGTCTATAAAAGCTATCCTATTACGTTCAGATTTTCTCTCCCTCCCTGCCCCATCATCTGTCCTGTAGTGAAAATTATTATTATTGGTGTGTTAAAGATTATTGGTGTGTTTCTATCTTCTGGTATCTGTTGACTTGTTTCTTCATGGAGATGGTTGTAGTGTTATTTGGTGCATAAATATTAATAAGTTATATTTTTATTCTAGGTTGTGGCTTTTAGCATTAAGAAGTATCCTTCTTTGTCATGTTTAATGCTCTTTGGCTTGAATTCTACCTTGCCTAGTATCAGGATCACTTTTTCCACTCATTTGATTTTGGTTTTTTTTTTCCACTTGTTACATATAATTTATTTTTAGCCTTTCCAAATCGCTTTATTTTTAGCCTTTCTGAATCCCTTTAATTTAGATTTATCTCTTTTATACAGCACATAGTTAATTTTGTTTTGTGAGCCAACTTCTAAATCTTTTTTTAAAGGTGAGCTAAGCCCATTCACATTTATTGTTATAACTGACAGGTTTGATCTCAACTGTATCATAATATTTATGATAATGCATATTTTGTTAATTTGCTGTTTTTCTTAAAGGATAGTCTTTATGTGGTTTAAATCCACTTGAGTTTTTGACACTTGTTTTACGGGCCAGCATATGGTTTATCTTGTTTTTTGTAATTGGTTTGTAAGAGCTCTTTACATATTAAGGATAGAGATCCTATGTCAAATGTGTTGCAAATCATTCCTGTTTGTTTCTTTCTCTATTTTTATAGCACTTCTCCTTGCAGAACAGGGCTAACTCATAGGCAGTGCTGCCAGAGTTGGCCCTTTCTGTTTCTAGTGGATGTAAAGGGTAATTGTCTGAAAAGAGACAGTTAAGGAAAAGCAACATATTAAAAAGAGTGAATATTTCCCTGTTATTCACATAGACTACTTGAATCTACTCTACCTGCGACTGTCTTCATTTAGATCCTCATAATTTCTTTCCTGGATTATTAGGCAACTCAGTTAATGATTTGTCACCAAAAGTCCTTGTTTGTAGACTATACGCTACCTTCAAGAGTTTTTCTTAAAATTATTTGGTTTTGTTATTTATAAATCACATAACACATTTATAAATATGATTTACAAATTTCCTGACTCTACAAGATAGATAGATATCAATTATTCAAATAACAAAATGTGGCTGGTGCTCAGCTCTCATATGGACAAATGTTAATAAATTTTCATGATCCAGTTGATGTGTCTGAGTGGTGATAGAGTATCATGTATGATACAGTCACTTTATGTTATGAAATGATTTATCCAGACAGGATGATCAAATACCCTGTGCATCTCCTAAAAGTTATAAGGGAAGTGGGAGTAATTAACATCAACAGCACGTCTCGTCTCTCTCCTCCCAACCCCAGCTTGTCACACTCCTGTCACACTGCATTCAAAGCTCTTTAATCACCTCAGGCTCTCTCAAACCTCCCTGCCTCAACCCTTTACAAAACCCTTTCCTCAACCCAATCCCTTGTCTTAGCTAGCAATTTCCAACTCATTCATCAAGAGCCTGCTTAGCTGTCATTTCTTGGTTATGGTGGCGGAACGTGGGGTCCTCCAAGGTGTGCGAGTGTTAACTGTCTGGGAGGAGTAGCACTCCTGCACCGCCCGTTCTAGAATGGCTCCTTCCCATCTTTCAGGATTCTTCATCCTACAAGTCACGCCAGCCAGGAAGCCTTCCCTGGACCCTTGACGTCTCAGCCAGGAGTCTATTCTGTGTTCTGGATCATCCTTTATTTTCATTTTTATTCTCCTACAGGGTCATTGCCTGTCTCCCAGGCAACTTCCCCCATTAGAAAGGGGGCTTTCTGGAGCAGGAACCATGTCTTTCTTGTTCACTACTGGGTCTCTAGATCTTAGCACAGTGCCTGACGCTGAAGGCAGAAGAAAGATTCCTTGAAAGATAAATTCAGGACTGTGGCTGGTGCTCAGCCTACATGTACTACATGTAGTACATGTAGGCATTTCACATTAATCAAGGTGATTATTTAAGCCTCAGTTCCTATGTCTACAAATAGAGAAAGGGTTATGGTGAGAATTACATAAAACCACATTTGCAAAATGCTTACCAGTGAGCTCAGCACTTAGTGCTCAATAAATGATAACAATGACCATCACTACTCAGGAATTACCAACGAGCCCCTTCTGTTGCAAAGGCCATCTCTGAAATGTAGTTTGAGAAAGTAACTAAAAGACTATAAGCATAAAATTAAGGTTCTTTGAGAAAATAACCCATATCAGTCATCCAGAGTTACAGCCATATTAACAGATTCACAAGCTCTGGCCAGTAGTACTGATGCTTTACTAATTGGAAAAATTAATATTCCAGGAATGTTCTAGACACCTCACTTTGAAGAAACACTAAAACTTATACTTGAAAAAATATGATCACGAGTGGTCTTGGCAGAGTTCCAAAGCAAATGTGGAAATTGAAGAATTCGAAGCACTATTATCACTCTGAGAAAGCAGCTGGCTTCTCAAATATGAACCTACCACTTGGTGGAAGTAAAGCTCATTTGTGTGAGTGACAAGTGCAAAGGTCATATCATACCCCATGCTAAAACCTTCCAGTGTCTTCACATCACACTTAGAAAAGGCCCAGCTCTTCACCACAGGCCTCTAAACCTTGGTGATATGGCCTCTGCCAGCTTCTCTGAACTCATCTACATTCCTGCCACAAGTTCCTTCTAATGCATCTCACTCCTCCTGGCCCCAGGGCCTTTGCACTTGCTGCCTAGAGTGCTCCTCCTTCAGGTCTTTGCACAACTGCTCCTTAGCATTTTGGTCTTCTTACCTCCAATGTCTCTTCTTCTTCTTCTTCTTTTTTTTTTTTTTTTGAGATGGAGCCTTGTTCTATTGCCCAGGCTGGAGTATAGTGGCGTGATCTCGGCTCACTACAACCTTCGCCTCCTGGGTTGAAGCAACTCCCCTGTCTCAGCCTCCTGAATAGCTGAGATTACAGGTGTGTGCCACCATGCTCGGCTAATTTTTGTAATTTTAGTAGAGATGAGGTTGCGCCATGTTGGCAAGGCTGGTCTCGAACTCCTGACCTCAGGTGATCCACCTCCTCGGCCTCCCAAAGTGCTGGGATTTCAGGTATGAGCCACCACATCTGGCCCAGTGTCACTTCTTCTAGGGAACCTCTGGCCTGCCCTAAGTGCACTCATTCCAAACGCTGCCTCTGTCCCTTTGGCACTTGTCACATCTAAAATAAAGCTATTATCTAAATATTTGTTGTTTGTCTCTCTGTGAGGAAGTAGACATTGTCTATCTTGTTTACCATGTCTGTACCTAGAACAATGCTTGGCATATAGTTGGTGCTCGGTAAATACTTGTTAACAGGTGCTGCGTCTGGCTGCGTGGACAGTCTCAGGTGTATTTTTCTCCAAGGCACTTGGTCATCAGACTGAGTCCTGCCCTGATCAGATTACACCCAGCTCATTGAAGCTATGAAAATCCCCAAGCAGTAATAACAATGGTCAACGAATATCTGCTTGTTTGTGTACTTCATCTTGTTCTGGAAAGGAGCTGTGGTAGAGCAGTGCACACGAGTTAAAGAAACACCATGAGCAGACATTTAGGACCAGAAAAAGGGCCATTTGCCCAGGAGGCCAACGTGGGAGAAAGTGAAAGGTATTCAGGACATGAAGTCTGAAGAGCCACAATGACTGCACTCTTACTGTAAACTTGTTCCTGAGCTTCTTGGCAGGTATTTCTCTAACTCTCTATTGTCCACAAAGACAAACCATTCCCTTTTTCCAAGAGAATCACAGAGTTCTTATTTGTCACCTGGGGCAGGTAACAAACCCAATGAAAGATGAAGTGGATGATGCCTTTACACCATATCCCTTCCATCCACTCAGCAACTGGTTCCATAAAATTGTTTCCTACAAAGCCTGGAAACGTGGCAGGACACCAAAGCACACTGACGCCATGAATCACGGCAGCTGACTCCGCTCCAATAGCTACTCGCACAGCTTTTTCACCTTATGTGGATCATTTCTCCTTTCTGAGTGGTAGCTTTCTCATCTGAGGAGATTCATGGTATTTTTTCCTGAATCATATTGACACATCACACATCATGGAAAGACAAGAGAAACATTATTATTATCTTTATCACGCAGACCGTGTTCGGAGGGTGAGCAGCTGGAGGAGTATTCTTCCTTGCAGTTTGTCCAAGACATGGGCAAACTTTTGATGAACCCACAGGAGACCTGTCTTCTGCTGGCTAATTTACTGGAACGCTGTTGGGAAATAGGAACCACAGGAAGACAAGGCTTGATTTCCCAGGACGAGCGGGTGAGGGAGGTCTCCCCTGGACTTGGAGAAGAAAGGGTAATTATGTTTCATCTTCTCTTAGGGCAAATTGCTGCTGTGGACCTGCCCACATGGGGGCTGAGAGCCCCGGCAGCTCCAAGGCCGACTGTCATTTTCCCAGGTGCGAGGGTATCTTTAGTAAGTGCTCCTGGGAAACTGCCACTCACACTCTGCCTGGCCTTGTAAAGGATTCCAGAAGGAAGAACCAGAGAAGGGACAGAGCAAGGAGGAGCTGGCTTTTTGTATGGCTGCTGATGGCCCCCTTCACTTAACCCCGGTCGGCAGAGAGCCTGGGCAGCCGCTGGGAGGTCTGCATCTGGCTCTCTTGGTGTCTGGGGTAGAGTTCCCATCCCACCAGGTTGGGGCCCTGTCACTGGCCAGAGCCTGCTGGAGCCTTGGATTACAGGGCAGCAGGAGACGTGCAGAGAAGCACACATCTATTGAGCAGCCACCATGTACCATTTTCCATGGCCCATGCGCTTTCTTCCCATTCCCCAGAGCACCCACGAAGCTGGAACTATCTGACAGATGAGAACATGGAGACTTAGAGAAGGGAAGTGATTTGTTCAGTCAAACAGCCAGCAAGCAGTGGAGCTGGGATTTGAACCCAACTTACAGATTTCAAAAAGCTGTGCAGTTTTGTGGTGAGGGCTAAGAAGGGAGAGTAATAGGAGGTGGAGAAGGAGGAGCCAGGCAGGTAAATGAAAAAGGAAACGGGTTCCTTCTCCGTGAAACGGAGCTAGACGAGCAGCTGATTCCAGAGGTTGTGACGATTCTACAGAAATGCATGGTTGGGGTTCTCAGCCCAGCGACCTCCACGGCTCTTGCCTGTCAGCCCACCCTCTGGCTTCCAGGGTCTTCCCTAGGGGTCCCTAGTTTCTTGCTTCCCATCTAGAAGCACCCCCTCCTTCCCCAAGTGTCACCTCCCTCTCCCCGTCCCCCACCCCAGCCCAGACCCTGGACTAATGCATTGCAGCTTGAGCTTGCAGCCAGCCTGCTGGCTCCTCTGCTCTGCTCGTTCCCCGCCCAGCTCAGCCATCACTTCCAATCACTCCAGTACAAAACATTCTGCCAGATGCAGCCTGCCGACATGGTCTTGCCTGGCCCTTGGTCACCAGCACCTGGTTGTGAGCTCAGACCTGTGGGGGTGGATGCACCACAGACTCCAAGGTCAATGGCTCACCAAACCCTCTCCCTCCATGACCCTGGGGCTTTTGAAAAGCACCAACCTGTGCACTGTACGTTTCCTCACCACCAGTATCCCCCATTGCTCCTTTCCCAGTCACAAGGGAAAACCACTGTGGACACTAGCCACCACATGCCCCTCAGGGTATCACTGTTTCTTTATGGGGAAGGAACTGCCATTTCTTGAGCATCTCTGTGCACCAGGTCCTCTGTGGACATTTCCTCATAACACCTAGGGGAAGAAGATACTCTTTTTTTTTTTTTTGGAGACAGAGTCTTGCTCTGTCGCCCAGGCTGGAGTGCAGCGGTGCGATCTCGGCTCACTGCAACCTCCACCTCCAGGGTTCAAGCAATTTTCCTGCATCAGCCTCCTAAGAGGCTGGGATGATAGGCGCCCACCACCATGCCTGGCTAATTTTTGTATTTTTAATAGAAACAGGGTTTCACCATGTTGGCCAGGCTGGTCTCGAACTCCTGACCTCAAATGATCCACCTACGTCAGCCTCCCAAAGTGCTGGGATTACAGGCATGAGCCACCGCACCCAGCCAGAAGGTACTCTTATCCCCAGGTTACAAATGGGAAGACTGAGGCACAGAGAGGGCATGTGTCTCTTCAAGGACACAGAGCATTCCTCCTCTCTTGCTCTCACTCTGTATCTATCTATCCACCCACCATAAGCATCTTCCATGGCCAGGCACTGCATGGATGATGCACTGGGTTGAATTGTGTCCCCCCAGAAGAGTCCTAACTCCTGATACCTGTGACTGTGGCCTCATTTGGAAATAGAGTCTCTGCAGATATAATCAAACTAAGATGAGGTCATATGAGATCAGGGTGGGCCTTAATCCAGTGACTGCTGTCTTTATAAGAGGGAAATTTGGACACAGACAAACACAGAGGGAAGAAGCCATATGTAGGCAGAGGTGGGAACTGGAGTGATGCAGCTACAAGCCAAGGAATGCCAAGGACTGCCAGCAGCCGCAGGAAGCTAGGAGAGCAAGGAAGAATTCTTCCCTAGGGCCTTTGGAGGGAACCCTGCTGAGACCTTGATTTTGAACTTCTGACCTCCTCCAGAACTGTTGCTTTAAGCCACCTCTTTGTGGTAATTTGTAATGGCAGCCCCAGGAACCTAATACAGATGATATTTAATCCCTGCTACAACCTTGTGAAATGGGAACAATTATTTTTTACTTAACAAACGAGAAAACTGAGGTTGGAAAGGGGGAAATTTGTGGCTGAAGGTCCCACAGCCAGCTGAGAGCAGGTCCACAATTTAAACCCAGGTCCAGCAAACCCCCAAACCTGCACCCCTTACCAGTAATGGATCCTCAAACCTGGATGCACTCCATCAATACCCAGAGAGTTAGGGAAGGTACTGATTCCAGGGCTTTGTCTCTGAAGATGCCCGTGCCATTTGTCTGGGCTGGGGCCCTGAACTCTGCATTTTAACAGCACCCCTGGAGGTTTTGAAGCAGCCGTTAGGGAAATGTTTCTTACCACACTCCTGTCACCCAAAGAAGTGTGTCTGCTGGGGCCCAGGAGTCAGGTCACTTGATGGTTTGTCACAAAGAGGGAGAAGTGGGGGTGAGGTGGAGAGGTGAGTCAGAGGCAGCAGTGGGAGGCTGGGGCCAAGTGGGGAGGACACACCCTCCCTATCTGCCCAGCGAAGCTCAGCGCACCTGTTCCACATCTCACGGAACTCACATCCAGCCACCCCGGCCCTGCCCTTACATCATCCTGGGACCTCAAGCCCTGGGACTTTTGTCTTCCTGGGCCTCCTAGAGCCCCTGAATATTAGATGGGGAATTGCTCATGGGGTGTCTCATCCAGCCACCCCACCCCACTCCCACCCACCACCGCCACTTTATGGCTCAGAGAACTGAGGCCCTTAGAGGGAAAGGGTCTTGTCCGGAACCTACCCGACCAACCCCTGACAAAGCTTTGCTCCAGATCCTTTTCTCCTGACTTCCAGAACATACCGTGTGAAGCCAGCAGAAAGCAGCCGTGCACAGAAGTCAGGCCAAAAGGCAGCAGACAAAGAGCCTCAGGAGGGGTGGGCAGATAAGGGGAGGGATGAGAGGGGAGGGCTTACACAAGCTGAGCGCTTCGTGTGCAGCACCGCTAAAGGCCGCATGTCATCGCCACACTTTATTATATGATGATCGTGTGTGTCCATTTGACAGATGCGGAAACAAAGCCTTAGGGGGTGTAAAGCCAGCTGCCCAGGCTGTGACCACCAGCTCACACGTGCCTGAGCTAGGAGGCACACCCAGCCCTGCTCGCCTCTGAAGCCCGACACCCTTCCCTTTGCTGCCCGGCAGCTCCTCCAACCCCTCAGCCCTGTTCCCAGGCCACACCCTCCCACACAGGAATCCTGCCTGCAAACCAAGCGTGAGTGCCATTGGCGAGAGGCACAGGCCTCGGAGCGATTCGTTGACAGCAAGTGCTCAGCTGGGCTGCACAGAGAGCCATCCAGCGGGTGTTGGCAGCAGCAGCCCTCCACCCCCCACCACCAATATTTCAAAGGAAAGATTGAAGCCACATGTTTGGAGGCCATAAGCTGATTGCTAGAAGGACGTTTCATATAAACAGCATGAGGCAGGGCCTGTCACTTGGACTCACCTTTGGTTCCCAACCCTGGCTATAGCTCTTAAAGCCAGCTCCCGCCAACTCCACCCTCTCTTCAAACTCTAGACCCAGAACCCTGAGGGTCCCGAGCCCAGGCTCACTGGGAAAGGGTTAAAGCAGAAGGCAGCAGGTGCAAGGGCAGAGAAGAGACAAGTTTTCCTGGGAATGAGGGTGGGTGCATGGGAAGAGAGAAACGAGGTGCAGTTCTGGCCAGGCCAGCGGAGCTCAGGGAAGGGCTGTGTTCTAAGCAGCCTGCGCCCTCCTCCCTCCCGCTGAGTGCGGAGTCTGGGGTCTTGCTTCCATTCAACCCTTTATCCCAGGCAAACTTTCTTCCCTCTGTGGCTGTCAGAGTCCTCTTCTGAGACAGGGGGGCTCTGGTGGTGGGGGTCTCTCCCAGCTGCGAGTTCTTCAGGTCTTGGAGACCCAGCCAGCTGCCCCAGGCAGGGGCTGAGCCTGGAAAGCAGCCCCCTCAGAGACACAGGTGGGGCCAGGGGAGGAGGTGGCGGGGGTGGGGGATGGGGGGTGCAGTCGGGGGATGGAGACCGCTGGGCCACACGGGCTGAGGGCTTAGGGTTACCAGAGCCAGGGCAGCACACGTGTGTTTCAAATTTTCTTTCAAGTCTTCTCGAGGCCGGCTTGCTCTCATCCCTCCCCCCGCCCCCTGGCTCCGAGGCTGTAATCAGTTTGGATGGAGCACAGCAGACACGCTGTGGGGGAGGGGCGTGTGGGGAGCTGTCGGGGCTGAGAATCATTTTAGGATTTTGATACCTGCCAGCAGCTCGCAGGCCCATCTGAGGCAGGGGACATGAAGTCCTGGACACTGGCTATGCCCAGACTGACCCAAGTGCTCGCCAGTGGCCTGTTGATGGGGATCTGAAGGGGAGAGGAACCAGTCCTGGATGTATGTAGAAGGCACTGGAATCTGACAGCTCAGGCTCCTGTCCTGGCTCTGGCCCTTGCAGGCTGAGCGGACTTGGCTGTGTCATTCTACTTTTCTGAGCCTCAGTGGCCACGTCTGTGAAACAGGGCTTCAATGTCTATCATGGCTCTAAAAGTTAAATAAAATATGCCTTCAGAAAGCTTAGTGCAGATGGGTGATCTGGCAGGGACTCCTTTGCCCTCTGGAGAAATAGGAGGAACGGATGAAGCAGGGTCCCTTGCACAGAGACTGGAGGCTGCAAAGTCAAGCCTTGGACTGCTGAGGCCATTAGCACAGCATAAATGAGGACTAAATAGCAAGTCACATTTCCTGCGTGGGTCCCAGTCTGCAGCTATCCGTGAGGGGTGACAAAGAGGCTTTGCTTGGCCAGGCTTCAGTCAGGCTCCAGAACCTTCTCCTAACCCCATGCGTGCACTTCCTTGTAAAATCTAGTTTTAGCACCTTGACATAGGATCACCCTCATATCCGATCAGGTTCCTCATTCTCTACCATGCCCCAGGGGATGTCTGGTCACCCTGGTCTGCCTTCAGCAAGAATCCCCTTCACCCCTGATGTTTCCTCTTGGGCCATTTTCCATCCCATGACCCCCTCCCTGCTCCTCGGCTATAAACTCCCACCTGCCTGGGCTGTATTCGGAGTTGAGCCCAGTTCTGTGCTGAGGTCTCTGTTCCGCTATTGCGATAGTCTGAATAAAATCTGTCTGCACGGCTTTACCGTCCAGCTCTGGTTTTCTTTGACAGAGGGCGGTAGGCATCTATGTGAGGCAACAGCCACCGCCCTGTTCCCGAAGCCAAGTCCACACTGGACCTGTCCTCTCCTGACCACGCGTCGCTCAGCAGCTGCTCAGAGGCATCTGGGCTGCTTGCTTTGACCTCTAACACCACCTGCATTTGAGGTGTGGGGCTTAATTATTCTCCTTGTCCCTCCATCTGGGGCTGCCACTCTAGATAACTCCAGGTCCCAGGCCACCCACTCTCAGCCTTTGTAAGGTCACAGGGTCCCCGGAGAACCAGATGAAAATGACTCTCCCTGTCCCAGGGAAAATGCATTTCCACCTAACATTCTGCCACGGGCCCCTTGGAGTTCCTAAATTAAGAAGATCCCTGCTTGGGGTTTTAAACTCCATTCACCACACCTGCCAGAGGAAACCAGCCCTCAGGCTGAGAACCCCTGCTCTGAAGCTTGCTCAAGGGGAGATGGAAGGCTCTTGCAGCCCCATGGTTGGACCCTGGCAAAGCGGGCTCAGGAACTTTGATGTTTAGCCCCTCAAAAGGGCAAGCACCACCTGGTCCTTCCCCAGGGCTACCCACGTAGAAGGCCTTTCCCTCCCCAGACCTCAGAGGACACCATCGATTCTGCACTTCCGAACCAGAGGATGTGCTGGTTCCTGTCCACCCTCGCTCACAGGTGGGGAAACCAAGGCCGGGTCATGGGGGCTTTTTCCAGCTCACCCACAGGTTTTAGAGTCTGAGGCCCAGAGCACCCAGTGGACCTCGACCAGGGGCCCTGGCTGACGTTGGGTCAGCCAGCTGGGCCATGGAGAGGTAGGGGAGTCCGCGTTCCCTCCCCGACCCCCAGCTTTTGTTAGCAACCGATGGAAACTGGCAACTCGGAGAGCAGAGGTTCCCGGCTTGCCAGATCGTAGCTAGGAGAACAGATGGCCAATTCATCCCACCAAACTTGGCACCTCCAACAAAAGAAACAATATGTATTTGGCTCCCTAATCTTTTCCTCAGGTTCCCAGGCAGGTGACTGGAAAGTCTGATGACAAGAAAGCGTCGACTCACCTCTCTCAGGGCGCAAACCACAAGGCAGGCCTGGCTATTGTTCCACTGCCCCCTCCACCCCATCCTGCTCTCCGCTCTCTGCTCTCCTCCCTCCTCCTCCCCTTTCCTGGGGCTGCCCAGGCCTATCTGCAGCAGCTCAGGGTCTCCCCCAGAGCCAGTCCCTGGTGAAGGTGGGCTGGTATGCGGGCACAGGGAGGTGCCCATTCTCTGAGTATCATACCCCTTCTCTCCTTCCACCCTCACAACAGCCCTATGGGGATAGATACTGTTATTGTCCCACTGAGCAGATGAGAAAACTGAGGGATTCACCAGTAGGCTGCATAGGCTTTCTGCACGCGGCAGAGCTAAGAATGTCCCTTGGGGCCAGGGCACCACCTGACAAGCACTGCCCACTTGCCAGATCTCAGAGAGGTGGCATGGCCTAGGGTGTAGACCTGGGCCCCCTCCTCACCAGGCTCTGCTCCTCTGGAGGGGCTTTGGTGACCGGGGGAGGGAAACACTCCCATTGAGAAGTCTGAAGGTGCGACCAAGGTTTCCTGCAGCACCATGAATTTGGGAAGGAAGGGGGCTCCTTTGTAAGCCCTGGAGATACACAACTACAGCTGTCCATTATTGAGCACCTACTGCATACTTGGCACTTGATAGGTGCTCCATGTGGGCTCCCCTTAATGGGCTCTGTTTTGTATGTGCTGTGACCCTAGTTGTACAGATGAAAAATTGGAGACACAGAAAAGTGATGGTTTGTGAAAGTCACACGACCAGTTAAGAGCCTAAGCTGGGACTCTTTCCACTGCCTCAGCTATTTCTCTCTGTCCTCCACCCCCAGCCCCAGGGAGGGTGTTAATGAGGCCTGCACAGGAGAGAGGCAGGGGTGAGGAGCTGTGCCCGCAGGTGCCTGCAGGTCTTCCTGCAGTGGCCAGCCCAGGGCCTGGCGCCACTCCTCCCCTGCCTGTCTGCTCTCCCCAGCATGTGATGGTGGCTGATACCCCCTGGGGTGGGGTGGGGGGGCCCTGCACGAGTCTGGGCCCTGCCACGACGCCACCCTGGAGACCCAGAGTCTGTCTCCCAAGAACTGCAGTCCTTCCCATTCTGGGATCCCTGGGCGGGGTAGGTGGGGCTTGGGGAATACTCAGAACTGGCTCAAAGGACTGGGAAGCTCCTCGAGGGCCCCAGTGGGTTGGGGGGGAAACGTAAGCTGCAAGACCTCAGAGGCCTGGTATTCTATTGTCTTTTTCTGTCTTTGTGCCCAGCTGGTCCTTTCACTCTTTTCCTCTCTGTCTCTGGGTGGCTCAGGGGTCATAGTTTGTGATGTGTTGGCTAAAGTAAGAATGAGAAGCCAAGAGATCCCATTTTAGCCTCACTTATGCTGGGTGACCCTAGGGTGTTCTTCCCCCTCTCTGGGCCTCCAGCTGCTGGGCCACAGCTTAGAGCCCCTCAGGGCCCTTAGGCCCTGATGCCCAGGCCATCCCAGGGCAGTGAAGAGCTCAGAAGACAATGTTTGACTGTTTTCTTCATACAAGGAACATTTGAGAAGCACTTCCTGGCTCTCGATGGAAAGAGATTTAAAGAGGAAAATAAAGCAAGCATGGAAGTACCTCTTATTGACAAGCCCAGGCCTTGTTAGCTTAGCGTCTGCTCCTGCTCTGCTTCTGTCCCTCTCTGTGACTTGGGAGCCATTTCTCAAGCCCCCAGCCCTTTCCCTCACGATCTTCCTCTTCAAGTTCCTGCTCAGGAAAGTGTGCTTCGAAATGTGGGCACAGGGGAGAGTCAAAGTGAGAAGGTTGGCAAAGATCCATAGGAAGACCCCAGAAAGTGGCCAAGCTCCTACAAAAACATCTCACCACCACCGCTGCCACCATCTCGTCCATCACCGCTATCACCACCATCATCACCACTTCCAGCATTATCACCACTACCTCCGCCATCTCCTATGTATTACTACTATTGTCAATAGTAGTATATAATAAAAGCAACAACGAATTCTGTTGAATGCTTACCCAATGATATGCATCATACTAACTTAAATACTCTGTCCGGCTGGGCGCGGTGGCTCAAGCATGTAATCCCAGCATTTTGGGAGGCTGAGGTGGGCAGATCTTTTGAGGGCAGTTCAAAACCAGCCTGGCCAACATGGTGAAACCCTGTCTCTACTAAAAATACAGAAAATTAGCTGGCCGTGGTGGTGGGCACCTGTAATCCCAGCTACTTGGGAGGCTGAGGCAGAATTGCTTGAGCCTGGGTGGTGGAGGTTGCAGTGAGCAGGTATTGCGCCATTGCACTCCGGCCTGGGCAACAGAGCAAGACTCCGTCTCAGTAAAAAAAAAAATCTGTCCAAGTCACACATGTAGTGCCTTAGTCTGGGTTCTCCAGAAGGCAACCTTGAAACAAGGACGCAAATGCAAGTAATTTATTTGGGAGATGAAATAACAAAGTGGTATGATATCAAGCAAGTGACAACTGTGGAAAAATGGAGCTTAATCTTGCTGGGAACTCCAGGCACCAGTAAAGAACACCCACCTCAGAGTCATCCCCCCCAAGGACAACGAAGCTGGGGTATTTATACACCAACTCTGGCTAGCCGTTGTTTGGGGGCTGCCTCCAAGGGGTATTAATGCCCCATCACCTCCAGCCTTCTACACATAGAGACAGACAAGGGTCAGCTGCAGAGGAAGCCCTCAGGCAAAAAGATTTAGGTTCTGGTAGTTGGAACTCAGACCTATGTGCATGGAGATGGTAAGGACTGGGAGGATGTGGGAAGAAAAATGAAGTATCTGCTACTGGTAGTATGTGGTGACATAAGGATTCGAATCCTGGTCTTTTTTATTTTGGTGTCTATGAACAGATCAGCATATGGCTGGCTGGCTGAATGGATGAACAAACAGATAGGCAGATGGGTAGATATATGAACAGATGGAAGGTGGACGAGCAGATGATTGGACAGGTAGGTGTTCAAAAAATGGATGGTTAGATGGATGAGCAGTGGATGAATGGATGGATGTCTGAGTGGGTAGGTGGATGGACAAATATAAAATGAATGAGTAAATAGATGGAGAATGAGTAAGTCAGTGGAAGGATGGATGGATGGCTGAAAATTTTAGGGGATGGGTAAATGGGTAGATTGTTTAAGAATTGTATCTGTGACTGGATGGCTGGATAGAAAGATGAGTAGACAGAGGAGAGGTAAGTATACAGGAAGTAGGATGGGCAGGAAGTGGGTTGGAGGATGGATGATCAGGTTTGGAATCAGAGAAGGGCCATGGCTAAGTAAAACAGTGCCTCAACAGTGATCTTGAATGAAGAGAGCTCAGCTAATGTCACCCCCATCATACCTCACCTCTTACTGCTCCAGGAAAACGCTAGTCTCTAAGACTCAGAGGCATCTCAGCTGTGGCTTAATGTTGATGACCAATCCCATCAGGAATTAAATGGGGTCCAGGGAAGATCCAGGGTGGCTGTAGCAGAGGGCATCTGTTGGAGAAGCCTGTGAGATGGAACTGGAAGAGTAGGATGAAGCCCACTGGGTCTTCCACCTGGAATGTTGCTGCCCTGCCCAGAGCTGGCTGGGCATTTGTCCAGGAGACACCATCATAGGGCTGGCTCTGGCCACTCTGCCCTGTGGTGGGATGCTGAACATATTCAGGCTTGCCTCATCACCCAAGCAAGGCAATGGCTGTAGAAGGCAGCTCTCACAGTGGGAACAGCACTGGCTCAGGAGGGCTAGGAAAGGAAAGGAGGCTGACATCAGGACGGGAAGCCCTGCCATGTTGGCAAAGCCAAGAGAAGCCCAGGAACACCCGGCTCCAGCCCAAGCACAGCTGATGGCCCAGCTCTGCCAAGTTTCACTGCCTGGGGCACATTTTTATGACAGAGGAATAATTAGAGGCAGGCCTCCTATTCCTGGCCTTTTCCTGGTGCTGTGTGTGAGTACACATTGCACACTTGTGCATGCTCACACACACACATAGGTTGTATGGGTGAACATGGATGTCATAGTGGGTTTCTGTTGTTTGCCTGTGTGTATGTGTTAAGGTTTGAGTATATACGCTAGGATATTTCATACGTGTGAGTTTGTATGTGACCACATGCTTGTGTGTATATGAGAACATGTTTGAATGTGGGTAGATGTGCTTATGTGTATGTGAGCACATTACTGTTCACGTGCTTGCACATGCATGAGCATATGTGCATTTGCATTAGCATGTTGTGTGTAAAGGTATTCGCTTCTGTGTATTGGTGCATATACTTACTGTTTGCATGTGTGGGAACTTGTTTGTGTAAGTGTATGTGTGTGTATGCGTGTGCACACGTGCATGTTCAGGTGGATCTGAGTGCTTGTCGAGGGATGGAGTTCATGGAATGATGGGACTCACATACTCCAGACCCAGCCTCACCTTTTATGATCTACCCTCCACCCTCGACCTCACTCTTTCACACAAACTGCAGGAGCCAAACAACTAGTAGCTACACCAACACTCTAGGCTGTTTCAGGCCTCCGTGATTTTGCTTGTGCCGCCTGGAACACCGTACTTTCCCTTTCTCCTTGGTAAAGCTTTTGTTCATCTTCCAGGTCCAGGTTTCATACCCTCTGTGCTATCTTCCTGGGTACCACAGACTCTATCCTCTGAGCTCCCTTGCTCCCTCTCAGACAGCCGTCTCTTAAGCCATGAGGTATTCTTTGTTCTTCCTGTAGACTGGGATTTGCTTGAGGGCAGGATCTATATGTAATTCCTTTCTGGAAAACCAGGGATTGAAACAGGATCTGGCATGCAATGGGCTGGATGGGTGAATGGAGAAATAGATGAATGACAGATGGATGGACAAACAGATGGAAGGAAGGATGGATGGATAGATGGATGGATGGATGGTTGGATGGATGGATGGATGGATGGATGGATGGATGGATGGATGGATGGATGGACAGATGGATTGGTTGGTAGATGTGTGGATAGATGGATGGGTGAACAAGCGAGTAGATGGATGAGTAAATGGCTAAATCTGGTGCTTTTCTTCCAGAATCCTGGATTCTGAAGGGAGGCTTTGCAGCCCTTCCTCGTGGATCACTTGCTCTGGTACAGAAGAAACAGTCTCTTTGCTTGCAGAGGAAGGCTGCAACCTCAGAGCCTGCCTGCTTTCTCCCCGCTCAGCCCTGGCTCTCAGGAGGGCTGGCTCCAGATTGGCCACCTACCTTACTGAGGAGAGATTAGGTCTGAAGAGGCCTTGCTGAGTGGCTTAAGTTAGCCCCTGTTTGTGTTCCTGGGCTTTCAAAGGCTGGGGAGAAGACAGAGGAGGGGCCTGACTTCAGGCCCCACGGCTAAGTGGGGAGGGATTGTGTATCCTCCAGGCCTGAACTGCAGGCAGCTCAAAGCAGGACCCTAGGAGTTTTGAGACAGGAAAATGGTGTTTTGTCTTGTTAATGATTCACTTGGCTTTGAACTGGAGAGTAGTCAGGTGTCCCCAGACGGCGGCTTTTGAGCTGGTCTAGGGGAGGGGGCAGGGCGTACTCAGGCCCCGGATTACAGAGGCCTTCCCGGGGGAAGGGGGCCTTTGATGGGGCCGGGTCTGTTGTCCGGAGTCTGCTTTGCTGGTGGCTGGAGCCCCCTAATGAGGGGGAAAGGGCTCCGTTTGGAGGCATTCCCCTGGCCTCCCTTGGGCAGCAGGCGGAGACCTCCTTTGATGTCGTAGTCCTTAAGCCAAGTGGGGACTAATTGCCACAAGGTACAGAATGTTCTGGTTGCTTGGGGGGTCTGCAGCCTGCTCACAATGCCACAGCCACCCTGGGGTGGGGGAAAAGGCAGACACTCTCCTGATGTGAGACAACTCAGGGGCATTTGTTGTGTTTTTATTTTTCCTTCATGCACAGAGCCACAGACAGAATGGGAAACCCACTACACACTGCACACTACACACACACACACACCTTACTCCACTGCAAGTTTGTAAACAGTATTATGCTTGAAAGCATACGTTTTTTAAATCAAAGAGTCAATGAGGTGGGAGGAATAATGGCAACGAGAAAAAAAAGCAGACGTTGACAGGCTGGCGCCAGACAGATTTGGGTTCAAGACTCAGCTTTGCCACTCACACTTTGCTGGGGCAAGTCACTGGACTTTCCAGGCACCAGAACGCTCTGCAGATGCAAGAGCTCATGCCTGACCTGGAGTAGGTGCTTCTGTTTTTGTCTGTTGACCTTCTATTGCTGAGGCAACTGCATGCTTGAAACAGTTCACTAAAAACACAGGTGTGTGGAACTGGCCATTCCACATGGTGTGCAGGCAAGAGGAAAACCTGTCAGGAAACGTCAGATCATTCTCATTTGGGCAAAGAGCAGGGAGAGGATGGTTTCCTTTGAATTTTAATATTTGTGCCCACATGGATTCCATCTCAAAGGAAGAAGATCTTGTTTTCCCTGGGCTGTGCTCACTCCATACTCCTCTCTAGATCTCTAGATCTCTGTGGACTCTAGAGTCAGAGCAATTATTATTATTGAAAGAAAAAGTTACAGTCAATTATTGTGTTTATACATGATATCAGGCACGGGGCTGGGTGATCTGACTACATTATTCCTGGACTTCACAGTGACACTCTCAAAGAGTTTGTAACTCATTTTACAGATTGGGAAACCAAGATTCAGAGAGACAAATGACTTGCCCAAGAACATCCTACGTGGAAATGGGGGAGGCAGCTTTCTGCCTGGCCTGGCTCCAGAGCCTAGGTCCTCCCAAGCCCACCCCAGAGGAATGAACTGAACAAGCTTCTGGTAGCTTCATCTCCCCATCTGGTCACCAGGAATAATAATGGGATGTCCTGCTGGGAGGCAGAGCCTCTGCAAAGGTACCCAGAGGGGAACCCTGTAGACGTGGCAGGGACCTGGAACACTTCTGCTGCCTCCCTTCCACCCTCATCACCTGCTTCCCCCAACAACACCCCCGCCCCACCCCCCACAGATATTCCCTACCCCCTCCCCCACCACATCCACTATCCGGAACCTGGAGAAAGGGAGAGCTGGGGAAATGGGGGTAGTGATGTCCATCAAGTTGTTCCTCCAGACTGTGGTGCCCCTTCTTTGTGGTTCCATTCTGACCTTTGGCCTCTGGATAGGGACCCTCCTGCCGGCCCCTACCAGTGTCAAAAACCACCAGGAGAAGCTTCCAGGATGGAGAAAAGAGAAGGACCTGTCTCTCTGGCTGTCCCTCAGTAAGCAGCAGAAGAGAAATAGCTGGACCCTGATGTTCCATAAACACAAGCCGGTGGCGAGCCCAGTGAGGAAGGCTGTGGGAGAGGAAGCGGGAGCAGAGAGGGCAACACCCCACAATCTGGATATGGCAACCCTTAGTTACACGCGAGACGGCTCTGAGAGGTGAGGCAGTGCCACGGATGAGCTGCATAGCAGGAACCCAGAGCCAGCTTGGGCTGACTTTGGACACGAGGCTAAGCCCAGGACCTGGGAATGAGGAAGCGGCTGAGAATGAGCCTCCAATGGGGCTTGTGGTCATTGCCAACAGTGTGGTCCTGAGGACCCCAGCTGAGAGGAGGTGCCCCCAAAGGGCTGTCATGAGACAGACACCGCAACTGTCCCTGGGAAGGGAGGGTCTGTGGCTGTCCTACTTGTTCCCTGTCTTGGGGGAGAGAATTGGGGGTGTCCCTGGATGAGCGGAGAGCCCCTCCGGAAGCAGAGGCACCATCGGGACAGAGGAAAATCTAAGAAGCTCTGGCACAGTTCCTGCTTCCACTACCTTCACCTTTCTTCTTCTTCTTAGAAAATATCAATGTGGAGACAGCTTTATTGTTTTAGAGCAGTAATACATTCTCCTTTTTTTTTGTAATGTCAAAATACAGGTAGGCAAAAAAAGAGACAATAAAAATGCCCAGAGAAGGTCACTGTCCCTCAGGCTCACTTGGTGTATATATACCTTGTGGAACGGCGATTGCTTCTCCCCTGCTTAACACATTGTGAGCACGTTTCCGTGTATACACACCTCTATCGTGATTTTAAATGCGTCCATAACATTCCAAGGATCATCACAGTTTTTTAAACCAATGCCCTAGTGTTGAGCATTTAGGTTGTTTCCAGTATCTCACGGTGAGACGTCTTTCTACTCCTGAGACTCCCTCCCGAGCAGTGGTGTTGCTGTGTTAAAGAGCATGAGCATTTTGTAAGTCTTTGGTGGCCAAAGTGTGCCCTGGGAAGATCTGTCACTCTACCACCCCAGAAAGTATCCAGAGTGCTGTTCCTTCTCACTGTGTTCAAAGCTGGATATGAGTGATCACTTTTTAATCTTCGGTGACCCGATAAGTGAAAAGAAAATCTTGTTTCCACGTGAATGTCTTTGACTACTGCCTCTGCTTTCTTCATTCATTTATTCAACAAAAATGTATTGAGTGCTTATCTTGTGCCAGGCATCCTCTATTGCAGGAAGGGTGGTGGTGCATATTTTAAGCAGAAAATCAAACAATCTCTCCATTACGATTGCAGTCAGTGTTATGAGGAATGGTGGCCTGGGGGAGATGGGCTAGTGGGAGCTTTGGCCTCTTCCACAATCTCTATCAGATTTGATTTTCCTTGCTATGGAAAATGGACCCTTCTCAATGTCATATAAAATTCTCTGTAAATGCAGCTGCATTTCACCCTCGCCCCTACCCCTCTAACCAGATATTCTTCTAAGCACTTCCAACAAAGATATTTCCAGCAACCTTGTTAAGAAGAGCAAGTGCAAGGGGCTATTTCTCTGGCAAGAAAGTCTAGACTATTATCCAAGGCCTGTTTGGGGTGCATTTTCTTCAAAAAGCCTCTGGTTTTCACCAAGACAAACCCCTCTCTCTTTATCACACACTGAAAATCTCTTTAAAAGACTCAATAAACGGAGTAATAGAATCAAGGGTGAATTGTCTTCTCCCCTCCAGTGTAGGTGGACAGAATAAATTCTCTGCATCCCCAGGAGCTCCAGGCCTGGGATGTGGTCCATGAGAAGTAAGTAAGGTGGGTGCTCTTACATACCTATTGTTTTCAACATCTTTTTCAACTGGGAGAATCTTTTTTTTTTTGAGACAGAGTCTCACTTTGTTGTCAGGCTGGAGTGCAGTGGCACAATCTCGGCTCACTGCACACTCCGCCTCCCAGGTTCAAGTGATTCTTCTGCCTCAACCTCCCAAGTAGCTGGGACTAAGAGGCGCATGCCACCACCCAGCTAATTTGTTGTATTTTAAGTAGAGACAGCGTTTTACCATGTCGGCCAGGATGGTCTCAATCTCTTGACCTTGTGATCTACCCGCCTCGGCCTCCCAAAGTGCTGGGATTACAGGTGTGAGCCACCATGCCCGGCCTCAACTGGGAGAATCTTTTCATGATAACTGAGGTTCACAGAACACTTTCTGGGTGCTTGCTTGAATTCACAGATAAGACAATGAATGGCTCAGAAGGGTTGGAGGCCAGCCCAAGGTCACATAAGCAGGAAGGGGGCTAGATGTGAATCCAACTCCCCTGGACCCTGGGGCAGGACCCATGCTCTTGCATTACAGTGAAGTTCCAACTCTGTGCCTCCTTCCTTCCTCTTTGGAACTAAACCCCTGGGAGTCCCTGGCCTTTTGGATTCTGAAGCTTCTAAGGAAGGGATTTTGCCAGAGGTGCCCTGGCCTGGCACTTGTTGGTACCCTCAATTGCAAACTGAGTCCAGAAGCCTGGCAGCCAGAGTGTCTGTCCAGATAGGCATCTGGGCAGTGCCCACAGATGGCCCCAGTGTGATGGGCAATGCGTTAGGCATACTTTCCTTGCTGACTGATGTCATGAGCTCATTAGAGCAACGGGGTTTATAGTACAAGGCAACTATCCAGACAATAAATTAAGCTGCACAATTTAGCACTTAATTATCCTCTCTCTCATCTACTTCACTCTTGTTCCCGGGTGTCTGTCTGGGCCCTCCAGCTAGATGGTAAGATCTTCCCTCTGCCTCACGCCCCACAGTCAATCCATCATGCAGCCCCGTTGGGGCCATCTCGGGAACATCTCTCAAATACTTTCCCTTTTCCACATCCCCACAGCCTTGACCGCAGCCAGCTCTCACTCTCTCTCCCCACTGGATTATTGCCACCCTGGTCTCTCCCGCTTCAATTCCCCTCTCTGCTCCGCCCAAGTTACACAAGCATGGCTTCCCTTGGTCTGAAATCCAAAGTCCCAAAGGTCTTGGCATCCAAAGCCCTTCATGCCCAGGGTGTCTTGCCTGCCTTACCAGCCTCCTCTTCCCAAACCCCCATGTTGGCTGCCCTCCCGCGCAGAATACTAGCTTGAAGATCTTCCCTTATTAGGATCAAAGCCAGCCTCCAGGCTATTTCAATACACGAACTTCTGTATACTCAGTTTCCTCCACGTGGAATATCCCCCTCCCCACACTGACAGCCCTGCCACTCAATTTGCAAACTCATTCTCATCCCAGCAGCCTGCTCTGGAATCTCCTCCTTCAGGAAGTCTAGGGGTATTTACTTGGCAAGCCCTACAGCTGAATCTCTTCATTTCCCATCCCCTCAAAGCCCACCCCAGAGGACGCGCTTCCACAGGGATGCCCCAGATAATAAGATCAACAGGACTGTCTATCTGTGGAGGGCATGGATGGCTACAAAGCACTCTCCCACCCTTGCACTTTGGAGTCCTTATTGTTAAATCCTCAGAATCAAACCACCAAGGATCCCTTTTACAAATCCTTTTATAGATGAGGAAACTGAGGTTCAGATTACAGAGCCAGGTCCCCCTGCCCAACCCTGCCTACGTCTAAAGAGCAGGGACAGTGTTCTAGGGCTCAGGGAGAACAGGCAAGAGGACCCCATGGGGGCACCATGATGGGGGGACGACCATGGAGGACAGGGATGGGGGACAGTCTGAAGCAGGGCTGTCTTTTAATCCAAAGGAGGCTTGGCTGGTCAAATCACAGCACCTCCACCAGGCGTTCCCTTCTGCTCCTCCATTTTGCAGGTGGGTGAATGGAGGCTCAGAGAGAGGGAGGGAGGAGCAGAGGACAAGGTCACAGAGAAATAGGGACCAAGTTAGAGTCAGGTGTCCTGGCTCCCGGTCCAGCTGACCCAGTGGGCTGCAGGTCAGGGAAATCACGTGGTCGCTCCTTCTCTCTGTCCTCCCTTCCCCGAGGGCTTCCTCCATTTCCTGCGTGCCTCCTGGCAGCCAGGCCTCACCCTTGTTTTTAAAGACACAGAGGGCCCCTGTCTGATTTCCTCATTGTGCCTGGCACATAGTGGGTGCTGGGTAAACACTTTTTTTGAGTGGCTTAATTACTGAGTAAGTGAATGAGCACTGGAATTGTAAGATTCCCAGAAGGACCTAAAGCCCTTTATGGGCACAGGTCACAACCATCCTATGAGATCAGTGTCATCACACCCATCTTACAGATGAGGGCGCTGAGGCTCACGGAGGGAACAGAATTCAACCAAAGCTCTATGGTTAGAAAGCAGTTCTCAGCCATCCTAGGAAATAAAACATTACACATGCTATATATATTTTAAAGCAAGGATGTTTTCCTTCTGGTGTCGAAACAGGAAAAGCTCCCTGAGAAGCCCATTGTAAATATCATCGCTTCTTCTCAGGCCTCTGTCAGCTTATGTTATTTTATTTATCAACATTCAGTAGCGTGTGGATTCAAGAACACGTCCTCGAGTGGAACGCCAAAGAAGATGCCTGCTCTAGGGGCCAGAGCGCGCTCCGAGCAGGAAGCCCGGGGCGGGCCGTCATCCAGGCGCAGGGCTGGGTGGGCGTGGGCAGCCCTTCCCAGCGCCTCTGTCTGGGTGGAGCGGCAGGTTGGAGTTGCAGCGGCGTCTCCCTCATTTCCATAAGGGGGAGCCTGTGCGCAGGAGATCCCGTCCCAGCCCGCGCAGCCTCGCCATCCTGGGACCCGCTCCGTCAGGAGTGGCCATTCGGGTGGCACCAGCAGATGTCTACCCTCGAGGGGAGCCACAAGGTTCTGTGCAAACTCTGCCTTCCTCCGTTTATCCTCGTGTCCCCAAGGAAAATGAAGGGGACCACCCAAGGCCCCGTGTAGAAAGAACGTAGCTTTGGGGACAGACGGGACTGGGGCCCCCCTGGCTCCATCCAGGACTAGCTGCATGACCTTCAGCTGGTTACCTCCCCTAGTCCTCAGTTTATCTGTAAAACGGAGCAATACCAATTTTAGAAAGTAATGCAGAGCAGCGACAGACAGTGTCTGGGGCACAGTAAATTCTTTAAAATAAAAGAAATATTAATTACCCTGGTGATTGTTGTCTGGATTATTCATGCAAGTCCTAATTGCCACCCCAACCTTCACAGAAATTTCTGCTCATCCAGGTCCCTGGCTGAGCCTTCAGGGTGATTTACTCAGGGGCTGTGGCCTCCCTGGGCCCAGATGTAGACAAACCCAGCAGAAAGGCATTTTGAGCTTGTGGTTGCAAATATAAAACCAGGTGCTTCTCTTAACAGAAATGATGACAGAGCAAAAGTACCAAAGACTATTTGAGAGAGAGAGACAGAGAGCGCTCATAGCTGAATTCCTACCCAGATTCAGCAACCAGTTTCTCTTTTTTTTTTTACACATCCCCACCCCTAGTCCACACACGTGTTTTGGGACTGTAATATACCAGGTGCTGTTTTATTCCTGACGTGCTGTGGCCTTTGGTCTGAATCACTCCATCTCCTTTTGTTTGGTTCCTGCCAGAAAGCAAAGCACATATTTCACTGTCCCTTCCCCTGGGAGAACTTCTTTGCTGGCCTCCCTTTGCACACCTTCATGGAGCTGCGTTCGGGATAGAACGATGGCATGGCCACACAATCTGCTGCCCTTCGGCCACTTTCTTACACTTTTCTTTTTTTTCCCCAACATAGAAATAGCATATTCTCCCTGATTACTAAAGTAATACATGTGCATCATAAAACATTGGGCAGTTCAAAAGACGAAAGTCACCCAGAGATAACCACCGCTAACATTGTGTCTTATCCTATCAGACTTTCGTGTGTCTGGTGCACACACAAACCTAGTTACAACAAGGAAATCTTACAGGATATGCTGTCGTGTATTCCGATTTTCTTTGTCTGCCTATGTGGTTTTCTTGATCATTCTAAATGGCTCAGAATCATTTCATTGTACGGCAATGTACAATAAAATGTATATACACCAACATGGTGAAACCCTGGCTCTACTAAAAATGCAATATTTAGCTGGACATGGTGGTGTGCACCTGTAGTCCCAGCTACTTGGGAGGCTGAGGCACAAGAATCACTTGAACCGGAGAGGCAGAGGTTGCAGCGAGCCGAGATTGTGCCACTACACTCTAGCTTGGATGACACAGTGAGACCCCATCTCAAAATAAATAAATAAATAAAATATAATGTATACACAATAAAATGTATATGTAAAGTGACTGACAGCATAGTTCATTTAACCAAAATCTCGTATTTTTGGACATTTAGGTTGTTTCCTTTTTCTTTTCTGTTCTTTTTGTTTTTTAAGCCTTTAGTTTGGAAATAAATATAAATTCATAGGAAGCTGCAAAGATAATACAGACAATTCCTATGTACCCTTCATCTGGTTTTTCCCGATGGTGGCATCTTACATAACTCTAGTACAATGTCAAAGTCAGGATATTGACGTGAGTGCAGTCTGTGTGTATAGTTCTAGGTCATTTTATCCCATGTTGATGATCTGTGTAACCACCACCACAATCAAGACACAGAACTATTCCATCATCATCATGATTTCCCTCGGGATACCCTGGAGGATCACACCCGCTCATCTCTCCTCTTCTTCCTAACCACTGGCAATCGCCAGCCTGTTCTCTAGCTCTATACTCTTGTCATTTTGAGAAATATATTATATATATATATGTGTATATATATATATATAAAACGTTATGTATGTATGTATATTGATTTGATTTTTCGTGTGTGGCATGTGTGTAGGAGGTGAACGAGAGGAGAGTGGGAAGGGCAAAGTTTTCTCTGAATCATCCAAACTTGCCCAGCCTAGTGGCTGTTCAGCACTTGAAGTATGGCTACTTCAAATGGAGATGTGCTGTAAGTATAAAATGCACACTGGATTTGAAATCCTTAAAAAAATTAGAAAGAAAGAAAACTCATTTGTCATGTTTTGTATCGACTATACACTAAATTTATAATATGTGGATATATATTAAGTTAAGCAAAATATATAATAAAATTATTTTTACCAGTTTCTCTTTACTTTTCTAATGTAGCTACTGGAAAATTAAAACTTATGTATGTGGCTTGCACTTGCGGTTCACACTGTGTTTCAGTTGGGCAGCAAGGGCCCAAACCCTCCCTCCCACAGCCCTTTAGGATCCACGGTGGGCAGGGACAGTGTGGTGGCCAGAGCCAAGGCCTCAGCTCTCAGCCACCGCAAGACAGTCAGCTGGTCCCTGTGGTTCTGGTCTCAACAGCCAGTACACAACCACAGACCCCACAGTGTGGTGGAAAAGAGCTTGAGGTCAGAGAGACCTTGGTTTCAATCCTAGCTCCTTTAGAGTGTTCTTGGATTTGAACTTTTATCCCCTTCCATTTCCTTATTCCTAAAATGGGGGAACTCACCCCATAACATTTATGGAGACTTTTTTTTATTCAACCAATTGTTACTGAACCTACTACATGCTTTCGCAGCCTAGAAGGAGGCTCACGTGGCGCTCCAGCGCTCATTGGACCCTCTTTGCTGCCTCCAGAGACACTCTCTCGCCCAGGCAGGAGTGCAGTGGTGCAATCTCAGCTCACTGCAACCTCGGCCTCCGGGTTCAAGCAATTCTCCTGCCTCAGTCTCCTGAGTAGCTGGGATTACAGGCACCTGCCATCATGCCTGACTAATTTTTGTATTTTTGGTAGAGATGGGGTTTCATCATGTTGGTCAGGCAGGTCTCAAACTCCTGACCTCAAGTGATCTGGCCACCTCAGCCTCCCAAAGTGCCGGGATTACAGGTGTGAGCCACTGCACCAGGCCCTGCTCAGCACTTCTTATGAGCCCACTGGCTGCCTGTGCTGAGATTCACCTCCGCCATTCCTTTATGACTTTAGCTAAGCCAGTCCCTTCTCTGTTTCTCAATTTTCTCATCTATGGAATGGGGATGATAACATGACCCACCTCACAGGGTGGCTGTGAGGGTTAAATAAGATACATGGAAACATAATTCCTGGACTTTTGTAGGTGCGCAAACTGGTAGCCTCTGCTATTATTGTTATTATTAGTAGTAGTGTTATTTTCTTTGTTTTAGAATCCCAGTGATTTCAAGGGCACTCCCAGGAGAGACGACCTAGGAACACAGAGGAAAGATCTGGAAGGATTTGTCAGTCTGCATGTGATGAGATGAGACCTTGGGCCTTTGAGGAGTTTATGAAAAATTCTATTGTTCAAGTGACAAATATGTCCTGGACATCGTGTGGCTCGTGTCAAGAAGGGCCTCCTGCTCTTGGTCATGCTAAGAAGATGGGCTCTGTCTTCTCTAACTGAAAAGGGTTACTGCTGCTGGCTGCCAACCCAGGCTCCATCCTCCTGTTTCAGATGCTGTCGATGCCCCGCCCATTGCCTCACCTCCATCTGCAAACACCTGCAATTCTCTGCCTCAGGGATTTTTTCTATCTGTGGAAACTTGCTAGGTCTGAACTCAGGGCAACGTTAAAGTGCTGGTTAATGTACTGGAAGGAAGTATCCCTGAACTCAGGATAAACAGGGTGCTGTGGAGAAATACCTTAGCTTCCTGGCCCTAGTTCGGGTTACCTCCGAGGTGTGTTCCACATCATCTCCCAGGTTTCTCAGTGGCCTCAGCTGCAGTTACCCACAGTAGCAACTGGCCTGATGAAAGCTGTCTTTCCTCCTCTGTCCCACTTCCTCATTCTCCTGCTGGTGTTTCCAAATAAGGAAGTTCAAGTGTAAGTTCTGCTTCTAGAAGAACCCAACAAAGATACTCTTTTTCTTCTTTTTTGCATAAGTTATTCCCCCTACTACAGAGCCATATGCTTTGGAAGAGGTTGACCCTTCTCCAATTCCAGGCTATCCCTTGTACCTTGACAAATAATCACGTCAGGAATCATCAGATAACTTAAGTCTATCTAAGCAGAGGCAAGAGCATACCTGCTGCTAGACATAGTCTTCTCCCCTCTACCAGTGAGCTACTGGAAAAGGTACTTGGTCCTCTTCTGGACATTGCTATACTTGGATGTGATGCCTGGGACTTCTGGTGCCATCTTGTTTGGATTTTTGGAATGAAGCCATCATTGCAGATGACAGAGCAGAGAGATGGAGAAACTCTGATGACAGCATTGAACTATGGGTCCAACCCACCCTGAAGCCACTGTGCCTCTGAAACTCTTACATGAGATCATAAATTTTAAGGAAATTTAAAGCCACCCTTGAATTTGAGACCAGGTTTTTATTACTTGTGTCTTTCTACTAACAAAAGCATCTTAACTGCTACCCCATGTATCTTTTCAGTTTGTCTTCATACAGCTCAGAGAGCTTGCAATTATTATTGACATCCCGAATTTGCAGATGGGGGTTGGATACAGATGAAAGCCCTCTCTAGGTGTGGGAGGTCTCTTTGTGGGTCCATGCAATAACTAATCTCTTGAGAAACTGCAGGTATTATTACAAATGGAAGGTCAAGTTCATGGGTGCTGTGGCAATTTCCTTTATAAAGTAAAAAACCCTTCCACAAAGTGACAGTCCATTTTCTAGTTTAGAAGTGAAATAATTATTGAAGGTGCAGCATATGTACTGCTATTGTCCCTATTTCATAGCTGAGAACACTGAGGCTCAGAGAGGGCCAGTCACTTGCCCAAGGTCACACAGCTCAGTGGGTAGAACTGCCGGACCTTCAGCCCTGGGTCTGACCCCAGTGCTTTTACCTCCATTCCAACCGGCTCCCATGGCATCTGCCTTGGGCTTAAACAAAAGTTGTGAAAGTACTTTGTAGACAGTGAGGATGCTCACTTCTCAGTTACCTGGCTCTGCCCTCACCCTCAACCTAAATTTAGCAGGGGCCAGCAAGCAGACCTCAGTCCCCACCTCCACCCCAGTTTCTTTCCTTTCAGAGCCCAAATCCCTCATAGCTGTTTCCCAGAATGCTTGCTTCCTGTGTGTCCTCCCCCTATTAAAAAATCTCCTGTTGATTGAAAGATAAAACCTTTCTTTTCAGCTGGTTGCTTGTAACGTACTGTTTTCTATTGCTGGCTGGGCTCCTTCAATTAGTTAAGAGTGCATGAGCAGCAAGAAAGGGGAAAGGAAAACCCGTCATTGCCTGTCAGTAACAAACATGGCTACTAGGGCGTTTTCCCAGAAGGAAACTGGAGGGAACTTTCTTATCAGTCCAGTATTGTATATGTGCAATTTTTGAAGATAATACTTTTGAGCTGTTCAAATACTGTTCTTTGGGCTGGTGACTTTTGATACCAGTAGACCCAAGCGAGAGAGCCTTAGCTTTCTGAAGCACTTCCCTCTGCAAAGTAGTCTAATTTGGACAGGCTGTGCTGCTCGCTGGCAAGCACTGGACCCATCATCCCAGTGCCACAGTGTCATGGCTTTTCTTTCTGGGAGTCTAGAAGGATGTTTTCCTAGAAAAATGCAAATAGGACACTATCTTTTCTTTTCCTTTCCTTTCCTTTCCTTTCCTTTCCTTTCCTTTCTTTTCTTTTCTCTTTTCTTTTCTTTTCTTTTCTTTTCTTTTCTTTTCTTTTTTCTTTTATTTTCTTGAGACAGAGTCTCACTCTGTTATCCAGGCTAAAGTGCAATGGCGTGATCTCCACTCACTACAACCTCCGCCTCCCGGGTTCAAGCAATTCTCATGCCTCAGCCTCCCGAGCAACTAGGATTACAGGCATGCGCCACCGCACCTGGCTAATTTTTGTATTTTTGTAGAGACGGGGATTCACCATGTTGACCAGGCTGGTCTCAAACTCCTGACTTCAAGTAATCCACCCACCTTGGCCTCCTAAAGTGCTGGGATTACAGGTGTGAGCCACTGTGCCTGGCTGGACACTATCATTTCACACCATTAGTCATTTAAGACAATCAACAGTACAGGAAGGGCATCAGCTAGTCATCTGGGTGAGGGGTTTCCCTCTCCTGAGGACTCCACCATCCCAGCAGGCTATTTATATTGGGGTGCCACCATCATATAGCAGGTTGGGAGTCCTGAATTTAAACACAAATTTAAATTTAAGAGGCAGATAAATGGAGAAGGAATATGTAGTAGGTTGAATGGTGGCTGTCCCCCCAAAGATATGTCCATGTCCTAACCCCTGGAACCTGCTAATGTGACTGTAATCAGGGAAAGGGTCTTTGCAGTTGTTACTAACTTAAAGATCTGGAGGTGAATTCATCCTGGGTGATCCAGGTAGGCCTTAAATCCAATGACAGGTGTCCTTATAAGAAAAAGGCAGAGGGAGACTCAAGACACACAGAGGAGAAGTGGGAAGAGGGATGGCTTTTGGAAGAACAAATACCAACATGGGTTTTGTTTAATTTGTCAAAGTCTTTAGATAATTTGAAGTGAGGTCATTAGTACCCACATACCAATTTGAAGTGAGGTCGTTGGTACCCAGTGCCTCTGCATTCCATGAGAGAGTCCACTGTGTGGCTTTGGGCGTGATAGCTGCTCTCTCTGAACCCATTTCTTCCACCGTTACATGACGATGCTCATGGTGCCCACCCTCATAGCCGTTGTGAGGATCAAGGAGGTGTGAGGTGTCAGGGGTCATAAATCGGCAGCCCACAGGTGACTTTGGGACACAGGCATTTTTGGTTTGTCTTATATAATTTATTTTTAAATTTGTTATCAACCTTCCACTACCAGGAAACTTTATACCAAAATCCCATATTCCCTTGAAAAGTCAAAAAACCTGCCGATCTAGTGTCACTATGAAATAAATGACTGGAGTTGAGTTGCAGCTGGCCCCAGCATGGGCTCTTCAGTTTGCCACAGTCCTCACCACTCCCTATTGCACAGCATGCTCAGACTCCATTTATTCCACTCACCTGGCTGGCCCCTGGAGGCCTCTGAGTTTGCAACCTTGGTGAGTGAAAGCTTTTTGTAAATTCTTGGTTAATTTCATTTTCATTTCACAAAAAGACAAATCCCAAACTCATATTCTTATTGAGGAGAGTGTCTCCAGTAGGGAGAGGGACTGATGAAAACCTCTGTCAGATGGAATTTTTTTACTTAATAGAGTTTGTTGTAACCAGATCAGCAACATCCTTTCATCGTAGGCTGCTGACTTGTGGAAATCTCTTTGTTACCCAGAACTAGACACAAATGATGGTACTTGTTAAAACCAGGCGTGCTGGTGGAGAGAGACCTCCATTTATGCTTGGTCTTGCCAATATTTTGATGTTCCAGTCCTTCTCTGGTTTAATAGTTAAGTACATGTTCATTTTGGATTTTCATTCAAACCAGTTCAAGAGGTGATTTTAAGAAAAAACAACACTTTTGGTTTGCATTTCGTCACCAAAACTAGCTATGATTTCCTTGGAGTTCAAGGTTCAGAAAATGGGTCCAGTTCATTGAATCAGACTCAAAATATGGCTCTGCCTCCTGCTAGCTGTGTGACTTTGGGCTGTCCCTTAACCTCTCTGAGCCTCAGTTTCTTCATCTCTGCAAAGGCCAGAATAATAGCTGTCACATCACAGGATTCCTGTAAGGATTGGAGATGACATAAGTTAAGCTCATGGAATAGGAGCTGGAGCATGAGACAGTATTTTTCTTATTATGATTGATTACTCCTTTAAGAGACTCCCCTAGTTCTAGTTTGGGAAGTAGAAATCTTAGATTGTGAAGATTTTATTGTTCACACACACCTGTAGTAGAATTCGGCCTTGATTTGCAAACCTTAGAGGTAATAATGATGACCTTGATAATAATTTTGAGGGGTGATATTTACTAGATATTCCCTTGGAACAGATGAAATCCTCCCCCTTCTCTCCTCTTGTCCTCTTTCCCCTTCTCCGTTACAATCTTTGGCACTTGAGGGTTAGTTATGTATCAACACACGATGTCTTGGGAAATCTGGAATAAGAAAATATTCTCAAAGCCTCCTGATTTGCAAACTGAATGATATACTCCCTAATTTTAGGTGCCAGCCTGTGTGGGATCAGATCAAGAGATAATAGATGAGCGAGGGTTGGGGGATAAGGCGACCGTTCTTCACTCTTTGGCTCTGTTCCCCGTCGCAAGAGGTTTAGCATTCCCGGGTCCCTGGCACTGAAGCCAGTAATGCCCTTCCAGTCATTGGAACAAACCAAAATGCCCTCCCATGCGTCTGAATGTCCCCATGGGAGTTTGACAACCACCATTAGCCAAATGAAGGTGGCTGATGAGAATATTCAAGCTTTCCTGGCCTGCAAACTTGGGCCAGAACCTCCATTCATCTCTCTGAACCTCCATTTCCTGGCCTGTCAAGTGGGAGCGTCGTGTTCACCTTGCAGGGCTGTTGGAAGGACTAAGAGGGAGGGTGTATGTAAGGGGCCAGGCGTGATCACTGGCATACAGTAAGTGCTCAATGCATGAGGCTGGCACATATTAAGTGCACAATGCACAGGGCACAGCATGGGGGTGCAGCAGACCTCTTGGCTCCCCTTTTTCCACTGATTGTGTCTCCAAGTAACAGGGCCAAGGGGGGCATTCAAAGCCCTCCGGACTTCATTCTGCCCTAATTGGAAGTCATTGTGGAATGAAGTCCAGTATTTAATTTGGCCTGTGTTTGACAGATCCGATGTGCACAGCGAGCAGAGCTCACACAGGGCCTGTGCGTGATACAGGGGGGATTCTTGGCCTGGGCTCAGGGCGGATTGGTGGAGAAAATGTCGCATTCAATTAAGGCTGATTGGCCCTGACAGTTGTCTGGGTGAAGTTTATAAGGTACATCTAATCTGGATGCATCTGGTCATAAAAATGCAAAACAAGCCATTCCCACCCAAGTTCTAACTCCAGATGTGGGCTGATTCTCAGTGATTGACACCATATTTTTTGCAGCTGTCCTACATTTCAAATCTTTTTCTATTTAAAATATATTCATCATAATTATGGAATGCAATAAACAAACTTCAGCCTGATGACAAGCTTTAAATATAAGAAAGTTTCAGCTTAAAATAAATGCCGTGATTTCTCAGCCCAGGACGGAGACAGCACCAACAAGCATTCTCCAAAGGAGCCTTGACCTTGTCACCATGAACCAGAAACAGTTATTTTCTCTCCAGTATTGACTGATATTTGGAGCGGGGACAGAGGGAGAAAAATAAAAAAGCTATTTATATCAGATAGAAAAATGTGCACAACCATCGGAAAGCCACGCTTGCAACACAAAGAAAAAGAAATAGATTCAACTTAATCATGTTTTGAAGGCCTCTGGTGGTGCAGGTTCTTCCCAGGGCAGGGTAGACTAGAGGTTATGCACATAGACTTTGGGGCCAGGTTGCCTGCTTTCAAATCCCAGCTTCCACACTCCACACACTGGTACCTTGAGCATTGTTTTGTCACTTAACTATTCTGTGCCTCGGCTTCCTCGTCTGTAAAATGGAAGATGATAATACCACTTATTTCATCGTGGAACTGTAAGAGCTAAATGAGTTACTGTAAATAAAGGGTGTATAACAATGCCTGGCACATAAATGCTCAAGATGTGTTAGCTATGATGGTAATCCATATCAGCTGACCCCTTTCCATGGATCCTCCAAGGGGGAGAGTGAGGTTTCCAGAGATTAGATGACTCGCACAAGTTTCATCCAACCCCTGGCAGAGCTGACATCCAAACCCTGATCATTTGACTTCGCTATAAAACATGCCTGCGGGTGCTCAGTCTTGCTCATGTTTGCATTTTTTTTGCCTCAATTTAAAGTTTTTTAAAGAAAGTTTTCCTGGTGGCTGCTCTATCAGTGGCTTTTTATGCATTCAAATAGTGTCCTATGAAATCTTGGACAAAAGAGCATCCTTATGTTTCTTCTGCTGCTCCTGGGGCTCATCTTTTATTTTTAATGCTATTTAAATGAGTCTGTAATTGAGATAGTCAAATAAACAGGCTATTAGGTTAATTATAGAGAGCTCAGCCTACATCCAAGCTGCTGGGTTTCCTATCCTCTTGTGGACCTCAGCCATGACCTAATGATTCTACCATTAACAGCAAGTACAGCTTAGTTCCTCGAGAAAAATGAGAACTACCCAGAGTTCATGTCAACAATCTGCTCCTCTTTAAAATGAAGCCATAAGTCACAAGCCCTCTGAGTTCCCAGAGAAGTGTCTGGAGCTAAATTTGTATCCTGACTGTGATAATTGTTCTCCTATTAGGCTGATGAGAGAATTAGCAGAGCCAAGTCCTCTGGGGCTGTGCCCACAGCTCGGGCCAAGCTGAAAATGACTCTGTGAGTTTTATTTGTGAGATGTGTAAAAGGCTTGTCCATCACTGGGCCCGTGGACATGGGTTCAATATCAAAATAGCATGAGCCGCCTTTCCCAACAGACAGACTCCAGTCCTGGCAGGCCCTCTGAATACAGCAGGAACAAAAAATTCCTGCCGGAAAAGGTGTAGCTGGGTGTTAGTTCTCTCTACAGCCCTGTGGATGGCTCCACTGATATCTGTGGCCCGTGCCTGACCTGCTGCACTCCTGTTTGAGAGAGGTAGTGTGGAAGGGTGGCAAGAGCGTGTCCTTTGGAGACAGACCCAGGCTCAAATGGGTGGACTGGGGTCAGCAGCCCCAGGTATTGGTCTCAGAGATTGGTCTGTGAAAGGGGAGAATGGGAGTAAATAGTCTCTGACTTGCAGGATCGTCATGAAGATTGGAAGAGATTATGTGGGGAGAGGACCAGGCTTGAAGCCAGTGCTCAATAAACAGAGGCTGAGGTTTTGATTCTCTGGGGTCAATGAGGCACTTAACATGGTTGTCTGGGATTGGAAAGATTGTTTCTCCTTCTGTAGCCAGAATGGCAAATAGATTGTATCTCCCAGTTCGATATGAATCAATTGGAGATGCCTGCTTAAAGTGCAGTGAATGATTTGTAATACCTGCCATGGACTAGGGTGGGTGATAAGAGAATGCACCCCATGTGTTTCTATCTCCCTTCTAGAATGTAAGCTCCAAAGGCAGGGACTGGGTCTGAACAACAATCCATTAACTTTGTACAGGCTCCAAAGCATTTTTGCATCAATTATCTCATTACTCTCCCCCAAAATCCTCAGACATGGTATGCTGTGGTCCCACATCCCCTGGAATTGCAAATATTCTGTCCTCCAAAAGGGCCTGGAGTTTAAAAACTATAGCTAATGTAATAGGCAAGGAAAACCTTATTCACCCTAATCTACAGATGAGGAAATTGAGTCTCAGAGGGAGAAATAAACTGCCCAGAATCATACACTCAGTTGACAGAAGAACTAGAACTCAATTTAGATAATTTATTTATTTATCTACTCAACAAACATTCCTTCATTGCCTACTATGATCAAATTCTGGACTCAACACTCATGTTGCCCTTGAAGTTGCCTACAGTCTAGTGGGGGATATTGATGTGTAAACAATGAAATTACAAAACTGTGTGTGAGAGTGCAAACAGTCAGGGAAGAGGGAACATTTCAACTAAGTTTTGAAGGCATGAGATCCAGAAGAGCTCAGTTATGGAACTTGGTCTTTATCCTGAGGGCAAAAGGGAGCCATGGAGGGTTCTAGGCAGTGAGTGACCTAATTACTGTAGTGTTTTGGACAAACCACCAAAGGGCAGTGTGGAGAATGGACAGGAAGGGGAGGACTTGGAACAAGGAGGCCAGAGAGGAGTTTTGTGGTCCAGGTGAGGGGTACTGAGGCCTGAGCAGGTGCAGGAGTACATGGGGTGGGTAGGAGGTCATGGGTAGGACATGAAAACTCCCCAGACCCCAGAAGGTCTCCCTTCTGTGAGCAGGAATCAGAAAGGACTCAGCAGAAGTCTGCCCCAGGCTTGGAGGAGAAGACCAGGCCAGAAAACAAGGCCAGGAAAGGCAGGGCAAAGGGTTTTTTAGCAGGTAAGTAGGCTGTGTCCCTCATCGCCATGGGTAATCTGGAAGCAAACTAATTTGAGTCATTTTGAGAGACTCTTCCTTAACTTACATGCCCACATTATAGTGACTATTAACTGCAGTAAGTTAGGTTATGCTGCAGTAACAGATACTCCCAAATCTCAGTGGCTCTCACAGAAAGCTTGCATTTTCACCATGCAGAGTGTGTTCTGGGTCTAGGCCAGAGAACAGGGCAACTGTTCTCTATGCAACAGCTCCACAATCCCGGTGGAAGGACATTCCACCATCTTCTACATCATCATCTGGAACAGGAAGTCTTCTCAGTCAATGCCAAAGACGAAGAGAGAGAAAGAGGGGGTTCTCAAGCCAGCAATTAAATGCTTTTGAAGTGACATTTGTAACTTCTGCTCACACCCATTGGTCAAAGCAAGTCCCCTGGCCCTGCTGAGCCAAGCAGGCTGGAGATGCAGACTTTCCCGCACCTGGACAGAGAGACAAGCAAGCCATTCGTGAGCACTAGTAATGTCTCTTACAGGGTCTATGGAATGGTTGCTGTTTTTTAAATTCAGAATTGTTTAAAATCCAACTTCTTTCCTTTTCTGACGTTGAATCCTGCAGCAATTATTATCTCCATTTGGCGGATGTGGAAACTGGGGTCAAAGGTCAAATAAATGATGTCTGCAACTGACAAAACAAGATTAGACTTTTAAAAAATTACCTGCAGTGTCACTCTGAAAACCTCTCCTCTCTATAGTCTCCCACTCAGGTGATGATACCCACATCCATAGTAAGGCACGGAAACATGGGTTCTAGCCTCTGCCCTCATGCCAATCAACCGAGGACCCCTGGAAAAGTCACTTTACCTTTCCAAGGCTCAGTCTACCTGCCTGCAAAATGGCAGTAGAAACTACCCCATCCTCCTGGTCTCCAAGAGTTAGCTAAGGATGAGATGAAACACTAGGTATGAGGTAAATGAAACTTGGATAAAATTCCTGATGTTGCTATTATCTGTGAGAGGGGAGGAAATACTCTTGGGTGCAGTAATGAATGAGCTTTACTCAAAGGAGATCTTCAAAAGCTTATTTCTGGCGCTCAGAAATTACCCGCAGAATTTCCAGACTGCCATGTGGAGTGCTTTGACACTCGACTTTCAACTCTAGCCTGTCTTTGTGGCCTTAGGCAAGTCACTTCACCTCTCTGACCTGCAGGCTATTCATCTGTATGACGGGTTGCCTATCCTCCTGGCAGGGGTGCTGGGAGGGCCCGAGCCAAGGCTGAGGGGTCCCCTGGAATTCAGAAGGCACTAAGCAAAAACTAGTTGCCCTTTTCCCGAGGATCTTGTAAGAGAACCTTGCCAGAGATTTGGGATCCGGAATTTTTTTCCCTTCAAAGGAATGGCAATAAGGAAATGTGTGTGAGCATGTGAGAGGGAGGGTGCATATGAGTGTGTGTGTGTGTGTTTGTGTGTGTGTATGTGTGTGTGTGTAGGGGGAGAGGACTGTGGAGAAATAAAGAAATGGTGGGGAATAAACAACAGAACATTTTAGTGACTTGCAGATGAAAGCTTCTTTTAGCAGAATTCATTAGCTTTCTGCACACCAGTTTAGCTGTGTTTGGAAAAATACTTAACTTGCTATAGGATGCCAAGTCATGAATGTGTCAGAGAGAGAGAGAAAATTTTTTTTTAGAAATTCGTCTGTCCCTCTCCTAAGAGCAAAGGGTCTATTGAAACGCAGTGGTTGATGCTTGTTGGTGACATTCTCTTTATTTATTCTTTGTGTGAGAATGTGGGAAGGAAGTCAGGAGTGAAAGGTTTTTGCATGTTATTCTGAGAGATGGAGGGAGAGGGGGCAAAGAAGAAAGAATAATGGGTGGGAAAAGGAGAGAAAACTGTGAGGGGGAAAGGAAAGGACAGAGAGGGCTTGAAAAGGAGCAATAGTGAAAGAGATGGAGGCGAGGAGAGACAGAGAAAGAAGGGGAGGGAAAGGGAGTGAGTCCGGAGGGCAGAGCTGAGAGCTGGGAGACAGGCAGGGGAGAAGACAAAGAAAGAGAAGGAAAGAGGAGTCAGAAGAGACAAGCAGACAGACAGACAGCCCACTAGGACAGACGAGAGAAGGGCCGGGAGATGGGGAGGTGGGGCGGGACTGGGAGAGCGGGACCCACTGTCCCCTCCCATCTTGAACCTGCCTTGGTGTATGTCAACCTTGACGCCTCTCTCAGGGCCTGCCTACCCAACCAGCTGCATCTGCAATGTTTAAAGTGCCCGTTTCTCACATGGAGCCTGACGATGGAGCCGAGCCAGCCTGCATTTGACAACCAGATGCTGAGCTCACACAAAGGCATCCTCCGCCCTGGCTGCTGGCGGGGAGATGAGCAGGACTTTGCAGAGCACCAGTCCACCCTCCGTGCCTGAAAACCCAGGGCAGGCCCTGCCACAGCTTCAGCCACCAAGAAGGGACCAGGGTTTTGGAATCAGACAGAGCTGAGTTTGAATCATACACAGCCCATCCCTTCCCGGTGGCTCTGTGCATGTGGTCCTGAGCCTTGGTTTCCCCATCTGTGAGATGGGGCTAGTAAGAAAATGGATGGTGAGAGGATTCCTAAGGAAAGAAGCATCAAGGGTTTGGTAAAGAGAAGACCATAGATTGCAAACCCAAGCCTAGCAGGTTGAATTCACCGGAAGCGGTTTGTTCGACCTCCTCTAGGCTTCAGTTTTTGAATTAATTGCTGACATCAAAAACCCAGATTTCTTATAAAAAGTCCATATTTCTGGTTTCTCGTGAAAGACCCTAGTACCGAAGGCTGGAAGTGAGCCGCAGGCCCCCTCTCTGCCATAGGCCCCTCCCTCCCTGTGGCTCCACGTCTGGTTGCCCTCATTTACATTTCCTTCCTGGCCGCTGAAGTCACTTGACCCTCATTTAGTGGCTAAATACCACCTTCTCCCCACCAGCCACCCAAGTTATGCCCTTTTATATTTCTTCTGTGGTTGACATGGTCTTTCAAGGAGAAAGGAAAGCAAAAATTGCTAAGGGGTGAGTTGTCATCTCATTCTCAGAACAAAGCTGGATTTCCAGTTCAGACCCCAATCGGGCCCATCAATACGAGGGGCTGGACCCGCACAAAAGACATGCGGATTGTCTGGGGCTGCAGGTGGGTTTCCCAAGAAACTCTGAAATTCAAATGAGTGGCTGCTTCTCTTTGAAATAATATGTTTCAATTTAGTGTTTAAATAATGTAGCTTTCATTCCAGCCATTGTTTTGGACTTTGCAAGAATTTTCAAGCATGTAGGCAGAAACTAGGCATAAGCATGTACTCCTCCACCCCAAAAGATGAATCCTGTAGCTTCTCAAGGATTGGGAGACTTGGGCATATGTACTCAGGAGGATACAACCGGACAAAGAGCTGGGAAGGGCCTGGGCTGAGGGAGGAAGGAGCCTCTCATTGGTTGAGTACCCATTGTGTCCTGCAGCCAGGGGGATGGCCACCATGTATAGCCCCCTTGCTCAGAGCTTATAGTACAGAATGGGAGGACAACAAGTAGACACATTCCAAGTTTCCAAAGAGAACAGCACAAGATACTGGGGAGACCCAGAGAAACACCTAGTGCAGCTGGGAGGAAAGCAATTTAGTTCCCTGGAAGAGATGAAGCCCCAGACAGGCCCCAATAATGAGTAGGAGTTGGCATGGAGCAGAGGTGCAGATGGGAGCTCCAGGGAGCAGGTGACAAAGATCCAGGTATGTTTGGGGTCCTGGAAAGATTGCAGGGTTCTGGAATATAATGTGGAGGAGAGGGGAGGGGGAAGTGAGAGATGAGCTAGGGTCTGTGAACAGGGTTCGATGGAGAAGGGCATTGCCTGCTGTGCTGAGGCATGCAGAGATGAGATCATCTGCAGGCAGTGGGGAGCCATGGACAGGTTTTTAGAACAGGAATGGCACGATCAGATTTATGTGTTAGAAACATGATTTTGAAGGCTATGCGGAAGCAGCCTGCAGGGGTGAGCCTGAAGGTAGGAAGGCCACCAAGGAAAGCGGTGCCTGGAGGTGGCCAATGGGATACAGTGAAAACGGTGGATTCCAGAAATCAGTGTTGGCGGAAAATCCGATAAGACTTGGCGACAGCTGCAGCATCCCTGAAGGAGGCTGATTTGCATAAAAGCTGGGTCTCTGCAAAGTTCCACCCCTATTGATGGGTGGTTAATTGAATTCATTCATCTAACAGCAAACATTTATAGATGCTGACTCTGCTGGGAGCCCTGAGCTAGGTGCTGAGAGGAAGAATGAGGAAGAGCTGATTCCTGCACACCAAGTGGCAAGCCACCAAGAAACCTTGCTTTTTAAAAGGCTTTTCTGACCCAGCATCCTATAAAGCAGATGGTAGCCCTCCCCGACCCCCTTTCCAGCTCCCGAGTTCTCTGGCTGAGAGAATACGAGTTGCTGCCACTGCACCCAGGCAAGAAGAGCCAGACCTTACCACAGTTTACCGTGAGCTGGGCACTGTGCCCGGGGGCTTGTCACTGACTAGCTTATTCTAGGATGGGGTTCAGGGTTCAGCAAACTTTCTGTAAAGGGTCAGAGAGTCAAAACTTTAGGCTTGAGGTCCATACGGTCTCTGTTACAACTACTCAATTCCACCATTGTAATGTGAAAGCAGCCATAGACAAAACATACATGAATTAACGTGGCTGCATTCCAATAAAACTTTATTTACAGAAACAGGTGGTGGGCCAAATTTGGTCCACAGGCCACACTTTGCCAGACCCTGATGGAGTTCTCAGGATTCTACTTGTGCTATAGAAACTGTGCATCAGGCAGGGTCCAGGAACAGATGGCTACTCACGTGGGGAATTGAGGAGGGGGTCACTGGAGGGCTTTCGACAAGGGTGGCAGGTGAAGAGGAATTGACAGGGCTGCTGAAGTCCTCCCAGGAGAGCAACAGTGGGGAGCTGTTGCAAACCCTAGGATTGGAGGGACAGCAGGAGGCGTGATCATCAGAACCCACAAGACCTGCTGCATGGAGAGAGGGAGGGCCACCCAGCGGAAGCTGTAGCCTTCGGTAATGAGTCACAGCCTGTCAAGAGCGGCTGGGAGGAAAGCACTCTGACCTGCTTTCCCTCCTGCTATCCAGTCTCCTGCTATTGCCCCCCTTTGACTGGACCCAGCAGAGGCTGGGGGCAAGGGAGCCCACTGAGGCAGGTGGAGAAGGGTGGACTGGCAAGTGGAGGGCAAAGAGAATCCCAGATCCACAGCTGCGGGAGTCTAAACAGGCGCCCAAAGTCATGCAGCTAGCGAGCGACAGTGCTTTGATTTTAAGCCACCTTTGGTCAGCAAGTTCTCCAGTGGCCAGGTTCTCTCTGGGCAGAGGCTGACATGGGAGGAGATAGAGGATGTGCCAAAGGACAGGCGGGCTGAAGGAGGGGCTCGCCGTGGGCAGGGATTTTTCTCAGACAAAAATAGCCCCCAGTGGGAATCCGACAGTCCTGGTTCAAATCCCAGCTCAGCTACTTACTGCTGTGGTCTGGCTCAGGTCATTATGCCTCTCAGAACCTCAGCTTCCTTATCTGCAAAGCTGAGGTGAGATTCTCTTTATTTGTACAGTGTTTCTCAGGGGTGGTCAAGAGACTTCCAGTCCAGACCTCCTGGAGTGCTGGTTAAAAAAGCAAATTCTCAGTCTGTCTCAGACTGTCTGAATCAGACTCCGTGGGTGGGATCAGAAAATGTGTCTTCCGACAAGGTTCTGGGGTGATTCGAATGCACCCCAATGCATGAGAGACCAGTCTATTGGCTTCTTGTGATAATGAAATCAACCTGTCCACACAGCTGTAGGCCCGTTGCAGACCCATCATCTATGGGCAGCCCCTATGAGCTGCACTGTTGATCTCAATCAGTTCATCAAATCATCGTGGCAACCAGAGAGATGGAGTTACTCTCATTCCCATTTCGTGGATGAGAAAAGTGAGACTGGGAGAGATCCAAACACTTGTCTCAGCCAGATGGATAACCACTGGCTGGGACACAGTAAGAGCCAGTTCACTTCCTCTTGCCCTCCCCAGGAGAAGAGAGGGCTAAGCAGGGAGGCCACGGCAGAAGCGGAGCCCTGTGCAACCATGGGCAAGGACCCAGAGGACCCCCTGGGGCAAATTCAAGCGCTGAAGGGGAAAGGCCATGTTCCCCACAGGAAACTGCAGAGAGGGGCCACCCAGGAAAGCCTGGCAAACTCGTCTGAGCCTAGGCGGCCCCAGGAGAGAGGCACAACTTCTGCTGAGCTGTGAAGCCTCAGCGATGCTATATGAAATCAGCCGGGCTGGGTAATTCACATTAAGGCACCGGAAGCTGTCTAACAGAGGCCTTTTTCTCCTTCTTTTAAATTAAGCAATGGGATTTGCTCATGGACTTTAGGGTCCTAAATACTCTTGACTCCTATGGTGAGGGGGAAATGTATCTTTGTGAGACTGAGACTTCTTTCATGGGCATCTTTGTGCAGAGGTACCTAGAGATGTATTTTTTAAAGCTAATAAATCAGAAACCTTGTTTGAATCCCAATCCAGAACAGATGTAATGCATATGGTCAGTAGACTTGGAGTTGCAAATAAATATGTTTGGAAACCAAATATTTGAAAAGCAATTCTTCTTCTCATTTTTTTTTTTTAAGTGTCACTGCCAAGATCGGTTCAGGGATTTGGTTTCCCCTGAAGTTGTTGCCACAGCACTATACTCTCTCAGCCAGAAAGGAGATATAGTAATGCCCCAGGCTAGGGGTGCAGAGAGGTTTCAACTTGCGTGCAAGTTGGGGTTGATTGGTTGTGGCTGCCTGAAGTGCTAGGCAGAGAAGGAACCTAGGCTCAGCTAGAAAGAGTGCTATGATCCATTAGCAATGTCTGCCCTAGGACTGGTCGTAGGCAGTGGAAGTACATAATTGCCATCCCTGTCCTAAGTGTTTTAGGATTTGCTAAACCCTGAGCTACCTGCTTTTTTAATAGGACTGTGTTTTGTTTATTTTGAATGTAGTGCAATGAAAATTTTAGGGTACAGAAAAATCGGGGATATTGAAGAGGTTCACTCACCCTCTAAATGCAATGCCCACATAATAACTAAATAGGCCTCTCACTAACCCAGCCCTCTACCTGAAGATAGAACAGGTAATCCTCTGAACAGGCCTGGGTCCCAGAGGTGGCACTTATCACAAATACTTACCTTTTGTTTATTTTATTTATTGTTTGTTTGTTTGTATACTGGATTATTGACTGTTTCCTCCCTAGAACATCAGCTTCATGAGGACAGGGACTTTGTCTATTTCTGTTCATTGCTTTGTACCCCACATTTAGCTAGCAGTGTATGGCACATTATATGGACTAAATTGATCTTTGCTGAATAAAAGTCTTTTTTTTCCATTTTTTTGTTCATTCCCTCACACGTGTGCTTTCTGATACCTTCACTACTCTGAGCTCAGTCCAGGGCTGGGTCTGAAAATTCAGATATAATAAACCTCCAGCCTGCTGAGGGAGCTAGATATGTCATTTAGTGATCCTAGAACAGCACGAAAAGGTCACAATAAAAGTAGGTGCTGGGAGGCCAGGCATGGTAGCTCAGGCCTGTAATCCCAGCACTTTGGGAGGCAGAGATGGGCAGATCACTTGAGGTCAGGAGTTTGAGACCAGCCTGGCCAACACGGGGGAAACCCATCTCTACTAAAGATACAAAAAAAAATTAGCTGGCCATGGTGGTAGGTGCCTTGGCCATGGTGGTGGGATGGGTTATCCAAGCTTCTAGGCAGGCTGGGGCAGGAGAATTGCTTGAACCTGGGAGACAGAGGTTGTAGTGAGCTGAGATTGCACCACTGCACTCCAACCTGGGTGACAGAGTGAGACTCCATCTCCCCCACCAAAAAAAAAAAAAGTAGGTGCTGAGGCAGAAGTGACACATCAGGGAGAAATGATGCATTGGAGCACCAGGAGAGAATTCACAGAGGCTTCCTATTGACCTAGGGTTTTGAAAATGAGTAGACATTTTCCAAGGAGAGTTGGATGTATTATGTTTTTTACAAGTATGTAGGATCCCATGCTGACCCAATCTTTGGGGACAGCCTTTGAGCCCTCCCTGGTGTGATTCAGAGAAAGTCAGACCTCTTGCCCCAGTCCAGATGATCTTCGTTATGGGCATTCTGCAAGGACCTTGTTAGCAGAAAAGCCTCATCCTCACTGGTTCTGTGGTGAGCACCGACCCCTCCACCCGCTGCCCTAGGGATATTGTCCTCAATGCCTCCCTGCCTGGCTCAGAGGCACGTGCAGCCTGTTTTTACAGCTTTTTACTGAGCTGAGCTGGGAGAAAATGCCAGCTTGATCCATTTTTCTTTCCTGTTCTTCAGACATGTGCAGGCAAAAAAGCTGGCTCAGCAGATTGCCTGCCTGGAGGATTTTGGATGGAAGGCAAGTTCAGAGTCTCATCATTTAAAAGACCTGCTCTCTTCGAAAGTAATGGTAACAATAATCGTAATAACAGCTACCGTGGGTGGCTGGCACGCTTGCTCAGTGCACCCCTGGACCGCCACTTTACTTGCACTATTTTACAGAAGCTTCACCAGGACCTTGTAAAGTTGCTGTTATTTTTTCTATTTTCCCATGTGAACCTTAAGTCCAAGTTTATACAGGTAGAAGTCAGAAAGAAAACCGTAGTTCTCGGACTCCTGAACTCACACCTTGCCTTTCCATTTATCTGTCTGTTTAAATTTATTTATTGATACTCTTACTCCTTTCAAAAAAGATTTGAGGCAATGATGGAAATACAAGCAGAAAAAGAAAAAACAAATTAAACCAACCAAGGCTATCAGAGCCAAGAGACTCTGAGACAGGAAAGTTCAGTATTTTCTGCAACGGTTGAGTACCGTATTTTTTGTATATCAGGTCAGCCCAGTTTGTTAATTGTGTTATTCAGGTCCTCTCTGTCTTCACTGATTCCATCTGCTATTTTCTGTCAGTCACTGAGAAATGTGTGTTAAAAGCCCCACCGTAGTTTTGGATTTCTCTCTCTCTCCTTTCAGTTCTGTCAGTTTTTTCTTTTTCTTTTTTTTTTTTTTTTTTTTGAGACAGAATACCTCTCTGTCACTCAAGCTGGAATGCAGTGGCACGATGTCGGTTCACTGAAACCTCCACCTCCCGGGTTCAAGCAATTCTCTTGCCTCAGCCTCCCAGCTACACACCACTATGCCTGGCTAATTTTTTTTGTATTTTTGGTAGAGACGGGGGTTTCACCATGTTGGCCAGGCTGGTCTCGAACTCCTGACCTCAGGTGATCTGCCCACCTCTGCCTCCCAAAGTGCTGCGATTACAGGCATGAGCCACCACGCCGGGCCAGTTTTTGCTTCATTTTTGAAGTTTTGTTGTGAGACACATACTCGTTTAGAATTATGTGTCTCCAGCGGAGTGATGCTTTTTATTATCATTTATCATTTTTATTATAGTCCCTCTTTATTTCTGCTTTAAAGTTGCCTTTGCCAATAACGTAGCCTAGTTCCATTTGCAGGGAATTTTTTTTTTCATCCTTTCACTCACTCAACCTCACGGGGTCGTTATATTTAAGATGTGTCTCTGACAAGCAGCATGTAATTCTATTTTTGTTTTTGTTTTTAATCCTAGCTTTGCAATCATTACCTTTTAATAGGAATATTTAGTTTATTCACCTTTAATGTAAGTGTCCATATATTGAATTATAGGTGTATATGTACAATCACATTATCTGTTTTCCATCGGTCTCATCTGTTTTATGTTCTTCTCTCTTGATTTTCTTGTCTTCTTTTCAATTAATCATTTATTTGTTATTTAAATTTTACCCTCTATTATGTTGGTAGTTTACATTCTCATACTATTCTTTTAGGACTTTTCTTAACAATGACAATAAGCATCCTTGTCTTATTGAAGCCTACTAGATGACAGTACTATTACCGTTTATAAACAGTAAAATTAAGACATTTTAATTTTGTTATTTTAATTTAATTTACTCTCTTTCAATTTAAATGTTATTGCTGTCAAATATTTTTTATTCTACATGTATTTAAAATGCCACAAGATATTATCACAGTTGACCCTTGAACGATGCAGGGGTTCAGGATGCCAATCCCCTGTGCAGCTGAAAAATCTGCATTTAACTTTTGAGTCCCCCGAAGTTTAACTATTAATGGCCAACTGTTGACCGGAAGTTTTACCGATAACATAAACAGTCAATTAACACTTGCTTTGTCTGTTATATGTATTATAACTGTATTCTTACAATAAGGTAAGCTAAAGAAAGGAAAATGTCATTAAGAAAATCATAAGGAAGAGAAAATATATTTACTATTTATTAAGTAGAAGTGAATCATCATAAGGAGAGGCAGGAGAGGCAGGTACACTCAGTGTAAATTTTTTTTTTTTTTTTTTTTGAGACGGATTCTCACTCTGTTCTGTCACCCAGGCTGGAGTACAATGGTGCAATCTCGACTCACTGCAAGCTCCGCCTCCCGGGTTCACGCCATTCTCCTGCCTCAGCCTCCCGAGTAGCTGGGACTACAGGTGCCCACCACCACGCCCAGCTATTTTTTTTGTATTTTTAGTAGAGACGGGGTTTCACCGTGTTAGCCAGGATGGTCTTGATCTCCTGACCTTGTGATCCACCCATCTCGGTCTCCCAAAGTGCTGGGATTACAGGCATGAGCCACCACACCCGGCTGGTGTAATTTTATTGAAAAAAATCCATGCATAAGTGGACCTGTGCAGTTCAAACCCATGTTCAAAGATCCACTATATTGTCATGATTTTATGCAGTCAAACTTCATCTAGAGTTATCTACATATCTAGCCCTTCCATTGCTTGTCAATTCTTCCTGCATTTCTGTGCATCTTTCTGAGATAGTATTTCTTTTAGCACTTCTAAATGAAGTTTATGAGGAAGCTCCTTTTAATTTTGGTGCAAGTCATCTGATAGCAAATTCTCTGTTGTTGTTTGTCTGGAAATGTCTTTGAGGCCCCATTTTTAAAGGATATTTTCACTGGCTATAAACTATGCTGGCAATAATGTTATCCCAGCACTCTCAATATGTTATTCCATTGTCTTTTGGTTTACATCATTTCAGTTTCCTGTCTTAGTTTGTTTCTTTGATGATAAAGTGTCATTTTCATTCTAACTACTTTTAAAATTCTCTTTGTCTTTGGCCTTCAGCAATTTTACTCTCATGTGCTAAGGTGTGTTTTTCGTCTGTATTTATTCAGCTTGGAGTTCCTAGTGATTCATGAATCTGTAGTTTGACCTTTTTACCAGGTTTTTAAAAAATGTTTAGCTATTATCTTCTTAAAAGTGACTTCTGTCTTGTTGTCTTTTTTCTACCCTTCTTGGACTCCAATTGCATGTAAGAAAGATCTTTTCACCATTTTCATATGTATTTTATGGCTTTTTAAATTTCTATTCTTTTAACCTTTATGCTTCAATTTGTATATTTTCTATGAATCCATCTTTCAGGTCATTAAACTTTTCTTTAGCTGTATCTAATTTGATATTAAAATCACTGCCTGTATTCTTAATTTCAATTATTATATTTTTAATGTCTAATATTTTCATGTGATTCTTTTTTAAAGATTGATTTCTCTAGTGAAAATGTTCAACTTGTCATCTATTTTCTTGAATATATTAATCTCAATTTTTAAAGTCTATGTCTGATTATTCTAATACTCAGATCACCTGTGGGCCTGTTTGTATTATATATATTTTTTCTCTTGGTATGCCTGATAATTTTTTTTTTTTTTAAGACAGGGCCTCACTCTGTCACTCAGGCTGGAGTGTAGTGGTGCAATCTCAGCTTACTGCAACCTCTGCTTCCCAGTTTCAAGCGATTCTTGTGCCTCAGCCTCCCAAGTAGCTGGGATTACAGGCATGTGCCACCACGCGCAGCTAATTTTTGTATTTTTCATAGAGATGGGGTTTTGTCATGTTGTCCAAGCTGGTCTTGAACTCGTGGCCTCAAGTGATCCACCTGCCTTGGCCTCCCAAAGTTCTGGGATTACAGGCATGAGCCACCGTGCCCGGCCAATAACTTTTTATTGAGTATTGAAAACTTTTGTATAAAAAATTTTAGAAGCTCCAGATGATGTTATTTTCCTCCAAAGATAGGATTTTCTTTAGCTTCTGACAGGCTGTTATAATAGAAGTGCATAGAATCAGCTCAAACAGGAGCTGAACTGATTCAATAATGAGTTTTAATCTTTGTAATGTCTGGCCCATTTCCAGCTCACCTTTATTCCTAGGGTGTAGGCTGACATGAGTCTTACCTGAAAGCCAATTCGACTATTTCAGGAAAAAATAGAGGCACGTATTAGAGAAGCAGCATGACTGTGGGAATATAGGAGTATATCTGGGAACTTAGGAGCCATAAGAACCAGGGAGCTGAGCACCCCAGGACTCTCTCTCCTCATTTGGAATGCCTCTTTTCCTCTGATTTCTGACTTTACCTTCTCAGACCGTTGTGGCTCGGAACATGGTCACCAGCAGTTACCAAGAGCACATTTCTAAGATCCTCTACCACAGAAGGACAAAGACCTGATCCCTCTCTGTCAAAAATTTCAAGACAGAGCAGTGATCCGGTCACTTTGTGTCAATCACTATAGCCAAGTAGGAAGAACCCCAGGGAACACAGATGACTGAGTCATAGCCACAAGGCTGGTGTGGAGAAAGGAACATTTCTCAAAAGAGTGAGGAGGATAGATAGAGTTGGGTGCAAAACTATAGCTATCTAGTGCAGCAGGGCACTGAGGTTTGATATTCCCCAGAAATGTGCTGCTGCTCTTAAAATGAATGAAAGTGCTCCCTTTAGTTAATACGCTGTGAGTACTGAAGGGTTTCCCCAAGCTCCTAGCGGACAGAAACTTCCTGCTGTATCTCCTGTGATAATAATCATAATAATAATAGCAAAGACTTGGAACCAACCCGAATGTCCAACAATGATAGACTGGATTAAGAAAATGTGGCACATATACACCATGGAAAGCTATGCAGCCATAAAAAATGATGAGTTCATGTCCTTTGTAGGGACATGGATGAAACTGGAAACCATCATTCTCAGCAAACTATCACAAGGACAAAAAACCAAACACCACATGTTCTCACTCATAGGTGGGAATTGAACAATAAGAACACATGAACACAGGAAGGGGAACATCACACACCGGGGCCTGTTGTGGGGTGGGGGTGGGGGGAGGGATAGCATTAGGAGATATACCTAATGTTGAAGGATGAGTTAATGGGTGCAGCACACCAACATGGCACATGCATATATATGTAACAAACCTGCACGTTGTGCAAATGTACCCTAAAACTTAAAGTATAATAAAATAATAATAATAATAATAATAATAATAATAATAATAATAATAACTGCTATCTACTAAGCAGTCCAGTCCTGGGTCAGGAAGCCTTTACACATCTCTCATAAGAACATCTCCCATCTGTCTGCAAAGCAGGTATAACTATGCCCATTTTCAGAAGAGTAGCCAGATTATACCCTGAGGCTTACGAAATTACGAATAAAAATCAAAAGTGAATATTTTAGTGTACAAAAAGAAATCACACATATTTCATATTTTAAAAAGCTGACAGGTACCACAAACATCATGAAAGCTATAAAATTTACATAATATTTTTAATTAAAATATTGCCTAGCATTCCTCTATAATACTTTTATCCCTCTATTTTTGGCCACATACTCTTTGATCATCTTTTCATATGACAAAGATGTGATATTATTTCCTATGGAAAGAATAGAAAGGTAATTCAGTCTTTTCTTTAGCATGGTTGAATTTTTTTTTTTTATTGAGAGTTGAGATGCAAAAACAGGCAAATTCACACAAAAATATACTAGCTGTTTGTAGTTCTGTTATTGGTTTGTGCTCTACAAACAAAAAGTTAATAAATGATTTTTTTACATGGTTCCCATTGAAAGAAGAAAAAAAGAATGGCGACTTTATAATTTCATAGGCTGAATTACTGGGCATGTTTCTGAGAAGAAAGAACTTCTATTTTAATTATATATCTACAGAAACCAAATTGCCTGCTTACAGTTTTACATGTCTGATGATTGGAAGTTTTTGTTTGTTTGTTTGTTTGTTTGTTTGTTTCCACAGACTAGCCTCTGACTCCATATATTTCAAACTTTGTTCCTCTTCCACTACCCACATATTTCTGATGTGAGACATTCTAGAAAAATTTCATATTGCAAGACGGCTTCTAGGAATACCCTGTCTTGGACAGTGGGATTATTGAAGGGAAAGCAGGAGTATTTAAGCAGAAGTGGGAGTGTTACTGGAAGCCATTCCTACCCTGGAAAGTCAACTACACAGGCCGGGCATGGTGGCTCACGCCTGTAATCCCAGCACTTTGGGAGACTGAGGTGGCTGGATCACCTGAGGTCAGGAGTTTGAGACCAGCCTGGCCAACGACGTCTCTACTAAAAATACAAAAATTAGCTGGACGTGGTGGCATGCACCTGTAGTCCCAGCTACTCGGGAGGCTGAGGCAGGAGGATCGCTTGAACCTGGGAGGTGGAGGTTGCAGTGAGCTGAGATCGCGCCACTGCACTCCAGCCTGGTGACAGAGTGAGATATCGTCAAAAAAAAAAAAAAAAAAAGAAAGAAAAGAAAAAGGCAACTACCCAGATATATTTAACTAAACTCGGATCAGAGGTAGCCCAACTCATCTTCACCTTGGCCTGATTCCAAAAATGATTATGGCAAAGTATTAAAGAGGAAATCACGTGGAAAGGGACAGTAGTCTTGACCAATTGGGACTAAAATATCTTGCTTTTACAAATTTTGCCAAAACATGTGACCAAGTGAACACATTGTCCGCCCTCTTCCCGGGCTTTGGAGGAAACCTGCACAAAGGGAGGGGCCCTGAGCCCTAAGCTTCGTTAGCTTCATGATCAATACATCATTTCCACGTTCAGACGAGGAAACAAAGTCTGAGGGAGATGAAGTCATTTGCTCAAGGCCATGCAGCTAATAAATGATGAGGCCGGTAAGTGGAAAACATGGTCTCTGAAAAACAGCAGAGGTCAAGATGAATGGATTCCCTTCTGTCAGCCTCCTCACCCCTCTGTTGGGCCTTGGAGCAATAAAGACACAAGAGATATTAAGGAGTTGGCATGAGGTCTGACTAAGAGCGAGTGTCCTTGCAGCAACCAGAACCCAGTGTGCCTGATTCCACCCCAACAAGCATCCTCTGTCTAGGTGTTAACATAAATTAGTGGTCTTTGACGGAATCCAAGGGCTTCCCTGGGGGATCCACCAGAGCCAATGTGGAGAGTCAAAGCTCTGGAATTCAAGCCCAAGCCTTGTTTATGATCTTTCCTCCTCCCTGGGGAGACTGTGCTATCTGCTATCTCTTATGCCAGAGCTTCTCCTTTTCCTGAAGGGAAGGTCCCTGACTCCTGGAAAGGTGGACAGGTGCAGGATGTAAGAACCTCTCCGTGTGACCTTGGTGGATGATTCTGGAATTGCTATAATAGGAAGTAGAATATTGAACAAAGTAGGACATGTATCCTCTTGCATACAGAAGATTTGGGCTTTCATCTCTTTAAAAGCAAAAATACAGGGAAATGTTGGAGCAAGTATGGTCACTTTCCTTCCTCAACTCTTCATTGACTCTGTGTTTGAAAATTGGGCCTCATATATCCATCCCACCATGCCTAAAGGGTGAGCAAGATTCCAGGACAGAATCTCCAAGAGCTTCTTACTCAGTGATCATTGGAGACAGACATGCAATGCACCGTGTAGTGTTAACACGCAGGAGGTTAAGTGCAAGCTCTCAGGCCCTTTGATGTATTAAACACCAAGGACTTTAACGTAATAGAACTGTAAACCTCAAATCAGAGCTAATCACACTAATTTGCTGAACTCCAAAACCAAACCAAAATGTTCATTTCTTCTTAAACTAAACCACAGATCCAAGTTGTTTTGATCTACAAATCTATCTAACAAAAGATTTGAGGTGGCTTACAAAAAACTACATGCAATAAAACAAAACTCTAACTAGATAAAAACCAGGATCAGGGGAAAAAAATCAAAAGAATCAAAACCAGAGGGAATATTACAACATAGATATGCAAGACCTATGTAGTAATTTAAGTTGAATCGATGAGTTCCTGAGCCCCCTGGCAGCCAAAGCAATATGGAAGACATATTGGTTACATGACATACATTATTCATAAAGAGAAATAATTTTTAAACAGTCTTTAACTGGTTTAAAATGAAGCTAAATCTCTTCCCATAGTAGGAAAGAAAGATAACAAAATATTCTCTGAATCACACTTAAAGTACTTCATTTGCTTCAAGATCCTGTTTAATACACATAATGGTTTCAAACACATGAATTTATTTACCATTTAGTTTCCATTTCTATTGGCTTTCAAACCTTGCTTAAAGATATTAATATAATTTCCATAAACCCAGTGGGTCCAGATTTTCCTTTTTCGCATACTTGCCTGAAACTATCTCAAGCTCTTGCTGTATTGGTTTTGTACACGACCTCATTGTTTTAGCAATTAAAGGATAAAACTTGCACGCGTGTCTCCAGGGAGATGAGAATTCAAGAGGTTAAGTGTCGGCCTTGCACTGCTGAGTGTGGTTCCTAATCCCCAGAGAGCTCCCCTAAACTGTTTGGATAAACTGAGGAAATGTCAGGGGGAGTTCTGACACTGAGCATGACATTAATCTTCGTAACCATTCCTCCAGATGTGCACAAATGTTCCAAGGATGCTGAATATCCAAGCTCACCACAGCAGCCCACTCTTCTAGGCAGTGGGGGTGGGGAGAGTGGGGCGGGGGGATCAGGAGGGATGGAGGAGGTTGGGGGTGGGGCAGCCATTTCTGTTCTCTTTCCTAAGTATTCTCATGGCTTAAAAAGATCTGTGTGCTTACACTTGCAGAGATGAACATTAACATTATTTCAAGTGACCATGAGAAAACGCTCAGTACCTCCGTTTCATGTAACAATATTTGCAAGTCATACAGCTATAGTTATAGCTATAGCTCTACCTAGATTGGGTGCATATATACTCAAGTGTCAATAATATTCATAAATATTTATTTAAAATAACACCCAATCTCTCTGGGTGGAGGAAATTTTACTATTCATACTTTTCCAAGTTTTCTACAACTAACATACATTGTTTTACAATGACCAAAAAATGACCAAAAAAAATAGTTTTTTCTTTTATACCTTAAATGTAGTCATTTTAGAATATCCAAAGGGTCTCACATCTATTTGTAGCAGGAAACTCTCTGTACATCCAAGATGTATGTATCATTTTTTTTCCTAGTGACCCTATGAGGCTGTGGCTAATATTTACGTGGCGATATACACACTACAGGCCAGGCATCCTTTAAAGGTTTTTAAACAGCCCCACCCTTAAGAGACATTGGAACTGGTTCTCAGATTGTACACTTGCTCTTATTGCTTCTGGGGGGCTCAGATCAGTTTGCAAATACTGTTGAATTTAAAAAGGAGTTTTAGTACCCACTGTGTAATTTGTCCTCACCCCATCTGTCGACTGCAGAAACAAATTAGCTTCTCTCCACATGGTCTGCCGCTCCCCTGTTCCTTCCCCACCCCCCATCCCCAGCTGCAGTCCCTTTCCAAGAATCCAAGACTTGGGAAGAAAAGCTGAGTGCAAAAAAGAACTTTTCTTGCCAAGACAATAAGCAGTGCGGGCAGCATATGTCTGCACGTACATGTGTGTGCATGGTGCACATGCGTAAGTGTGTTTACAAGTGTCTGTGTGTATGGACACTTCTGCAGGTAACCAGTGCACAGTCCTCCAGCTCAAGGCATCAGATGAGGTCACATTTCTGCTAAGAGCCAAATTATAGCATCTCCTGCTTACTGTAAAAAAGTCATTTCTCCCCAGTGGCCCTTCTGTGATGATCAAGTTGTCCAGGGCCTACTTGGACCAGGACATAAGGCCTGGTTACTATCTTCTGGAAGAGAAAACTGGGAAGTCTGATGGTGTCCTTGGCTGCAGCCACATGACGTTTCTGGATAAAACAGGGAGCTTACCACTCAGAAGCAAGGTTTCTCTCACCCCATGTGGGGTGCGGCAGAGAAACAGGCGGTGTGTGGGGTTTTGTCTGCTACAGTGGTGACTTCAGCAGCTTAGACCCCTTGAGTCAGCATTTCTCAGTGTAGAATGGGACAGGAAGTCCCGTGGTTCTAGTGGTGTGCTCAATAGGCCTCTGTGCCAAAGGAGGCGATGCCAGGTGCTGGACCCACAAGGCTGGGTTCAGCATTGGCACACTGGCGGCCTCACCTACCCACAGTGTTGAGCTTGGGTTCCTGAGCCAGACCTCCTTTCCGGCTGGACAGGGTGAGGGAGCGTTTGGTCAAGTGCTGTCCGTCATCAGAGGCCTTCTCACAACTTTGAACCTCAAAGATGAGTGTTGGGGTCTCAGTCCCATTCCTTCCAGAAGTCCTCTGGGCCTGTATGCAGATAGCCTCACCTTCCTCCCAGTAACCATCAAGCCCCATGAAGTAGGAAGGAGTAGCAGGGGAAATGGAGTCCACTAAAAGGCCGAAGCCCTCGGCTCTGATGAAAACAAATACCTACCCGCTTCTAAATTCGAACCCAGACAGTGAATGTCTGCTTGTCTGATGCCCACATAATTAGAAAAACAATTCAAGTGCTTTTGGCTTAAACACAAAAGACCTTTTATGCTAGGAACAGAACTGGATGACACTTTTAAAAATGACAGTTTTTGCTTTTAAAAAATAATAAAATAGAACAATAAAAATAAACCCTGCATCAGTAATAACCCCAGTACATGTGTATGTGAATATATGCCTATAATAATACTTATCACTTAACGAGTGCTATATATGTAGCAGGCACTGAGCCAAGCACTCCACAGGCAACACATTCTTTTATTCTCCAAACAACCCAGTGAGTTAAAAAAAATTTAAAACTATTCTTAGCCCTACACAGCAAATGATGAAACAGAGGCGTAAAGAGGTTAAAATAATCTGTCCAAGGTTGCCCAGCCCAAAAGTTGTATTAAAGGCAACAGGCAAATCCAGGTTATCTGCTTATCTGACTTCAAAGTCTTCATTGTGTGCATGATTTTTTAAACCGATGAACTTCAATTAATAATGTTTACTTTTTAGAATAGTTTTAGATTTATGGATAAATGGTACATAGTACAGAGAGTTCTTGTCTATCACCTCTTCTCCCGCCAACACCTGCGCAGCCTCCCCTTTTAACATCACACATTAATGCTGTTCATTTGTTACAATTAGTAAACCAATGTTGACACTATATGATTGACTAAAGCTCATAGTTTATATTATTAACTAAAGCTCATAGTTTACTCAGACTTCCTTAGTTTTTACCTAACGTTCTCTTTCTGTTCCAGGACCCTATGCAGGTCATCATATCGCATTTCATCATCAACATTTCGTCGTTATGTCTCCTCAGGTTCCTCTTGGCTGTGATAGTTTCCCCCAGACTTTCTTTACTTCTGATGACCTTGACAGTTTGGTAAGTTCTGGTCAGGCACTTTGTAGGATGCCCCTCTATTGGTATTTGCCTGATATTTTTCTGGTAATTTGACTGGGGTTTTTGAGAAAAAGATCACAGAGGTAAAGTGCCACTTTCATCACGTCTTATTAAGAGTACATGCTGTCAGTGTGATTGGTGATGCTGATATTGACCTTGGTCACCTGACTGAAGCAGTGCTTTGGTGTAATTTTGAGACCCAGGCCGAAGTAACTTAGTGGGGGGCAGAGTGTGTTGGTCTTTGCTCAGGATCCTACAAAGCCTTCCAGTCAGCTTCATGGTGGTTCCCTAAGCAGCATCCACCCCTACACCACGGGCCACCAACACCACTCCCTCCACAGGGCTCCAAGCAGCAGGACCAGGTCCACTGTCTCCATAACTGGGATTAAGGAGGATCTTCCCTGTCTGACCCTCGAGTCCCCTCTCATGATTCTCTTTTTTTCCCTTAATTACCACAGACATTCCAGGCTAGACATTCAGGTTAAGAAGGCAGTGATGAGGTCTTCCACTGTTCTTTATTCCAGAACCTAAGGACTGTCACTGAACTCCAGGCAGGTTGCCTGGGCTGGGGCCTAGAACTGCTTTACCTCCATATGGCCACTTTTATTATTTTGTGCTAATTAAAACATCTGATGGGCAGGTACAGGCATCTCTGGTGGTGACTACAACCTAGAAATGTGAAGACACTTTCACCTAATATGCGTACCAGGTTGGAAAGATGAAGTCCTGAAACCAGGTGGTGCTTGGCTTTGAGAAGGTGGGCTCTGTTTCTCAGGAATCATACACTGGCAGCCCAAGGGTCCTCAGATCAAATCCAGCCCATAGGTAGGTTGTTACTTTTTTTTTTTTTTTTTTTTGAGACAGAGTCTCTCTTTGTACTCTAGGTGGGAGTGCAGTGACGGGATCTCGGCTCACTGCAACCTCCACCTTCTGCGTTCAAGTGATTCTCCTGTCTCAGCCTCCCAAGTGGCTGGGACCACAGGTGCACACCACCATGCCTGGCTAATTTTTGTATTTTTAGTAGAGACGGGGTTTCACCATATTGGTCAGGCTGGTCTCGAACTCCTGACCTCAGGTGATCCACCCACCTTGGCATCCCAAGATGCTGGGATTACAAGTGGGAGCCACCACACCCAGCCTATCCTTTTTTTTTTTTTAATTAATAGATTTGATTTTTTGGAGCAGTTTTAGGTTCACAGCAAAATGGAGAGGCAGGTACAGAGATTTTCCTTATTCCGCTGCCCCAACACACGCATATCCTCCCCCGTTATCAATGTCCCCACTAGAGGGTACATTAGTTACAACTGATGAATCTACCCTGACACTGATGTATCACCCAGAGACCATAGATTACATTAAGGCTCACTCTTGGTGTTGGACATTGTATGGGTCTGGACAGATATACAGTGACATGTATTCCCTATTACACTATCATGTGGAGGCATTTCACTTCCCTAAAGGTCCTTTGTGCTCCACATATTCATCCCTCCTTCCCTCCCTTTAATTCCTGGCAGCCAGTAATCTTTTTACCGTCTCCAGAGTTTTGCCTTTTCCTGAATGTCATTCCCTTGGAATCATACCGTATGTAGCCTTTTCAAATTGGCTTCTTTCACTTAGTAATATGCATTTAAGTTTCCTCCCTATCTTTTCATGGCTTGATAGCTCTTTTTTTTTTTTTTAGCACTGAATAATATTTCATTGTCTGGATGTACCACAGTTTATGTATCCACTCACCTATTGAAGGGCATCTGGTTGCTTCTACGTTTTGGCAGTTATGAACAAAGCTGCTGTAAACATGCAGGCTTTTGTGAGGACGTTAGTTTGGATCTGCTTTGAGTAAATACCAAGGAGTGCAATTGTTGGATCGTATGGTAAGAGTATGTTTGGTTTGTAAGAAGCTGACAAACTGTCTTCCAAAGGGGCTGTACCATTTTGCATTTCCACCAGCCATGAATGAGACTTCCTGCTGCCGCACATCCTCGCCAACATTTGTTGTTGTCAGTGTTTTGGATTTTAGCCATTCGCATAGGCAGTTAGTGGTATCTCATTGTTGTTTAACTTGCAATTCCCTAATGACATATGATGTGGAACATCTTTTCGTATGCTTATTTGCCATCTGTATATTTTCTCTGGTGAGGTATCTGTTCGGATCTTTCCCCATTTTTTAATTGGTTGTTCATTTTCTTATTGTTGAGTTGTATGAGTTCTCTGTATAGTTTGGATTAATAATCTGATATCTTTATCAGATATATCTTTTGCAAATATTTCCTCCTAGTCTGTAGTTTTTCCATTCTCTTGATGTTACTAATTTTTAAAGTTTTGAATTCGTTGCCAATATTTAAAAGTTAGAAAATTTCCTATGAAAATCTGATTTCTAACTTTTCCTTAAAACCTCAAAGATCTGACAACACGGGCTGCACCTTCCTGCATGGCAGCACTTGGCTGGAAGGGTCATGGCTACAGCCTGTATAAGGTGCATGCTCTCTGCTGTGCCTCTTTCCCTACTGCTTCAAGTCATTGAGCTCAGTGTCACTTCCCTTGCTTGGCCTTTCCTTACACTGGGCCCTCTTAATTCATTTATGTCACTGTCAGGCTTCTGGAAGCATTTGAATTTGAGTGTTATGTCTTCTTGTTTCAGATGTCAAGTATATTCATTGTCACAAACACAAAATCCTTGAGAGGGAAAATAAGTCAACTTGCTTATTCAGCATTTACCAGGCTCCAGGCACCTAATATGTTGGATATATTCAATTCCCACATCGCCCTTCACAAAGGAGGCATTATTACTTCCGTTCTATACCCGAGGAAACAGGCTCAGAGAGGGGAAGTCATATCTTCAAGGTCACACACCTAGGAAGTGGTGGAACAAGGATTTATATCCAATTCCGACTCCCAAACCCCTGTTGATTCCTCTAAGCCAAGTGGTTTCCCTGGAAGGCAGGCAACCTGGATTTTCCCAATGGAAGAGCTTTGACCCAAAATCAGGGTGCCCCCTGCCAGCCAGTGCTTTCTGTGGCTTGGTTGCTCATCACCATCTTCTGGAAACCATCACCTGGGCTTCACCCTCCACCCAGGGCTCCGATAAGAGTTGTCATATTAGTACAATGTGACCCGACCTCTTGAACCTGCTCTTTGGCATACAATGAGCAAGTGACCCACACCAGGCCAATTCCAATTGTTCCCCATGGATCTGACATTTGGAACTGAACTGGTAGTTGCTGGAACTACTGAGCCTGGTTGTTGTTGGAGGTGAATCCCATAAAGGGCGATGCTATAAGGAAAAGGTTCTGTGAACCCCAAGCATGGAAGACCTGTGGCCACTGGGGTCCTTCTTTTCTGTGACTCATTGTTCTGTGCGTCTTTGAATTCTATGAGAGCTCTTGAATACCCTTCCCAACAACAATTATTTTTAGAAAATCTACTTACAACCAAAATCATGTAACTCATTCACCTCACCATCAAATCATCTATGAATCAGGCTCTTAGATATAGGAATCAAGATGAAACAGGCCAAGGACACTAAAAGGATGACCTAGAAACAGGCTTATTGTCACCCACTCTGTTATGTTATTGGAGCAGCACCTTCTCTTCTGTTTTCAGCTTCCCTGGGGATTTTCTATTTAGACTGATAAGGGGGTGAAGTTGGGAATCCTGAGCCCTAATATTGACAGTGGCCATGATCTTATTGTGACAAGGGAAAAAAGGCCAGCCCTAAGAAGAAGAGGCAAAGATATGATATATAGAGAAAGACTCTTTGCAGTGCTTGAGGCCGTCCCTGTGTTTGATGATAGGTGCTCATCAGTTCCCCCTTTGCCTGAACCTACGTTTTCTCACTTGGCCCCATGAGCCTTCTAATGAATACAGACACTTCTGGCAAGGTTGCTCCTGACTGTGGGCTATTTCTGCCTTTCTTTTTTCTTTTCCTTTTTTTTTTTTTTTTTTTTTTGAGACAGGGTCTCTGTCTCCCAGGCTGGAGTACAGTGGCACAATCACCTCCCAAGGCTCAGGAGATCCTCCAGCCTCAGCCCCGTGAAGTAGCTGGGACCACATGCATGTGCCACCATGCCCAGCTAATCTTTGCATTTTTAGTAGAGACGGGGTTTCACCATGTTGCCTAGGCTGGTCTTGAACTCCTGAGCTCAAGCAATCCGTTCACCTCAGCCTCCCAAAGTGCTGGGATTATAGGCATGAGCCACCGTGCCCAGCCAAGTGCAGTCTATTTCTTACAACTACAGGACTTGGCACACAGTGGACACTTAATAAAGGTTTGTTGAGTGACTGGATCAATGAGCAGAATACAGTTGGCAACTTCCTGCTCCTGGTGATTGGCACCACTGGACTGACTGGGGTTAGGAAGACTGGTGAAGAATGGGCAGAGAAGACCAAGGACTTCAGACAACTTCCTCATCCCAGACTCCTCTGAAGTTAGACGAGGCCCCCACAGTCCCACCCATCATGGTCACAGTGAGCACCAGCAGAGACAGCTGCTGCGGGATGCTACCGTGGTCATTCCTGGGGGTGGGTCATGGTTGGACTTGCCTTTGTATCACACCTCTTGGCCAGAACCTGGCACAGTGCCTGGCACATAGTAGGTGCTCAATAGAGAGTAATGAGGGCAAGAACCAGTGAGTGATCATCCATGGAATTAGCACCTCTGTGTGCCAAGCATAGCCGTGCCTATGAAGGAGGGAGAAGATCCCATGTTTACCCTTCAGTTGAGGAGAGAAAATTAATAACCCAGTAACTGTAAACTAATAATGAAGGATTAAAGTGCAGTGGCTAATGGCACAATCAGACGCTGATCCATTGCTTCAACAGATATCCTTAGAGAACCTACTTTGTTCTAGGTCTGATGTTGGACACTGGGGATTCAGATATGAGTAAGATACAGTCGGGGTAACTGAGGTCTGAGGGGGAGTGTCACAAAAAATTCACTCCTTCAGAAATATCCACTGAATTCGTACTATGTGTCAGGCGTGATGCCAGGGGCTGGCACGACGTGGTGCCCCACAGAGGCAGGGAGCTGGGTCTCCTGCTGAGGCTACGCCATCCTTTATAGTCTCAGGGACGTCTTTCCCTGTCCAGGCCTCCGTTTGTAGACCTGTCAAGTCAAGTGACAAGATCAAATGGCCAATGGGCTCTTTCACTTCTGACAGCTAAGGCTAACCCTGTAGGTAAAGTCCAGCTGAAACCGAATCCCGCCACTCTTTAATTTCCTCATCTGTGAAATGGCCTTGTCACAAACAGCACCTACTTCACAGGGTGCTTGTGATGATTAAATGAAAGAATAGATGTAAATTACTAAGTATGTGCCTGGCATCCTCTCAATGCTGTCTGTTCAACAAGCTCCTCATTCTTGCTACTGTGATTCTATCTGACACCTGCCGCGTGCCCTTCCTTGTGCCAGACACTAAGCCTGGCTCTGTGGAAAGAGCATAAAAGACCCTCCAGGGTACACCCTCCAGGAGTGCTGCATGGAGTGGGTTGAAGGAGGGAATTCACCCAGGGTGGTAGGGTGGGCCTGGAAGCCTCTGAGCTGAGCCGCTCAGGAGAGAGGAGGAGGGGTCACTGGGGTTGGGGGACAGGATTGGGGATCAGAGGAAGCCTCCCAGCGGGGGAGGGGCAGGGCCTGCGCCCTTCCCCTCCGGGAGCCCCCGGTGGCTAGATCTGGTCTGGGCGCAACCCCTGACTGAGGCTGCGCTGGGAGTGCCGAAAGGTGGCCTTGTGGGTAAGTCCTTCCAGCTGCATCCAGGTAATCCCGGCCTTCGAGCGGGAGAGATGATACCCCCCGAGGGCCGGGCCTGGTCCGGCTCAGGATGCGTGCCCTGTGAAAATGCTCAGCAGCCCTCGCCTTTAGGAGTGCTCAGGTCCAGCATGAATCATTCCTTTTTGAACTTGTCTAAATGTGTTTATAAAATAAAGCTGCGGCCCAGGGCTGCTCCTGGCGGAGCGGGAAGGTAATATGTTTTTAATTGGAGAGATTGGGGGAAGGAGGCAGCGGGCCAGGGTGAGCTCACCCCGCATGAATGCGGCTGGGCGGAGAACAATGTACGTTCACATTCTTTGACTACAACGGGCCTCCGCAGGACCTGGCTCGGTGGGCAATTCTCCGGCCTCGGGGCGGGCGTCCGGGCCCGCGCCGTCTGAGGTTAGCGGGAGCGCGTACCCTGGGAGGTGGCCAGAAGCCCTACATTGAAATATCACAGTGGGTCAGAGCAGGGGTCGCAAACTCCAGTGCACCCAGGAACCGCGCAGTATCTCAAACCCACGGACACCCAGTGTAGACCTGGAGAACTGGAAATGCGTGGCCTCTGCAAAGGGGACAGGCACCAGTGGACTCCACCAGCCCCGTCACCAGATTGAATGTTTCTCAAGAAAAACCAGAAATCATATCTGGATGTAAAAGCTCCTCTTTTTAAACGTTGTCTTTATTTAATTTTATCCTATTTTCTTACTTATTTTTGGTTATGTGGGCCAAATAAAACAGATGCCTAGGCCGTATTTAGCCCTGCAGCTGTCCCCTCTTTTAGATCTTGGGAGTGGACCTCATGCTGTCTTTTACCAGCTACCAGGACTTTAGGCAAGTTACTTCACTTCTCTGAGCTTTGGTCTCTTCAACTAGAAATCTGATAGATTAATGCTACTTTTCCTGACTTTTCAAATGCTTTCTATGTTGAGGATAAAGAGAGGAAAGAAGATAATTGTAATATTCATTGGGCATCTGCTATGTGCCGCGCATGGTGTTAAGCAATTTACGTATTTTGTTGTTGTGATGTTTTGTTTTGTTTTTTAATCATCATTATTCTGTAATCTAGGTATTATTCCCATTTTGCAGATTAAGAAATACAATCTTAAAAAGCTGAAGCTGGAATGTGAACCAGTATTTCCAACTTTAAGCTGAAATCATCTGAATTTAAAGAACACATCGTGGTAAGAATGGGGAAATGGAGTCAAGAGTTAACTGGCTGACTTAATGTCACAAAGCCATGCCCAGTGAAGGCAGTAGCCATTTTGGGTCCTAGCTCAGGAATGATTCAAGTAGCAATAGCGTTTTGCAAAGTAAAACAGGCAGAGCTCTCAAGGTTAAATCAAGGGTATAATGGAGTAGGTACCCCCCTGCACTGCTCCAGTTACAGCCCTTCCAAAGGACGACGTAGCAGTATGTGTTAAAAGATTCATATTCTCTAAAAGATTCATCCACTTTCACCCAGTAATTCCTCCTGAAGGAATCAATCCTAGAGAAATAAAAGAGCTGTGGGCAAGCATTTGTAAAAAAAACTAATGCTCAGAAAATCGAACATTCATTATAAAGGAAGAGTTAAATAAGGTAGGTAATGTCCATACCCAGGAATATTATGTAGCCTTGAAAGAATGTGCAATAACGGGAGGAAATGCTCATGACATAATGTTAAGGAAAAAAAGTAGAATGCAAAATTAGGTAAACATGTGTATGATAATCAAAGAAATGTAAAGAAAGAAGATGGGAAGGAAATTCACCCCAATGTTAATTCTCTACGTGGTGGAATTTTAATTTAATTTTCTTCATCCTTGTTGAAATTTTTTTAGATTTTCTCTAATGAGCATATTACATTTTACAATCTGAAATATATATATTTTCAGGATGTTACAGGCCTCATCTCATCCAGTTTGGGAAGTGGATGGGTCTCAAGCCAAGTATCACATTTATTTAAAAAACAAAAGCCCAGAGAGAAACTCTAGAGAGAAAAATACCACAGTGTAAACTGGTTATTACTGGATGATTGGATTATGGGTGATTTTTTCCTACTTCTTTATATTTCTATGTGTTTTTCAAACTTTCTACATCAAGATTTCTTTGAAATTGGCAAACAAACAGACAAATCATAAAATACTCTCTTGCATTTCCAACTGTTCCAGGCAGGGAGATATTCTTGGCAGTAGAGCTATACCAGAATCCAGGTTTTTCTCACACATTGCTCTATCCTCACTCTGGTCTTTGTACTTGTACCCACCCCCACCCCCGCCACCCAGCTACCATGATGATAGATGCTGAAGGGTTTAATATACTTAAATTGGTTTAAAGCTAAGGAACTGTGAAATTAGGGTTCTTTTGTAGTTTATGGAGGAATGGCTTGGCCCAGACTATTCTTGCAACCTGTTTTTGACCACTTTGCCAAGCTAAAAGTACCTATTGCTTATCCTATTAATTGAGCCAAGGCCGTGTAATCAGGGCCTTGCTGGCCTAGAAGGCACATTTATTTCCCGGACATGGCACTATGATCTGAGCCGCGTGGTCACTTCCTATACCCAACCTTTCACGGAGCTGGTCACTCTTCTGGCTTGGAAAACCATAAGGTCTCCAAGTGACCTTACTAAGAGTCAAGATACCTGGGTCCTTGTGGGGTTTACCACCTGATGGTGCTTCACTCCTGACCAAGTCATCATGTTACATGTACCCCCGCCTTTATTTCCTGAGACCCCTCCCTCCCAGGCTGTGTAGCCCAGAGACCGGGAACTGAATCCTCTGTGAACCTGAGCTCACTTCTGCACTTCCCTCAGCCTTCATTCTTCCCTCACCTATAGAAGGGGAGTAGAACACCAACATGGGCCTTTGGGTACAAAATAGATTGTCTTCCTTCTTCCCTCTCTAGCATCCTCTTTCCTTCCTAATTTAGGAGCTTTTTCTAGTCTGCTTCTAAATATGCACCTTGGCCAATCTCGGCACGTCACCAAATCCTCGTGGTGGGCTTTCCTCATAGTACCAATGTGGGAAGTGCCTAACAGAATGCAGAGATGGCTCTTAACCGGGTCAGGTGCCTGGCGTGCCTGGGTTCTGTTTTAGGTGATCCTCACCATGGCTCGTTCTGCAAAGCAGGGGTCAGTCAGTAGTCCCATTTTACAGGACACTGAGGTGCAAAGAGGCACTGTACCATGCCAGCAGGTCTCTCGGTGGGGAGTCAGTGTTTACTCACATTTTCCCACCTCCTTTCTGCTCAGTCTTTTCTTTTTCCCTTCACTGGGTAGTCTTCCAAGTTCACAGAAATGAAAATCTTCCTAAAACAGGAAGGCAAATAAATGAGAATCCCCCTTCTGACCCAAATCACTAGCAATCACCCATGTATTTAGATTCACATGAGCTCCTGACTCTGGAACCTGGAGCTAATTCCCCTAAAAGTCAGTTCATGTAAACTTCTTGTTTACCAAGGTGACAATGGTAATTACCAAGGTGACAAGGGGAAAAGACTAGAATGTTTATACGACTGTTGACGAGATCTGTTTAAATCTAGAAGCATCAGAAAATATCACAATGGGATGGTGTCAACCTCTTTTGGGAGTTTCTGGACCCTCTTCAGTATCTTTTTCTACTTTGGGGGCTCTTGAACATTTCAAAGTTGCTTTAAAAAAAGTGAATTCATCTAATGTCATTCTACCTTAATTTCAAGAAAACAAGCATGGTTTAAGTTAATAGCTAGAAGGCAAGGTCATGAATAAGCAAAGAAAGTGAGGTGCGCAAAGAAAAAAAATAATAATCACCCCAGTGTGTGACCTTGAGCAAGTCACTTAAGCCTTAGTTTTCCTTCTCTGTAAAATAGGGGTAATGATTTCTATCCCATGAGGATGTCTGATGGCTAATTTCAGTGACACAATTTGTGCAAAACAAAGAGAACTCTACTACATGGTAAATGTTCTATTCTGCACAACAACAATAATAATCTCTTCAATTGGGGGAAAATGATCACAGCCTTATACTTTTTGTCACTTATAATATCTTTGCTTCTTTGGGGCCTGGAGAAGAAAAAGCAGCTCAGGATGGGGTAGAAGGGGGTGTAAATGACTTCTTGCAACTTATAAACCTGCAGTTAGACCCTTCCATGCCATACTATGCACTGAAATGCATTCCAGGTGCACTAAAGAACTGAATGTTTTAAAAAATCAAACCACAGAGGGGAAAAGACATGAATATTTATCAGACCTCTGGGAAGGTCTGGTTAAATCTACAAGCATCAGAAAAGATCACAAAGGAAGAGATGGACAGAATTGGCAGCAGGAATATTCAGCACATCTGTACATAGAAAAGACAGGAAAATGCATGCAGCAAAAATGACAGGCAAAGGCATCATATCTTTATTAGATAAAGAGCTTTTACTATCTGTATGTATATATGTATGTGAAGCCATAAGAAAGTTATTCAGACCCTACTAGATAAATGAATAAGGAATTCAAGTAGATAATTCACAAAGGAAGAATATATTTGGGGGAGAAAATGAGAGAAGGCAATCTCATTAGCAACCAAAGAAATAAGTTACCACTTTTCTACCATCAAATAGCACTGACTTTTTAAATAATAATGTTAGCTGTTAAAGAAGGCGAAGTGAAACAGGCATATGCATACATGGTAGTAGAAAGGTAAATTGGTTTGACCCTTTTGGAAAAAAAAGTCATAACATCAAGTGTTATGAAAAAAAGTTGTCTAGTATATGGTTTGGGGAAAACTAGAGAAAACTAAAACTAGATCCCTATGTTAAAGTATGTACAAAGGTGGACTCCAAGGGGACTAAACATCTAAACATGAAAGGTAAAAGTAAAAAGTCAATTGCAGAAAACGATAGGAGATATTCTCCCTCTGACACATATGAGCTGTGTCACCTTGGGCAGGACGTTTCACCTATCTGAGCCTCGGCTTTCTCATCTTAAAATGGGAATTTTAACACCTACCTTACAAGATAATGTCTATAAAGCGCCTGGCACCTGCTTTGACAGAGAGGGCTTTCCTCCTGGGTGCACAGCTGGGTCAGCCTTCCTGGCCTCTCCTGTGTTGGTATGGCGATGTGAGTGAGTACTCTGGCCACTGGAGAGTGGGGACAAGTGATGGGTGTACTTCCAGGGGTCACCCTGCAAGGCCTCCCATGCGTAATTCCATATCCTCTTCTCCATCTATTGGTTGATTAGAGAGGATTTAGGACTATGGAAGAGGGAGGAACAACAAGATGGAAGGAGCCTGGGTCACTGAATCCCTACTTGGAAGTCTGCTTGGCCAAGAAACCCTGATTAGACTATGTGATAAGATACAAACTTCTGTTGGGTGAAGCCACTGATTTGGAGATTGTCTATTACAACAGCTAACAATACCTACCCTAAGTAACAGTGCCCAGTAATTATTCTGCAATTTGACCAACAAATTCCCGTATTGGGAATCTAATCATTGGGGTTCATTAAATGTAGTTTCTGATGAAGCCCTTGGTGGGTGGCAGTGGGATTTCTTAATCCAGTCACTAATCAAAACTGCACACTGCAACATTTCCAGAGAAGTGGCTAATAGAAAAATAGATTCTGTTAGTTGATTTCAGGTTTCTTTCTAAATTGTTAATGTTGGGTTTTGCACACTCTGAGATTGGGATTGACTAGAATGCTTTGACTAGACTAGACAAGCACTCAAGAAATTTTCAAAGGATAAACCAAACCAAAACAAAAGTAGGAAAGGGGAAATATGGAAGTAATCAGGTTGTCTGTATCAGCTGATAATAGTCTGTCCCTGGGCACACAGCCAGAAAATTTGAACCCTGGCCAGCAACTCACACACTCCAGGTGATCTGCCAAAACAGAGGGCTGTGATGACTGGCCTAGGAGCAGGGAGCCTGCAGCTCACAGGGGTACTGAGATGCAAATAACTGCTCTGGCCATGCAAAGGAATATTTAGGGCAGTATTTACATAGTGCAAAACTTCTGAAGAAACGAAATGTCTGTGGCAGATGCTGCTGGTTCTCTACCCAACAGCCATTTCCCCTTCTTCCTTAGAAAACGTATCCCAATTTCATTCTGGCCTCAAAGGTTGACTCGTGATTGTTCTAAGCTAGTCTTTGTCTTTCCATTCCCCCTTGTCAGTCATTGGTCTAGGACTGAATGTGTGATCTACTTCTGGCCACCAAGATGTTAGGGAAGATTTGCTAGGGCCTTTTGGGAGAGATAAAAGACAGAGGGAGATGGAAAGTGGCCTTTCCTCCCACAACCCCCTTTCCTTTTCACTTTGGACTTTGTGGATGAAGATGTGATTCCTGGAGCTGCTGCAACCATCTTGTCACCATGAGGGTAAGGCCAAAGAGACTCATAGAGACACCAATCCAAACTTACTAAGCCTCTGAGCCAACCTGGGAGTTTGTTATATGAAATAATTATGCCTGTACTATTTGCTTTTTTTCAGGGGTTTTGCTGTAGGTTTATCCAGTAGTGCTGTCAGGGTTAAGTTGATAGAAGAATCTTTGATGAAACTTGACTGATTTTCCTGGAGTTACCTAGACATGGTTCCTGACTCTCACCTGGAGATGTCTAAAGGCAAAAGCCTGGTTAGTTTGCCTGTGAGGACTAATGAAAGAGTGGGTGCTGCTGTGGGAGTAACTTGCCCATCCAGAGTTTCGTGGGGCAAAGAAACGTTGACTTTTCCCATGGGCTAAGTGAACGCCATGAGACTAGCTAGGCTAGAGCCTTCTGGAAAGGACCTCTCCTAAAAGAAAGGCCTTCCAGGGCAAAAGGACCCCAGCAGGAGGTCTCTGTGGGGTGCATATCACAAAAGCGTAGGAGCTGGGGACATTGTATGTTGCCAGCCAGGGACTGTCTCTTAAGAGAAAAAATGGGAGTTTCAAGGTCCCCATCAGGAGGTCCCTGAAGAAGCTATAAAAGAGAGATGCAGCATTTGCTCAATGGCTGACCAGAGTATGGAGAACCAATCCTCTATTGCCCAACACCAAAGTAGGCTGGAACATGTGCTTAGCGGACTTCAGACATTACAGGGCATTCGGCCTGTGGGGCTCTTTACTGCTTCTCCCGTTGCAACCCAGCGCTGAAGGAGCCACAACAAACATAGGGAGTGGAGGAGGTATGGAGGGGCAAGGGCCATGGGGTCATGAAAGAACAGACATGCTCACGTGATATCTACCATTGTCTCTTGGCTCCATACCTACCTTCTAGCGTTCGCCCTGCAAAATGGGGTCTGGGAGTCTATAAGCTAAAATTCTTAGCATTAAAAGATGCTTTCTGAGTTGACTTCCTTTCAGATTCTGTCAATAAGAGGCCCTAGTACGAGATCAGAAGGTAGGAGGAGGGGACAGAGGAGTGAACAAACCATTGTTTGTTCTCTCTCTATCTCTCTCTTTCCTTCTTCTGGCAGTGTCTCTGCAGGTGGTTGCATCTCTTCCAAGCCCCTAGCTTCTGAGCACCAGCTCCTCCCCAGTGGCCCCAGCTCTGAAGATGACAAAAATTCTTCCAAGCTTGTAGAATTTAATAACAACACCTTCTCTCTCCCCACTCCATGGCCCTAGGGGTGGCAGCTGCTTCCTGCAGTTATTGATCTCTGTTGCTGTGCCTTCCCCCTTTTTGCTCCTCCATCTTCTAACACCCATTTAATCAATTTCCTGTATTCAGCCCCCTTTGTTGGAAATACCTGGCATGATTTCTGTCTTCCTCATTGAACTCTGATTGATACATCTCTCTTCTTAAGGGCTGATCTGAAGAATTTTCAGGTGAGGCTAGACTGAGGAGAGGAAAGAACTTTTCAATTGGATGAGAAAATCAGTTTTAATATTAGATGTGGCTGAGTTTTTAATAGCTGATAATGATATGTTCTAATGCCTGAAAGCGATTGGGAAACCCAAGATATCATCTAGAGGCAGGGGAGGGAGATGGAACAGAGCAGGTTTAAATGGAAATAGTGACAAAGAATAAAGCCATTTCCTTCCCTGTGAGGTCTGACTGTATCAGAAACCAGTCACACCATGAAATAAGATAAAAAAGCATTACAATAGGGATTGCAACCTGGAAACTCCCACCAAATGTAATCAACAGACTTGTTTGTGTAGTTCAAACAGTGTTTTTCTATTCAAGGTTTCTCAAAGTCGCATTATTGACATTTTGAGCCAGATACTGGGAGGAGGGGGCTGTCTTGTACATTATATTGACATTTTGGGCCACATGTTTTTCTCATACAGGATGTTTAGCAGCATCTCTGGCCTCTAGAAGCCAGGAGTGCCCTCCAGACATGACAATAAAAAAGTATCTAGATATTGCCACATGTCCCTTGGGGTGCAAAATCTCCCTTGATTGAGAAATATTGCTCTAATTGGAAATTTTGCATTAAAAATTAGATTTCCAGTCAGCCTTCCTTGAAAAATCTACAGACTTGTAAACAATGGACCTATGTTTCTACCTGGCTACAATCAGCTATTGTTAATTCCATCTGTTTCTGTTATATGCTATATTGGTTATCTATTGCTGCATAGCAAATTACCCCAAAACTGAGTGGCTTAGAACAACGTTTATTATCTCACAGTTACTGCAGGTCAAGAATCTGGGTATTGCTTAACAGGATTCTCTGGCTCAACATCTCTACAAGGTGGTAATCAAGGTGTTGGCCAAGGCTTCAGTCATCTAAAGGATTCGCTGGGGAAGAGTCAGCTTCCAAGCTCACTGATGTGGTGTTGGCAGGATTCAGTTCCTCATGGGCACCAGACGGAGAGTCTCAGCAAATCACTAGCTGGTGACTGCAGCCACCGCAGTTCTTTATCACGTGGTTCTCTCCATAGGGCAGTTCACAGTGTGGTAACTTGCTTCATCAGAGCAAGCCAGGAAGAAGACCCAGAGACAGACAGAGAGAGAGAGAGAGAGAGAGAGAGAGAGGAGGCCTCTGAAAGAGAGAGAGAAGAGAGAGAGGCAAAGAGAGAATGAGAACTCCAGAAGTCACTGTCTTTTATAGCCTAATCTTGAAAGTGACATTCATCACTTTCACTACATTTTCTTCCCCAGCAGTGCTCAGTGGGAGGGGATTATACACGGCCATGGATACCAAGATGTGGGGGCCACTGGAAGCCATTCTAGAAGCTACTGTATTAGTTTCTTAGTGCTACCATAGCTAATTACTGTAAACAGAGTGGCCTGGAACAACAAAAATCTATTCTCTCACAGTTCTGGAAGCGGGAAGTCTTAAGTCAAAGGATCGACAGGGCCATGCCCTCTCTGAAGACTCTAGGGAAGGATCCCCTCTTACTCCTTCCAGCTTCTGGTGGTTGCCCTCGATCCTTGGCGCTCCTTGGCTTGTTGATGCGTCACTTCAATCTCTGCCCCCGTGGTCACTGGCATTTTCCCTGCGTGTCTGGGTCCAAATTTCTCTCATCTTATAAGGACACCTGTCATTGAATCAGGGCCCATCCTAATTCAGTATTACTTCATCTTAATTTTATTACCCTGTTTCCAAATCAGATCACATTCACAGGTACCAGGGGTTAAGCCTTCAACATATTTTGGGGAGCAGGCACAATTCAACTACAATACCTTTTCTGTCACAGATGGAGCATGTGCATCTCTGTTGAAGCATGCTGCTGTGCTGTGGGACAATTTTGTCTGCCCACTCCGCAATGATGCCCTATGAATCAAGATCCCTGTATCATTGCAGGGGCTCCTTGAGGGAGGATCATTCCTCTACCTCAGTGCAAAGTTTGACAAAAGTGCTCTGTGCTTTGGCCCTGGGCTCCAGCCCTTCCATTTGTACTCATGGGGTCAGCTCTTCTGCCCTGTGCTTTCCTCTGTCATAGCTTTTATTAGTCTGATTTCATGCTAGTTTCTTGCTAGTCTCTTTGACTGTTAAATCCTTGAAGTCAGGGATCTCACCTGATTCATTTCTGAGCTCTCAGTGCCATTTCTGAGCTCCCAGTGCCCACACATGGCCGGCCATCTCGTGGATGAGTTGATGGATCCATTTGACTAGTAGATAAATGCATACATGGAGAGCCAACATACATAGTATGCAAAGTCATGAAAAACAAGGAATGACTGAGGAACTGGCACAGATAGGAGGAGACTAAGGAGGTTTAACAACTAAATCCAACATGGTGCCCTGGAGTGCATTCTGAAACAGAGGATATTAGGGAAAAGCTGATGAAATTCAGGCAAAGTCTGTGAGTAGTTTAGTCAATGGTATCATATGAGTTTTCTTAGTTTAGACAAATGTTATGGAAGATGTTAAAGTTAGGGAAATTGGGTAAAGGGTATATGGGAACTCTTAGTACTATCTTAATAATGCTTTTGGAAATCTGAAATTATTTCAAAATAAAAAATCTAAGTAAATCAGAGTTAGGGAAAGGCAGAAGCTAGGGTCATCAAGGGGATTTACTAAGCTGATGAATAAGTTCGAATTTAAAACAGGAGAAACTGGGAGCAGGAACCACAGAGAACAAGTGCCTAATCAGGGCCCAGTGGAAGGAATGAGCCAGTTTTGTCCAATTTGGCAAACTCTCTTGGCTCCTCATCTGTAAAGTGGGTGAAAACCCAGATGTTGGATGGGGCTTTGACAGCACTTCAGGTCTAACTAGGGTGGCCTGAAACCCCCAATCCCATGGACTGGAACAGACAAGAACTTCCAAGACTTCTGCACATTTGCAGAGGTTTGAGGTCCCATCATTAGCCATGCTTCTTGGTTCCTGCACTATGAGTATACGTATGTGGGCTGATGGCCTCATTCACTGGATACACACACACACACACACACACACACACACACACACACACACCTCACCAGGGACTTGGGAGTATCTAAATGTTTGAGAATCATAGAGCAGGGAGACATCCAACACAGCACAGCCTTCCATTCACTGTCTGGCTCCTCTCCCCTTTACCTCTTCCCTCCTGGGTTATGTCTGGGGACTCCACATCTTCTGTCTCTATTGTGTGGGGGCAACCTAGCTCTCCTCCTGGAAGCCCTGACTCCCAGGGCCCTCAGGATCACTGCCCCCACCCTCCCCTACCTCAATTAAGTTCACAGTAAAACACAATTCCTTTCCTAGAAGGAATCTGGACACCAGCTATTAAAATGCCATTTACTATAGCTCCTTACACAGATGTGAAGCCTGTGCTGTCTCCTTTTGAGCTCATTACAGCCGTGGCTTTGATCCAGTGTCTAGACAAACTTGTGGATCAGAAGCAGTTGGGAAAAGCCTGGCAATGTAATTATAGGCTTACAACAAAGCACTGATAGTTCAAATGATTTGGGTTAAAATTATATAACTTAGAGCATATCCAAGGTTAGCCTCATGACAATGTCATCCCTCCTCATTTGCATTCTAATATGTTCTCTTAAGTGGCATGGAAATTGTGAAACTACAGCTAGCCAGTGGAATTGTGGAGAATACCAGGTACGACAACCTCATTATGTGTGTACCAACAGAAAATAGGTTGAGAACTGCCTCATCAGAGGACCAAGTGAGATCTTTACAAGCTATAAAATGCTTAAGCGAAATTACCAACTAAAGTTCATATTTGACTTGGAAGAGCCTTAAAAGTGAGCTAGTCCAGCCCTGGCTCCTGGCATATTACAGATGGCGGCACTGAGGCCCACAGGAGGGAAGTGGCCTGCCCATAGTTATACCTTGAGCCAATGATAGTCCAGGCCTGGATCCCAGGCCTGCCCCCCAACACATTGAAGCCTCTATTCATACCTGGAGATGTTCAGACGAAAATAGAATGGCCATAGGGTGAGATCAGCAGCTGGGAATGTGGCCCTTTGTTTTTCTCCTGAATTTCTAAGAACAACGGCAGGTGAACATTATTTTTAGTCACTGAGAGACAGTGTTGAGCTGTAACACTTTTGCTCTCACTTCTCACTGGAGTGTGTCTTGTTTGACAATTTTAGGGCTAATTAGGACCAAACGCAAGGAGTCAGCCAAGTTCCACAGAGGGAAGGATGTCGCCAGTTGGGAAGGGTTGGAATCCTGGCTCTGTGATGCCTTTATTGCCTGACCTTGGTCAGGTAGGTTAATTGAAGCAGGCCTTGCTTTCCTCTGCTGTAAAACAGTGGCAGCCGAAGCTCTCTCAAAGGTTGATGTGAAGAATAAGTGTCCCTGGTGCATAGGAGGTGCTTCTGGAGGACTCTCTACTATCTGCCCCAGCCCAGAGCTTGCAACTTTGCTGCTTAAAAGAAGGAGCATTACGGTACCTTACTCCTCTGTTTCCACAGGTGAATGGGCTTTGCTGTCCCCCTCTCCTTCCAAAGACCTCTTCTGTAAGAGATGAAAACACTGCAGGACTTCTGTGTCAGGGCGTTTCCAGAGTGGGGAGGAAGAGCACATGAATGAACTGGAAGTTTTCTTCTTTGAGAAACAGATGCCCAGTTTGAACCATCATATTCATCTCTTCAAGGACAGCCCCTTTGCCCTGAGTTCCACATTTTAACATTGTGCTTTGCGATCCATTGAGAGTTAATTGGCACCTTCAATAATAGTGCATCTTACAATCGATGGCATGTTAGACGCTATGAAACATGGTACCTCAAGCAGCTCAGCAAATTCATTAGCTCATGGAACCACAGAAAGGAGCAGGGGCCACAGCACCCAAGAACTGGGAGTCCGTTTTTTCTCCCAGTCTCCTTCTCTGTCTTCCTCCTCTCACCCTCCCTAGCCCACTTCCCACTTCTCTCTTCTCTACACCCTCTTTCCCTCTCACTGTGTTATCTGTGTGTTATCTTGGCTTCATCCCATCGGGTCAGCTCACCCCACGAAGCTGGATGCGTGGCCCATGCAACTCCAGCCTGTGTGTGGTCTCACAGCGCTGAGACAAGAGAGGAAAAGACAGCTCTTTCCGCCAACTCCAGTAAGAAAAAATCTCAGCAAAGGGACCTGAGTGGGTCATGTGCCCATCCCTGGACCAATCACTACTGAGCCTCAGCCCCACCCCGCCCAGCCCCACCCCTGTGGCTGGCTGGGAAGGTGGTACCCTGAGGGCCCACCTCTGCATGCCCACTGGGGGCACTCTCCCAAGTGCTGGGTCCACATGTTCTGTGGCTCCAGGAGCTCGTGGTACCTTCCCTTGACTTTTGTTCCTCCCCAAATCAAAGTAAGTCAATCACTTCCACTTTAAAACTCAGTAACTATCATCACTATCATTATTGTTATTTATCACTATGGCCCCAATTTGGACTCTACGTTTACTGAGGACAAGCACATTTTCCTTCATTTCTTTTGAGATGGAGGTCTCTTAATGCAATGAGCAGTCACTAAATTACTCTAGAAATGACTAATAGCTAATGTTTATTAAGCACTTGCCGTGTGTTAGGCACAGTTCTAAGTATATTGCATGCATTAGGTCATTTAATCCTGAAAACTCCCAATGAGGTAGAAGCTGTTTTTATCTCCGTTTTATAAGTGAGGCAACTGAGGCATGAGGAATTTGTGTAACTTGCAGAGTAAGTGAGAGTTCCAAGGCAGGCAGTGAGACCACGTCGGGCACACCCTCAGCCACCACAGTGTCCTGGAGGGAGGGCCGAGTGTGTCCATCCTGGAGTCCAAGGCCCTGCTGCCTCCAGATGACCAGCTCAGTGCCAGGGCAGCAGGGAGTTGAAATCCCTCATGGATTTTATTTTAATCCTTAAAAATAATAGTTCCCATTTGTTGGCACTGGTCTAAAAGCTTAAATTACATGATCTCATTTTTCTTCTAAAAAGCTCATTTTGAATATGAGGAAAGAGAGGTTCAGGGAAGGTAGGTATCTTGCCTAGAGACACACAGCTAGGAAGTTGGGGAGCCAAGGTCATAACTCAGGACTGCCTGACTCCGACGCCTGAGCTCCTAACAATGCACTTCTCCCCAGAGCAAAGAACCCCAGCTCTGAGTCTGGAGTGAGGGCATGGGGGCTGGTCATGGGGAGAAAACTTGGGAGGGTGGATTTTCCTTCTCTGCTCACACACCCATGCCCACTCCCTCCCTGAGAACTGCCATGGCCTCAGGGGCAGGGCTGAGAGGAGCTGCCCACTTCCTCCCACACTCCTAAACTCCTCCCAGCCCTGAGTCTCCAAGTATCTGGGAACAACGCTGCTACCACTTCGGGTAACTGTGGCTATGCTTGTGTGTGAACCGTCCCCACCCTTGGTCTGCCATGCCATGATCTGTGATTCTCATAGGACTGACTCCACGGGACCAACGTGTAATAATAACCACAGTTACCCCTTATGAAATGCCTCACAGAAGCCAGGCACTGAGCTAAGGCAGAGGAAATGACCTCATTCATTCTTAATAATGCCCCTTTAGAATGAGCGTTCAGGAAATTGAGACTCAAGGAGGTAGAGTGAGGAACTTGGCTGAGGCTTCACAGTCAGCAAGAGGCAGAGACAGGATTTGAACCCAGGTCTGATTGACTTCAATGTCCATGACTTTAACACCAACTTGCTGCTTCTTAGCCTGACCGAGACAACAGAGATACAGAAGTCACTGTCCTTGTTCTCAAGAAGCTTGGGATCCAGTAGCGGAGTTACATGAGTGAACAAATTGCAATTAGGTGGGAATACCAGAAATGATAGAAGTGACACTAGGTCCTGAGGTGGCACAGAGCAGGGAGGTGTGAACCTGGATGGTGTGTTTTTCATGACTGCTGATGGCAAGTGACAGGACTCCAACTCAACTTGGTTTAAGGAAGGAAAAAGGCAGGGGTGGGGCAGAGATTGATTGGCTCATGTTTCTGAAAAGTTCGGGGCAACTGGCTTCAAGCATGGCTTTATCCAGGAACTCAAGAACGTCAACAGGAGTCTCTCCCCTGCTTCAGCTGTGCTTTCAGCCACACTGACATTATTTTGAAGATGACGCCACTCTCTGACAGGCAAGTTGTCCACCAGAGGCACCCTCCAAGGTCAACATGGTTAGCAACCCCTCTGAAAGGAGAGCCCCTGTTTACTCTTAATTTCAGCCAAATTCCCAGGTTTGAGTGTTGGTGAATTTGCTCAGGTCACATGCCACTCTCTCAATCACTCATTGTAGTCTCCATAAAGATGGAATCATTGATTGACTATTGGCCAGGTCTGGGTCCTCTGCTCAGTCCTGAAATTGAAGGGAGCCAGCCCCATGCAAATCAGGACACTGTCACGGGGAGAAGGGGAAGCAGGATGCCAAGTGGGCAAAGACAGTGGCATTCCACAGGTGAGGGAGGCTTCCGTAAGAGGAGCCCTGGAGCTTAGTCCCGAGAACGAACAGAGCATGCTGGGCAGAGCTGGGGCTGCGAGGAGAGGGTGTTTCCTACCAGAGAGAACAGACTGTGGACGTGTGAACTCATAGTTTGGCATAGCTGGAGGCTATGGTGGGTGTGGGAGAGGAGTGTGAGGTGTGGCAGAGAGGGGCCCAGTGAGGGTCTTCAAACCTGTGGACCACGCAGGCGTTTGGACTTGCTCCTGCAGGTACCCTAGGGAGGTAGCACCTCAGGCTCAGGGCGGAGGCTCTGGACTGGATCCCCTGGCCTGACCCTGCCTCTCTGAGTGACTCAGTCTATCTGATTCTCAGCTTCCCCATCTGCAAAACAGGAAGGATGGAGGACAACTTCACAGAATGGAGGTGAGGGCAAACTGAGGCAAAGCCATGATAAGCAGAGAGACAACATAGAGGAAGTGTTCAAAGACACAGACCATTATTGTGGACCAATCTTAAGCATCAGAGGAACATATCTAATCTCCACTCTAGAAAGCTCCCCCGGGGGTGCAGTGGAGGGTGGGGACAGGAGACCAGTGGGAAGAGGTGAGTTTGATGGTTCAGGTCCTAGAAGATGTAGAGAAACACTGCTTTGGGGGAGATGGAGAACACAGAGAGAGGGCTCAGGGAGAGAAAATTCCATGGCACTTGGCAAAGAATCAAATGTGGGGAGAGGGAAAAATCCAGGATAAAAATAAACACGGAGACAAAAATCTACCCTTGACCTTGGATCCCTTAACTTTTAACTTTTGAACAAACACATTTTCTCTTAAAAGCATTCAACCAATTTCCCTAGGCTTTTTTTTTTCTCTTCAAATACCCTCCCCAAAAAACATCCCTAGACTGCGCGATTCCCAGTGTTGAAATCTTAGGTATCTTTTTCTTTTTTAAATTTCAGCCTGAACATGCCAAGCTGAACATGCTCAGAATGTCCTTCCCACCTTGGCAGCCCCTGAAGCCCACCTCCTCCTGTTTGCCCTACTGGGTAAGTGTACCCAGTTTTCTAGGAAACCAGTGTTTGGTACGATGGGAACATGCGCTTGTTTGGGTGGGTTTACGAGCAATTTCATTCACCATGCTGAGTCTAAACGTCAAGTAGGTTTTCAAGACCCGAGTTCTACTGAATTCTACAAAATAAAAATACATTCAGTATTTATTATGAAAAAAATAAAAATAAAAAAATAAAAGAAGAAAAGAAAGGAAATGGGGGAGAAAAGAAGTAGGAAGAAGAGGAGAAAAAGAAACAGCAGCAGCCATGGTGAATTCAAAAGAAAACAAAATTTTAATCCAAAAAGCCCCTCAGTCACTTCACAGAATATTTCACAAGAGCTATTTGATGTCCAAATGTAAATAATCATGGTGCTGAGATTTTGTGTGAAACTTTGTCATTTCAAAGCCATTTTTACAGTCGTAAATTAGCTAATCAGCAAATGAATCAGAGACATACGGGTCATATTTCACTCAAATCATATGATTTTAAATTGGAGAGAAACTGCTGTTGGAAAACAAATAGTAAAAGTGCTTTTAAACAGATTTTTATTTATCTATTTTAATGTTTTGATTTTGTGAAGGCCCGGAGCTTGATAGCTGGATGAAACGAGGTTGTACACCAATAGGATCGGGTTGCTCATCACGTTTAATGAGAATATAAACCTCCGATTTCCATTACGGCACCTATGCTTCCCTGGGTGGAAACACTCGAGGGAAGGAAGGGGTAAATAGGCATGCCTACCTGTCCCTGTACCCAATAAAGTCTCAGAGAGAATTTTCCCTGGGGAACCAGCTGCTGAGTAGACCAAACCAGATTCACCTGGGATACACGTCAAAATGATGTAGACGTTTCTCTAAAAAGGGCTTTGAGGCTGGTGGCCTTTATACACATTACTCTCTGCTGACAGCTGATGGGCAGTTTCCAGACATCTGAGGCCTGGTGGTTAGTAAGAATCATAACAGGTCGGGCACGGTGGCTCATGCCTGTAATCCCAGCACTTTGGGAGGTCGAGGCGAGAGGAACACCTGAGGTCAGGAGATCAAGACCAGCCTGGCCAACAATGGTGAAACCCCGTATCTACTAAAAACACAAAAATTAGCCAGGCGTGGTCATGGGCGCCTGTAATCCCAGCTACTCCGGAGGCTGAGACAGGAGAACCACTTGAACCCAGGAGGCGGAAGTTGCAGTGAGCAGAGATCACACCACTGCACTCCAGCCTTGGCAACAGAGTGAGACTCCATCTCAAAAAAAAAAAAAAAAAAAAAAAAAAAAAAGAAGAATCATAGCAATATTAGCGGAAGCCTACTACATTGTTACTAAGTGCCAGGCACTATTCCAGGTGCTTGGCATTCATTAACTCATTTAATCTGATGATGACCCTATGTACTGTTTTCCCCTCTATGTGTAGTTCAGGAAGGGGAGGTTAAAGATGGTCATGTTATCCAAGATCACCAGTTGTTATATGCTGAAATGATGTTCAAACCCAGGCAGCAGGGCTCCAGAGTTCAGGTTGTTAACCGCTGGGCTAGACTGCCGCCCCAGGCACAGTGGAGGTCAGGAGAGCCTCCTCTCCTTGCCGCCCAGCACCCGTGGGGGAGTTAAGGCATTCCTTTGCAGTTGTTCCCCAGCACTGCCATCTGCCTGGGTTTCTCCCAAAGATGTCATTTCATGAACTTGGCTTCTCCAAGGCCAAGTCTGGGGACCCTCTTGGTCTTTCTGGGCCCTGGAGAATGAGCTCTCCCCTGGGCTTGGCCTCCCCCTCCTCCTGCACAGGCCCTATCTGTTTCGCTGACAGAGTGGAAACCTCTTAGACGGGGAGGAAGATTGAGAGGGAGTGGGCAGTATATACTTCCAGAAAAGAGCCTCATTTTTTGTTCCACGTCCCAAGTCTTCCATAGTGAGAAGGGCCCTGAGCTCAGAGGAGGCTGAGAGAACAGGCCTGAGGTTGCCTCCTGCACCGGCCCCACTCCTCCTCCCTCATGTTACTCCAGCCACACTGGCCTCCTTTCTGTCCTTCAAAACCACCAAGCACTTTCCTACCTCCTGCCTTTGCCCATGCTTTCCCCTCTGCCTGGACACCTCTTCCCTAAGGCCTCCAGACTTCTACTTACAGCACTTTGGGAGGCCGAGGCAGGCGGATCACGAGGTCAGGGGTTCAAGACCAGCCTGAACAACATGGTGAAACCCTGTTTCTAATAAAAAATACAAAAATTAGCCGGGCGTGGTGGTACGCGCCTGTAATCCCAGCTACTCAGGAGGCTGAGGCAGGAGAATTGCTTGAATCTGGGAGGCGGAGGTTGCAGTGAGCAGAGATCACGCCATTGCACTCCAGCCTGGGCGACAGAGTGAGACTCCATCTCAAAAAAAAAACAAATGCCTCCCTTTCCCAGAAACCTCTCACCACATCGTCCGAGGCACCCCCAACCCTCTACTTGTTGCTCCTGGTTTTTCCGACTGGTGCCCTTAGGCAGTTTGCAACATTTATTCATTCGCACATCTAATTGCTCACTGACTTGTGATTCTCCCTTTTCGCTTTTGCCCTCCAGGAAGCTGTGTCTCTATGCACCTATATAATAGTATCCAACAACACAATATCTAGCCCAGAGCCCCACGCTAAACCTGGAACACAGTACATGCTCAAGAAATACTTACTGAACAATAAAAAGATCAATCAGATTCTGGTTTCAGAGAGGAGCTCTAATAAAAGAATTTTCCTCCTCTTCATCTTCTGTTTCTGGGCTTCAAACTCCATGAGAGCTGGACTGGAGTCCCGAGATGCATATGCAAATTTATTTTCATTTCATTTTAATTTGACAAACATGGAAAGCTGGGACATGGAATCCAGGTCTACTGGTTCCTGCCCTCAGGGAGCTTCAACTTGGTGAAGTGGGCAGGGTGGGAGGGGGACAGACAAAGGAGGCAGGGTGTCCCCAGCAGAGGAGTGGAAGATGCAAAGGCCTAGAGGTGGGAAAGATCATGGCGTATTTGGGGAGCCTCTGTGGCTTGGCATGACTGGATCAGGAGGACAGGTGGCAGAAAACAAAGCTGGAGAGTCCTTCAGTGTGTCAGTGTGAAGGACAGTCAAGTCCTTCAGTGTGTCAGGCTTACACAGTAGGGACCCCTGAGGGTTTTGCACCTCCAAGTGTGGTGGGGTTGACCAGTGTGGAGCGGGCAAGACAGAGGCAGGGGGTCCCACAAAGGGGCAATGACAGCCATCCAGGCAGGACGAGGACTGAGCGTGCTGACGGGAGAACAGAGGTAAGGGCTATTCAGAAACAAATGTCGGCCTTTCCATGACGCAGTCAGGGAGAGGAAGAAGAAAGGGCAAGGAAGACCCAGAGGTTCCCGTGGGAGACTATCTCAGGGACCCACACTTCCCAGTGGCACCCTGGCCACTCCCACAGCTCTCATCTGAATAAGCTTTGTCCTCAGAATCCTGAACTCATTGTCCCCTGGCAAACCCTCCTCAAGCACACAGCTCCTTCCTGCGCCTGGATAGTGTTTCTGGAAGACCCTGAAACGTCAAGGTCTTTCCCAATTCATCATCGCTGGGGCAAAGCCGCCCAGCTCTCTACCCACAGCAATAACTCTTGGGTTCGAGGGCTGCAGGGAGTGTGATCTACTCTTTGGCAGCTGAAATAGCCATTTCCCTCACGATATAGAACCCCCAATTCACGAGGGTGAGCAGGCAGGGCTCCAAGAGCAGAATACTGCTTCTTTGCTCTCGGTTCAGGGCCAAGATTTAATTTTTAATTTTCAAAAACGTGAGTGGTCAGACCACGGCTTGAAAATTGAAACCATCCTCTGAGCACCTCTGCGTCTCCCGCCTAGACCTTCTCCACTGCAGAGCATGACGTGGCTTGGATGGGGCAGCATTTCAGAGTTTCCCAGCTATCAAGAGTAGGTTTAGGTTTCCACCTTGGGCTGCAGCTGACACTACCTGCCCAGCTCCAAATTCTCTAGCTCTCTGTGACCTTGGGCGTGGTTTTCAACTTCTTCGAACCTCAGTTTTCCCATCTGGTAAAAAGAAGCCTTAAGACAATACTTGATAGAGCTGCCGTGAGGAATAAAAGAGATACGAATGTTAACTCCTAAGACATGTCAGCCAGGCACAGTGGCTCACGCCTGTAATCCCAGCACAGAGAGTTAACATTCTCTTAAGACATATCTTAAGAGCTAACTCTTAAGACACGCCTGCCATAATGGGGAATAGTTGCAATTTCTCTGAGTTATAAACTGATCCAGGACTTTTTAGAGGAGCGAAAATTATATAAACAGTACCTTTACCCACGCATGCTCTCATTTCCTCACTTCTCTGGCCAGGTCTACAGAAACTCTGAGAAGAGTAGGAAGATGGGAGGTTCTCTGATCATTGGCAAGACTCTGAATCTCTCTGGATCTTAGTCTACTCATCTTGGAAATGGAAGCAATAATGCCCAACTTCAGGGTGTAGAGCCAGGTAGGGAAGGGACCTACCATTTATCTAGCGCTGAGGGAGATATTCTCTGATGGAGGGATGAGCTGTGTGAAGTATTCAAGAGGTCTCGCCTTGAAAGAGTAAGAGGATTTCCTCCTTTTCTTTTTCGAGAAGGAAAGGAAGGCTTTATGTCTTGGAGTACCAAGGTTTCCTTGTCCCATGGGGGAGTAAGGGCCTGTACTTTCAAAATCTTAGGTTCAGAGACACAAATAACTGGCTTGCCTAAAAGGGGCTGTTTCCACGGGATGAAAAAGGGGTGAGATTTCTAAGAGTGAGCGTGTGGTTGGGGGAGATGGCCCCACTTGCAGCCAACAGGCCTCCCACCCCCGTGAAGGCCCTGGGAGGGTGGAACCTCCGAGGATAATGACACATTGTTGGACTCCTGGAGAAGGACTGGCCTCATAATTTCCAGAGCCCAGCGTATAATGCAACTGTGGGTCCTTTGTTCAAAAGTTGTTCTGAATTTCAGGATGGTGGCAGAGAGAATGAAACCAAGAGTGAGGCCCTTCTGAGCATGGCGCCTGGGGCAGTGGCATAGGCTGGACACTTGGGAAGTCAGCCTTGCCTCCCTTGGGCCTCAGAAGCCCAGTGAAGACTTCATGGCCCAGATGGGCACTGAGGAGTGGATGCCACAAGCAGAGGACTCCTTGCCTTCCAAGAAACCGTGGCCCAAGAAGATCAGATGACTGGCTCTCATTTTCAGTCTGAATGAGGTTCCTGGAATTCTTTTACAAGTTTAGGGAAAGGAAGCCTCCCCACTCCCCACCCCTAAAGCATTGAGACTGAATATCCTGAGTCAGATTTCACATGACACAAAGTGGAGAAACAAGCCTTGCGTCCGAGTACCATGCGGCAAAGGCTGCTCAGGCCGCATTGCATTTAATCCCCACAACAGCCCTGCTGGCACCAAGCCAGCACTTGTTTCCATGAAGGCTCTCAGCCTCCCAGACTCTCAAACCAACCAGCCAGAGCCTGGGCATATGGTGCGTGCATAGGGGATGTGGGGCTGGAAGGCAGAGCCCAGGCCCCTAGGAGGAAATGCCCCCTAAGGACAGGCACCTTCTGGGGAAACGATGAGTGTATGAGGGAGGTCAGGGCACGTGGCAGGGATCAGAAGATGCTCCCCCATCTAATATCAGTAACATTAATAACGATGGTACCAGCAATAGACAACATTTACTCAGCACTCACTAGGCGTGTCATCTCATCTATTCCTCAGCACAGCCAAGTTAATAGCAACGCCATGGCCCAGAAGAGGAGAACTAGTCTGGGTTCTCCAGAGAAACAGAACCAATAGAATGTTTACATATATCTAAATGTCCATATAGATACACATGTACTATATATGATAGATAGATAGATATGATAGAGTAGATAGATGATAGACAGACAGATAGATAGATACAGTAGATAGATGATAGATAGATAGATATAGATAGATGATAGGTAGATAGAAATGACAGATACAGATGACAGAGATAGATGATGATAGATAAATATAGATGATTGATAGATAGTAGATAGATGATAGATAGATAGATAGACAGAGTAGATAGATGATAGGTACATAGATAGATACAGTAGATAGATGATAGAGATGATAGATATAGATGATAGACAGATATAGATAGGTGATGATAGATAGATAGATACATAGATAGATAGAGATGATAGATAGATAGATAGTAGATAGAGATAGATGATAGATATAGAGATGATAGATATATAGATACAGTAGATAGATGATAGATAGAGATGATAGATATAGATAGGTGATGATAGATAGATATGATAGATAGAGTAGATAGATGATAGACAGATAGATAGATACAGTAGATAGATGATAGATGAGATGATGATAGATATAGATGATTGATAGATAGTAGATAGATGATAGAGTAGATAGATGATAGATACATAGATAGATACAGTAGATAGATGATAGAGATGATAGATAGATATAGATAGGTGATGATAGATAGAGATGATAGATATAGATGATAGATAGGTAGATATAGATGATAGAGAGATGATAGATACATAGATAGATACAGTAGATAGATGATAGAGATGATAGATATAGATAGGTGATGATAGATACAGTAGATAGATGATAGATAGATAGATATGATAGGTAGAGATGATAGAGATGATAGATAGATACAGATAGATAATGATAGATAGATAAATATAGATGATAGATAGTAGATAGATGATAGATAGATAGAGTAGATAGATGATAGATACATAGATAGATACAGTAGATAGATGATAGATATAGATGATAGATAGATAAAGATGATAGATAGATATATATAGGTGATGATAGATATAGATGATAGATAGATAGATAGATAGATAGATAGATAGATAGATAGTAGATAGAGATAGATGATAGAGTAGAGAGATGATAGATACATAGATAGATACAGTAGATAGATGATAGAAATGATAGATAGATATAGATAGGTGATGATAGATGGATAGATAGATAGATAGATAGATAGATAGATAGATAGAGATTTACTTTAAAGATCTGGCTTGTGCAATTTCGGAGCGTGGCAAGTAAAATCTGCAGGGTGGGCCTGGCAGGCTGGAGACCCAGGGAGGAGTGAATGTTGCGGTTTGAGTCAGAAGGCCATCTGCTGCAGAACTCGTTCTTGCTGAGGGAGGTCAGGCTTTCTGTTCAATTCAGGTCTTCAGCCGAGTGGATGAGGCCACCCACTATCAGAAGGTCAATCTACTTTACTTAAAGTCCATCCATGTAAATGTTAATCTTGCCCAAAAACACCCCCACAGAGACATCCAGAATAATGTTTCACCAAACATCTGGGCACTATGGCCTAGCCAAGTGGATACATAGAATTAACCATCAGGTGAGGTGAGCACACCAAGCAGGCAGTGGCCCCAGCTGTAACTCAGGAGGTCCAGCCTTAGGCCCACGCCCTACTGCCCTCCTTGGTGTCCTCTCAAACCATTGCCTGTAATAGATGACTTCAAGAGGCGCATGGATGGACTGTCTATGAAATGGTAGTAGGTATGTATCCACTCAGGAAAACAATATAACTAGCACGTCGACCCCATGAATTTTTGGACGTTATTTCATAGGAAGAGATCAAAGTCAACAAGTGAATCTATTTTAGGATTTTAAAACATGATATTAAGTGAATATTATTAGGTTGAACCATGTGATATTGTCATTTTTGTAGGCAAAAATGGTCAAATAGCAGCAGTTTTCTATGGCTCAAACCTATTGGAAGTTCCGTTTTTCATCGCACTGCCTCCTCTCTAATGTAGCAGAAATGGTTCACAGACTGTCTGTTTTCACCTTCATGTGGCTGCAAAGGGTCTGCTCACCAGAAAGTTCAGATCCAACATCCCTGGCTACTGCACACTTGCCAACATATGGGTCCGGGGATGGAAGGTTGCTCCCATGCAGATGCACGTAGGCCAGCCATGCATGGTGACATGGTATCCTGTGATCAGCCATCTTAAACAGCAGAGAGGCCTCAGGCTTGGGAAGGGGGCACATCAAGACCTAGCTAGTGTTTGCTAGCTTATTAGCTGTGTGACCTTGCTTGAGTGGCTTAACCTATCTGCATCCCCTTTCTCTCCATAAGTACAAAGGGAATTGGGGGCCCAGAAAAATAATTGTCTGTCTCATGTACTTCTAGACAATGAAAACCACATAATCTGTTTCTCTCTGGCCTGGCCATTAGGAAGCTCAGAGCTATACTCCAGGTTTAATTTTCATAGTTTCCACAACTCCTCATACAGCTGGGTGCTGCCTTATCTGTCTCCACACTATATTGTGAAGTGTTTAAGGACATACGTCATCACAGAGGTGGCACATGATTCCCCAGGCCCTGACCCAGAGCAGGTGCTCAGCAAGTGTGTGCTGATTCAGCAATAATACCCGTATTCTAAGCCAGGCACTGTGCTTCTTGCCTTGGCCCAGTTAACCCTCACAACCATGAGCCTATGGGATAGTCACTGCTATTTGTCCCACTTTGCAGATGGGAACACAGAGACCAAATACTGTTCCCAAAGTCCAAGAACTCTTAATAGTAAGTGGTAGTGCTAAGATCGGAGCCTAAGCATTCTGGCTCCAGAGGCCCCTGCTTAACTACACTGCAGGAGAAGCAGGTGAAGGAGAGAGCGACTATCTTCTCTAGGCCTCGTGGTGTAACTTCTCTCCTCTCCTCCCATTCTTTTTTATCTTTTGCCCTGCATTGCTGGGTCTTAGTCTCTGTCACTCTAAGGCTCTTACTGTTGGAGCCATAAACACCTTACAGAAGCTGATGGAGCCATAGTAATAATCACGGGAACTGATCCCCTACAGGCTTTGCTCACTCATCCCTGCCAGACCCTGTGTCCAGCCCCTTTTCACTTAGAACCCCTCACAGCTGCACAGGGGAGGGCATGGTAGTCCCATTTCACCTAGGAGGAAACTGACACTCAGACAGCTGGAGTTGCCTGGTTAAGGTCACTCAGCTGGGATTGAACCCAGGTCTGGGTGACCCCACAGTCAAACAAACAAAAGGCAAAGATTTTTGTGGATTTTCTTCAACAACGAAGTAAAGCAGGAAAAGACCTGGACTTCTCCCCCCTCTGGCCTCAGCTTCTCCGTATATAACACAGAGCATTAAGCCCATTAAGTTCAGTTGTCTCATTCAAATTCCAGCACTGCTGGCTGTGTTACCTCGGGCATGTTACTTAACCTCTCTGAGCTGCAGTTTCCTCATCTGTAAAATGGGAATGAGGATAGTAACTGTCTCTACTTCGTAGGGTTGTAAAGTTAAGTGAGATTAAAGCAATGTAAAGCATTCAGCCCAGAGCCTGGCATATGGTAGGCAGTGGGGAATTTGGGATATTCTTATGAAAATGAAAGTTTTGAGATCTTTTCCAGCCAGGTTGAGATCTTTTCCAGCCAGGACCTCGTATAGCCTAAACACAGGCCTGAGCCCTGGCCCCTGTTCCCTGCAGCCTTGGGGCAGAAGCCCAGCTGGGGTGAATACTCCCCCATCCTCATTGCCCCTGTATGGGGGCACTGGTGGGAGAGGCAACTGCCTTGCCCTGTGCATGAGCCTGGCAATGACCCAGGAGGTGTTTCCTGGGCATGAGGTAATGGAAGGCTGGAGCCTGCCCATCATCACTCGGGCAGGGCAAAACAAGAGTGACAATGCGCCAGGGCTTCCCACGGCCAAGACAGGCACAGGCCAGCCCAGGTTCCAGCAGGAGGAAGCCTGAAGCTGCAGCATGCACACTGTCTTTGTGTCTTAAAAGGAGATGACCAGCAGGCAGCAGATTAGTCTTGCAGTGAACCAGCCTCCTGCTGGGGGACCTGGGCTGGACTCAAACAACTGAAGAGACCCCATAAGCAAATGCCTGACTCAGGAGTGGCCCATCCCCATTCCTAGCCTGGAAAAGAGAGATACAAACAGAATCAAGTCAGAATAAATGTGTGGAGTGAGTCTGGGCTTTCTCCTCTGTCAAACTGGCCAGGTGTCTGACTCCATGCCTGGCCCTTAAGGTTCAAGAGGCAAGAGAACCTGACCCTGAACTAGCAGGTGTTCAGGCATGGAGGTGAGACAGGCTTTGGAAAGTTCAGTGGTGCCCTTTATGATGATTGGGGCAACAAAGGGGAGGAAAATCAGAGAGGGCTCCTCAGAGGAAATGACCTCCAAGCTGGGTCTTGAAGGGTGAGTAGGCTGTCGAGGCAGTCGTCACAAAGAGGGTGTTCTAGGCAGACGGTACTGTATAAGCCAAGGCAGGGAGGCAGGAAATAGTAGCAAGCACTCCAGGATCTACAGGTGCTAGCTGTGAAACATACGAGTAGGTAAGAGAAGGACAATGAGGCTCGTGAGGTTGTCAGTGGCCACAGATTTGTCACTTGTTGGAAGCTTCTTGGGGAACACAGACATCATCTCATTTCCTGTGCCCTCTTTACAGACGAGGGAACTGAGGCTCAGGAAGGTAAAGCAGTTTCTTTCTCCAAGGTCAACTAATAGTAGGGCATCTGAGACTGGAACCCAAGTCTACCTGCCCTCCAGCTGAAGGTCTTTTTTTTGTGTGCAGTGGCGCAATCTTGGCTCACTGCAACCACCGCCTTCTGGGTTCAAGCGATTCTCCTGCCTCAGCCTCCTGAGTAGTTGGGACTACCGGTATATGCCACCATGCCCAGCTAATTTTTGTATTTTTTAGTAGAGATGGGGTTTCCCCACACTGGCCAGTCTTGAACTCCTGGCCTCAGGCAATCTTCCCACCTTGGCCTCCCAAAGTGCTGGGATTAGAGGCATGCGCCACCACTCCCGGCCAAGCTGAAGGTCTTGACTGCTTACTCCATCACCTCTTACCACCCTGGGACCCTCAAAAGCCATGGTAAGGAGCTTGGATTTTACCTGAGAGTAATGGAGATCTAGAGAGGATTTAAGCAGAAGGAAAAGGCGGCCACATTTGCAATTAGCAGCCTCACCCTGGGGCAGAGCAGAGAATGGACAAGAAGGATCCAGAGTAGAGTAGGTCAGAAAATCAGGCGAGCCCAGTGAGCACCAGCCCTGGTGTCAAGCCCTGCCCCAAGGACCTCAGCCCCAACAACCTGGCCCCTGCTTCTCTTTCCAGCTCCTTTACTCCCCGGCTTCAGCCATGTGAAAATCATTCAGCTCCCCTCTGCTGTGGGGCTTCTGTCGTCTTTTCAAATCTGCTATTCCCTCTGCTCGAGCCTTCTCTCTGTTGCTGCTCACCTGACTAATGTCCACTCCACCCCCAGGTTCCAGCTTGAAGATCATTTCCTTCAGAAGCCTTCCTTGACCACAGGGCCTGATATCTGAGTTCTGTGACCCCAGTCACCCTACTTCTCCCCTGGAACATCATTCATTGTTTTCTCCTTTGAGAAAGGGAGGGCACTTGCCCTCGCCCACCCTGGCCCCTCAGTGCCCAGCACAGGGAGCAGTTCCTGGACATCCAGCCAAATGAGGTCTCTGAGGTGGCAAGGCTTCCTCAGATGACATTCAGTGTTGTGTGCCTCCCTCAAACACTGGACTGCCCACCCCTGCCCTCATTGACAGTGACTCCCCAGTCATACAGACATTGTCTCATGAGCCAGGCCCTGGCCACAGTTTTAAGGGAAATTTTTAATCCCGAGGCCCAGGCAATTAATAATGTCATCGTGAGACTTGGACAACAGTGGTCAGTTTAAGGGTGTTCTACTCTGAGAAGACTGCCAGGCCCACTCTCACCCTGTTCGGCCTCTGTCAAACTGGGTCAAGGTCCCTTCTTGGGTTCCACCAGCACTGAGCCATCTCTTGGGGTTTGCATGCCTGTCTGTCCCACCAGGTTTGTCCTATTGAGCCCCATTTCTGAAGCCCAGCACATGGATGAAGCCTGGAACATGGCCAGATGGATAAATGGATGGATGGGAGGGTGGATGGATAGATGGATGGGTGGGTGGGTGGATGGGTGGGTGGATGGATGGTGGATGAGTGGATGAGTGTGTGGATGGATGGATGGATGGAAGGGTAGATGGATGGATGGATGGATGGATGATGGGTGGATGGGTGGATGAGTGGGCAGATGGATGGATGGTGGATGGATGGATGGGTGGATGGCTGGGTGGATGGATGGATGGATGGATGGATGGACGGATAGATGGATGGATGAGTTGCCTAATAAGCATGGGCCATCATAACGAACAGCTCAAACTGAATGATGTCCAAGGTTTACTGTGGACATGGAGGCTGCCCTGCTCAGCTTGGATGGACTGGAGGGGCCCACATAAGAGCCATCTCTACCTCTGATCAGGACAAGGATGAGCAATGCCTATGAATGACAGAGACTCACTTGACAAAAATGAGATGCCCTCCCTTCTAGGGCATCCCTTGCTCCTGTAGACTGGTTGCTTCCATTCTTGATTCCCATCTGGGTGGGCCATACAGTGTCAGCCCACATCAGCCTGCTGTGGGCATCTTCTAGCCCAGACAGATGGGCACAGGACTGGCCCCCTATCTCGGAGAGACCCACAGACTTGCCTTCCTTCATCTTAGGAGGTGGAGGGAACAGGAGATGCCAGATGATACCTATTCCTAGAAATATTGGGACAACCACTGCTTGGAATGGAGAAGGTGGGCCCTAAGGCACAGCCAGATTTTTCTGTGTTAGCAAGGAGATGGGGAATTAAAATCTGTTAACACCTCCCATGTGCCAAGCACTTTACACACTTTGTCTCTAAGCTATACACCAGCTTTATAGATGGTTACTTACATACACACACATGCACAGACACACACCGATTTTACAGATGTGAAAACTGAGGCTCAGAGAGAGGTAGAGTGGCAGGTCCAAGATAACACATTGAATTAGTGGTGGAGCTAGGGTTTGATCCAGGTTCCATGTGGCCCCACAGTGTTTTCAGGGACCCTTCAGCTAGCAAGAACCTCTACCTCGAGTGTCCTGTACCCTCTTCTGTCACAGAGACAGGAGTTCCTGGCCTCCTCCCTCTTCTCTTGCTGAGGCTGCCCAGTTCTCGCTGCTGCTGCCAAGTGCTGAGACCTGATTTGAATTTGGGGTTCTCTCCACTGCAGCCCAACAAAGGTTTTTATTGGAATGCCCCTTAGATTTCCAGATTTTGAAGATGTTTCAACAATGCAGTAAAAGGCAGGTCTTTGCCACAACAAAAGGCAGAAATATCACCAAGAAGTAAACAGAATTCCTTGGCCACTTCAGAGCATGTGTCAACATCTCTTTCCCCTCCTCTCCCCCTGCCCCTTTTCTTGTCTTTTCTTTCTTTACTTTTCTCTTCTCTTCCTTTCTTGTCTGCAGATTCAGATCTTGTCGGTAAAGGTAGCTTGCTGACACGAATGGGCTGAGCCGTGGTTTGCCCTAAACTCAGCAGCTCTGTCTCAGAACAGATGCCGGGGCTTTGGTAAACTGAGAAAGCATAAACTGCTGCGAGACGCTTTCCTGATGACCACAATTACCCACATGGAAAAGCCATTCTGCAGCTCCAGTCCCTCGCCCTACCCCCTGGCACACACATGTAGTGGCCTCAGCTTCAGAAACAGGGCTTCCCAGAGCAAAAATATATGTGACGTGTACAAAACGGCTTGCTTTCAACCCATGGATGGAAATTGAATGCATTTGGAAAGTCCATGCTTAAAAACAATCTTGGTAGAAAGCGTGCCTGTTGACAATGGTGCCTCTAAGTGAGGCCTCACTCCCCAGGCAGGCTTATGAGGGGCTGAGAACAAGCAGTCGGGCCCCACCTGGGACCCCCTCTCACTCAGGAGACAGTCCCCGGGGCAGAGTGTGTGGGAGTGTATAAGAGTGTGTAAGTGTATGAGCATATGGCAGTGTGAGTGCATGTGGCGTGTGTGTGTCTGTGCGTGAATGTGTAAACGGTGAATATGTGTAAGCATGTGTACAGCCTGTGAGAGTGTGTGTGTGTGGCAAGTATGTGTTCACTGCATGTCTAGTCTGTGAGTGTGTGTGTATCCACGTGTGAGGGCATGTGTGTCTGTGTGGGGAATGTGAGTGTGTCTGTACGTGTGTGTGAATGGGTACAATGTGTGCACAATACACACATGCTTGTACAACTGTGTGCATGGCTGTGTGTGTGTGAAGAGAGACAAAGAGGGGCAAGATGCAACCCTTCCATCCTTTTCCAAGGAAGCAAATGTCACCGAGCACCTCCCTTGTGCCTGAAGGAGGAGGAGCTGGGGAGAGTGTTGATCTCAGGAAAGGTGGGGTCGTGGCCTCTCAGAGCTTAGAGGAGATTTTGAGACAGAGACCAGGTTAAGGACATCATCGAAGAGCAAGCCGAGACCATTTTGAAGGGTGCACTGGAGAGGGGAAAGAGGAATGAAGGGATTAGGCATAGACAGCATTGGCATAGAATGGCAAAGAAACCTAAACTCAGACCAGTTAGTCCTGAGTGTGGGCTCATCTCTACCCCTTCCTGACAGTGAGATCTTGAGCAAGTCACTTTTTCCCAGGCCTCAGTTTCTGCAAGTAAAGTAGGGCTAAGAAAACATCGCATTCATGGAAACATGGAAAAGAATGTGTGCAAATCAACTGTAGGCCAAGCATTCAAGAAGTCGCAGCTGGTATTCTTATTATAATCACGTTCCCCGGATGTGACCTGGGAGGAAGGCATCATTTCCCCATTTTAGGGATGAGAAAACTGAAACCCGACGGCCTCACAGCCACATGGTGACAGAGTTGGGGCTGGCCCTCAGAGCCATCCGGCTTCGAAATCTACCGCCTCACCTTTTCTGCTGAGGCTCTGACCTCCAGAAATCCTGGAGGTGGCAGAGCTCAGCCTTCTGTGAAGCCCTCTGAGATTCTGTGGGAAGGAGAGGCCCAGCACAGGGCAGGGGCTTCCCTGGTGGGAGAACATTTTGGATACCAAGACAGGAAGTGGCCTCCAATGAGGAACACTCTGTTTTGGAGTAAGCGGGGAGCAAGCTCCTATCTGTGAGGCCCAGGAAATGCCCTGGGGGTTGAGAGGTGACCAAGACGCAGACCGGGACCCTTTAAAACACCGTAAAACCCTGGCCGTACCATTCCCCTGACCAGTGGTCATTCAACAGCTATTAGCCCCTTCCCATGAAAAGGGGCTCCAGACCACGATTAGACGCCATTGCCCTTTCCAACGTTTACAGTGGTCCAAAAATAGAATGGACTTTGTGAGGGAGTGAGGTTCCCATCAATGGCAATCTGGGATATGGTTGTAGAGCTGAACACAGTATAGAACATTCAGCAATTCAGTGGCTGATGCAATTTAGTGTGACATTATCTACCAAGAGGCTCTATTCATTCCATCAGACACACGACATGCATTTATTAAGCACCTGCTGGATGCTGAGAACTGTGCTGTGCACACAGGAGATGCAAAATTAATATAACATAATCCATGCCTTCAAGAAGCCTCTGTTCTAGCTTAAGTCTCTCTCTCTCACTTACGTCCCTCGCTGGTTCTCATTTTGTTTTAGTCATGGATGAAGTTTGGTGGGTCATGGCTTTAGCATTCTAAGCAAGTATACTGCATATTTGGTATTCATTGTTCTGTTTTTTTAAAAAGTATTTAAGACAAGTGACTTAGGTTGTTTTTGTGAACATGAGGCTTGATCTGACTGCTTTTCTTCTAAAGCAGGACTTCTCAATCTCCTCACTAGTGACATTTGGGGCTATAGAATTCTTTGTTTTGGGGGCTGTCCTGTGCTAATGGCATCCCTGACCTCTACCCTCTAGATGCTAGAAGCACCCCCTCCCTAAGTTGGGACCATCGAAACATCTCCAAGTATTGCCAGATGTCCTCGGGGACAAAACCATGCCCAGTTGAGAACAACTGTTCTAAAGGAGTCTCTCCACTAAGGCAAGGCCCAAAGTGAGGAATAAGATACATACAGTAAATCCAGGGTCCCTGCACCTGAGGACCTTCTAATCCTATAGTGCCTGCATTAACTAAACACATGGAAGATAAAGTATGACCATGGATGGTGTGCTGAGCACTGAGCCACCGCCCGCTGGAGAGGAGAGGGCCTAGGTGCTAGGCCTGGAGGCCGGATCATCCAATCCCACGGAAGAACTGTGGGATTTGAATACCTGTTTCCTCACCAGGAAATGGCATTATTGTGAGAATTTGAGTGAAATCCAATTTGTACAAAGCACAAAGTAGGTGTCCCATCAACATGAATTACCTTCCTTTTTTCTTCAACTCCAATGCCACTTTTCCTAACTCCAGGATCAGCAGCAGCAAATGCCACCAGCTAGCAACTTCACTGTCCTGCCTCACCCCCTCTCTCTGGACAAACGGCAGAGTAAAACAGTGTCCTCTTGGGAGTCCAGGCACATAGACACCCGAGTATCTCTGAGTTGGGGATGTGTAGAGCCTGGAGCAAAGGCATCACTCCCCTGACTGCCCATCTTTTGTTCCACACACAGGGCAGTTTTCAGACTCATCAAACAAACAGGAAAAAAAAAAAAGGTTTCCACAAGCCAGACTTCGAAAGCATAAAATCAGCTGCAGAAAACTTCTGAACTTGAGCTAGCATGTTATTGGGCAAATTTTGAGTGCCATTTGCATTTGTTGCAAACAGCTCTTGGAGGGTTTCTTGGAAACCTGTTGAGCAGTGATTTTTTTTTTTCATTAGCCACTAGTTGCTAAATGCATGGGCATCATAGCACTCTGGGCATCATGGTTTGTAAGCAGCTGAAAACCTGAGATCAAGTGCAAGGAGGACTCTGGCTGCCAAATTTCAGGGCAGGGAGAAATAAAAGGAAAAAAGAGAAATGTGGAATGTGTTTCTACTTACTGTCCATTCCAGTAAAATGAAAAGATCTCTCCTCCAAACATATGTTACTGCTTAGGCCAGAAACTGTATATATTGGTCTAAATCCAGAATGGTCTGTGTGACATATTACTCTGTATGACAAAATTACTACAACCTGCATTCGCTATAGAAATGCCTGCTGCAACAGTAAAGGATGATAATTTGTTGTACAACAGAAGTACATAATAATTTCATGTCAGTGTGGGCCAGGCCTTGGGATTTTCAAAAGGAAATCTCAGATGCATGTGGACCAGTGTTGAATAGGCACCCCCGATCCCTCCTCCTCTACCCCCACCCCCCCAACACTCATATCGTGTGTGATCAGAATAGGAGAAAGTGGGGCTTTATTTATAACATACCATATTCCACTTGAAAGTGACAAGAACACACACACACATACACACACAGACATACACACACAATCAACACTAAAAATAAAGTCAAGTGGCAATCTGGTGTTCTCATGCATGAGGCACCAGTGGTCAGAGCTGGTTCACCAACCAAAGGGTGAAGGACGGTCAAGGAGCCAACAGACAGGAATGTTCATCTTTCAGCACTGAGCTGCTTCGAACCCGTCCAGAGTGAAGCCACGTGAATTCCTCAAGACCCCTCCTTCCTGCACCCGACAAACCACAGCCCCCTCTTTGGCCCTTGTCTGGGCTAAGGTTTCATTACAAAGCCCGGGCCCCATTCCAATCCTCTCATCTGTCCCTCTAATGGGCTCCGACAGATCACTCCACAGTACACGGATTCTCGTTGGGATAACGTCTTGGAGAGTAGCAACCTGAAATATGATCTAGTCAGAGTGCGTTAACGGTAAAGCATTTCTTTATGACACTTTTCACAAAGCAAGGTTGCAAACCAGGGAGAAATATACGACTAGAAAAATGGAATGCAGAACACAAAAGCAGCCCAGGTGCTGAGACATGTTAGCGCGTGACACAGTGTTTCCCGATGTGGACACTTCAGTTCCAGGAAAATGTTAAAACATTCTTTTCTCTTCCTTCTCTCCCTTTCCTTCCTTCCTTCCCTTTCTTCCTTCTTTCTTTGTCTTCCTTTCTTCCTTTTGCTCCTGCCTTTCTTTCCTTCCATCTTTCCTTCCGTTTCCTGTCATGTTGGGCAGATTTTCAGAGTGGGAAAGAAGAGACTTCCCTGGGCAGCGTTATTGAAGTGTCCTTTTCTGGGTGTTACCCCGGATAATCTGGTCATCCAAGCACTGCTGTCCTCCCAGATCATATCATCTAAATTTCAAACCTATTGTTCCACTAGAAAATTAGCTAGGCTCTTCTCAGACACACTTAAAATGTTCCTACAAAGGAAAAGATCCCATAAAACCCTTTTATATCTCAATTACATCAAAATCTCACTTAATTTGTCTCTCCTATCAGGGGCAATGACTTAAGCTACCGTGGCTTCAGGGAACCAAGCCTTCTCTGCTGTCAGCTGGGCAGCCAGACCTGTATTCTGGGTTTGGTGACCGTCGAAAATCTATCTTCTTAGAGTTTTTTGGTTCAATAAAACCTGAAACATATTTTGCCTGGCGTTTTTCCTCAGGATTTTTAAGCCCGTGTGTACTTTATGGCAAATGGGATCCATATGTCCCTGATTCATTGATACTTAAGCCATTAGGATGCTGTGTTGTAAGAACACTTTGATGTCCAAGGGCTGTCTTGCCATTTGCAGGACTTTTTTCTTCACAAACAGGAAGTTTTCCCTTCTCAAGGAGTACACAAAGCAAGAGGCCGGCTCCCCCAGAATGTGTGACAGTGAGTGGGAGGCAGTCCCGGCCTCCAGGATGTGCTTGTCTGGCCCCCAGACCCTGCCCCGGGGTGGGGAAGGAAGGGGCCTTGTGTAAGGAGCCTTGGAGCCAGGATTGGGCCTGCCCCTGGCGCCTGGGTCATTAGTCCCCTGCCCGGCAACCCTGCGACTCAGAACTGCCTCCCGGAGTGGACTCAGCGTGCCTTGGCATGTTTACTGCTTTTTAAGGGACATCAAAATAACACTCAAGAAAAACAAACAGCCAAGCACCATGGCTGAAGAGAAGGTCAGGGACGTCACTTGCCCTCCTTTCTTCAGGACTGCTGTGGAGACTGCCTTGGGCTTGGTTCAGGGGATAGACCAGTTCCAGGTGCAGCGGACACCATTCCCCAGGGCATCTGCAGGTTCTCTCGATGATCACTCTTTTGTCAGGGACCAGCGCATACCTCACAAGGTCCAGACGGGCCTCATGACCACCAGGTAAAGGCAGGAGACAGCCAGGGCTTTGGACACTGGCAGGCTTAGGTTTGGGATCCCAGCTCTGCCACCTACTGCCTCGGGTGCATGACTTCACCCACTAGAGACTCAGTTTCCCTTTCTGCAAGCTCTAAAAGCCAGCCTGCAGAGTTGTTATGAAAAACATGCCCAGAGGTGGATCAGCTGCGGTACCAAGCCCTCCTCACTTCCGTCTACACGGACGTGGTCACCTGTTTGGCTTTCCAGCCTCTCAGCCTGCTCTCTCCTTCTGCCCGTGGCTCTCTCTCATGTGTTTTCTGGGTGGGAGTGTGGGCTCTCTCCCTCGCCCAAGAGGCCAGTCAAGGGCAGGCCCATGACTTAGGCCCAGCCAGAGGAGGACTGCATGTGTGAGTTTGCGTTTCGAGCTTGTGACCTCAGCACATGAGGGTGGCGGGGGTCAGACTCAGTGCAGCAGCAGTGGCACTAGGCGGCCAATGTGTTTCTGCTGTGTATTCCTGCCTCCTCCATCCCGAGACATTCTTGGTCCCATTCACAGTCCAGTCCCAGCTCTCCAGCCTCCTGTCAACTCTGGGAGTCTCCGAAGTCCTGCTGATGGGAGTCCTTATTGCTCAGGATGGAGAAAACTTTTGTTTCTTGCAGCAAAGAACCCTGACAAATCCATACCCTTAAGCCCAGCTCACACATTCATTCTAACATCTACCCTGGTGATAATCCTTGTTCAATGTTCGCCACAGCCTCTGCTCTTCCTGCTCTCTCACTCCCTCACAACCTCCACACTTGTCCGTCACCTCCTCCCTCATGGCCTCTTTTCCTCTGCTCCCCATGTGTAGAAGACACCCACACCCTTTGGGTCTCAAGTAGAGCTGACTCTAGGGGTAAGCACACAACCCAGACATGGCCAGTTGGAGAACTGCACCCCTCTGGACAGGCTCATTGGCTCAGGAATAGGCACATGACCTAAGTTGATCCAGTAAGTTGATCTTGTATGACATTTTCTGGAACTCTTGGAGCATGAAGCACTCTTTAAGCTGGAGTTGCTAAACTAGTTGGTTATAGACCTGGAGCTGTAGCGGGCAAAGATGGACACTGCAAAGGGACAAACTGCCTGAAAAGGAAGCCAATACAGGAAAGTAGAGTCCATAGATAAAGACAGTGTCTTGATGACATTGTTTAAACCCCTGGATCCAGCCATGCCTGAAACCATCACATCCCTAGACTTGTTGAATATGTAAGCAAATCTACTTAAGCCAGGTAAAATTGGGATTTTGTCACTTACAACGGAAAGAGTACACTGCCTTAAATCCTACAGTTGCTTACTTGAACCAGTCCTTTGCCAATATATGTAACTTCCTTGGTTCCATTCTTCTTCTACTACCCAACCTAGGAAAACCCCAGTCCTGGATGACTCCAACAATCAACCTTCCTGGCTCCAGCTCCCAGGCTGCAGAGAGCTGCTAGGGAAAACCACAGCAGATGTACTGGCTGCATTTCAACTACTTGGTCTCCAAATTCAACCCGGTCCTCGATGGTGCCCTATAACACTACGGGTCACTGGCCCCAGCCCAATGTAGCTCTCCGCACATGAAATTCTTCTTTCAAACCCCCAGACTCATCAGTTCTCTTCTGCTCTCAGCAGGTGTTCCTACCTCTTGCTTCCTTAAGAAGCATTTAAGGCCACCTTCAACTTCTGCCCTTTCTGTCCACACACTAGCCCCACAAAATTCTACCTGTAGGTACAGCTATCCTTTCCTTCTAGGCTCCTGCCTCGGAGGGAGAGGTGGACTGCCTGTTGTCCAAGGCTGAATCTTCCTCCCTTCTGTTTTGGCTTTGGGAAAAGACAGACCTGAGTTCAGCCCCAGCTCTGCCACAAAACTAGCCACGTGGTTTATGGCCACCATGACTTGGCTCCCTGTGATCAAGCTTTCCTGGGCTTTGTGGCATTGCAGAGGACAGCACCTATTCCCAGAATGGGCATTGTCACATAATCACAATGTGACTGTTCATTTTAAAAGTCACATCCTTATTATATGATTATGCAGCAATATGGTCCTGTTGTTATGGGAACATATTATTCCTGTAATCCAATTCTTATAACTGTACAAATATTTGTGTTGGAGTTCCTGGGGGAGGGGGCTGGGAATAGGGCAGTAGACAAAAAGCCTGAAAGGCACTCACACAAAGCTTCCCACCACTTGGCGGGACCCAAGACTGGACAGGCAGAAAACCACCCCTGCCATCGCCCAAAGGCATCCTTTGAAAGGGAGTTGGGAGAAGCTGAGAAGGCATGCCACCTGCATCCTCTGACCTAACGTCACCCGGTGTTCCTCACTGTGACCAGCCCCCTCGTCGCACTGCCATGGACAGCATTGCACAGATGTGAGTGTGCCAGGTACTCACTCTGCCACCAGTGTTCATCAACCCTCAAATGCAGCATTTCAAAGAAGCTTTCACTGTGTGATCTCCAGCAAGCTGTTTCACCTTTCTGAGTTTGGTTGCCTCATCTGCAGGATGAGAATGACGTGACCCTCTCCTCCCAGGGCAGTGGGAGGCATGGAGGAGGGTATGGAATGTAGCCCTCCACATGGCTCCTGGTGTGCGGGCAGCACACACGGAACAGTGCCTGCTGTTGCTCATCTCATTCCCTACCCACCCCATCAGGATGTGTGGCCTCTTCCATCCCATTAACTCCTCCTCCTCAACCTATCAATCCATTCTAGTTTCTCAGCTCTGAAATTAAAATAAAACCAAAACCTCTCCTCACACCACATCCAATTCCCACCACCGTCTCCCTCTTCCTTTCTACAATCACATTTCTTGAGTATTTCTTCCCTGACAATGTCTACGCCTTTTTTTCCCGTTCATACCTCAAAGCCCACTCAAGGCCAGCAGAGATTCTCCTCAGATTTACCAAGGATGCCTGGGAAAGCCTATTCTTATATGTACCTTAGCAGCACAAATACAGAGGAAGCTGGCAGAAGACTGAGGGATGTGTTGAAAGAAAGCAGCCCCAGTAGGGCTGAGACTAAGGTGTGGTGAGTGAGGCACCCAGGGTGCAAAGTTTCAGGAGGCGCTCACTCTCAGAGTTGTGCAAGAATGAGCGCCTCCTCAAATTCTGCAGCCAAGGCACCTATTTGCCTTACCCTAGTCATAGCCCTGCTTCTCAAAATAATCCAAAGTTTAGTTTATTTCTAACACAAAAAGCATACAAAAAAGGATACCATGCGGTCACTAAAAGGAATGAAATGGATCCTTTCATACAGCTTTTATGCAGCTACTCCCTCTGGCCACTCGTTGCCATAGGAACAGAGGCCCAGGGTCGCTGGAGGTTCTAACGTTTCAAGAGAAGTTGGAAATGTTAATTTTTATGTGAAAGCTTATGACTTTGGAAATTGCTAACAGAATAGATTTCAAGTGTTCTCACCACAAAAAAATGGTAAGTATGTGAGGTAATAGGTATGTTCATTAGCTTGGTTTAGCCATTCCACAGTGTATACCTATATCAAAACATGCTGTACACCATAAATATATATGACTTTTATATGTCAATTAAAATAAATAAGTAAATAAACCAAAAAACACACAAAAAAGGAAGCTCATGACTTTCAAATGTCATCAAAGTCAAATTAAATATCGAACACTTCATCTGCCAAATAAAACTTATCACTAGGCTAGATTCAGCCTTCATTCGGCAGATCACAGACTTCTAGGATCTGCTGGCTAAAGAGATGATGATCAGGGTCTGGGAGGTGTAGATGTGTGTTGAGGGTGGATGCAAAAAGAGGCAAAGAGTAAGGAAAGTGGTATCTCTGGTTGCTGGGAGGGCAAGGAATCAGGCCCCCCACCCACAGCAGTAGCATCCTAGGGGATGGCAGAACCCCAGAAGTGGCTAGGTGGTGCTATCCTACATACTGGGGTTTCCAGTCTCAGCAAAGACTCCATCCCCATGTGGATCTGAAGAGAACATGCCGGCCGGGCAACAAGTGTCTCCTTGGCAGCCAGTGTGCACTGGGGGAGATGGATGACCAAAGGCTCTCCCTGACATAACCCAGGAGTAGGGGAGCCCCAGGGATGACTGAAGTTGAGTTTCCTGTTAGGCCATCAGAATGGGACCTTCAGATCATTTTAAAGCTGATCAAAAAAGATAATAGGAAATGGTTATTTCTTGCCCACCTGAGATTCACATTCTCTATGCTTTTAAGTGCATTTTTCTATTTTTGTCTATATTTAGCCTTTTAAGTAATTTTTTTAGAGTTGTGCCCTGGCTAAGAACTGCCATTCTTCATATCTGTCTTCCTCACCACCAGATCCTGAGAGCCTTTACCACAGCATTACCCAATAGAAATAGAATGTGACCCACAAATGCAAGCCACATACAAAATTCTAAATGTTCTAGTAGCCACATTTAAAGAGCAAAAAGAAACAAGTGAAATTAATTTTAATAACATATTTTAGTTAACCCAACAGATCTAAAGTAAATCATTTCAACAAATATTTTAAAAATTGAGACATATTCTAAACTGCTAAGTCTTCAAAATCCCTTGTGTATTTTCTATATACAACCCATTTGTCTGCAAAGGGACAGCCACATTTCATGTGCTCAGTCATGTGGCCAGAGGCTGGGTGTGGCAAGAGCAGGCCAAGCCCAATGTGAGTGCCCAATGAATTAATAACTTGGGGCCCTTGAAGAAGTCACTGAATCGTGCTAAGCCCCAGGATTCTCATCAGGGGATGGCACACACCTTGCAGGCTGCTCTGAGGATCCACTGGGGTCACCCCTAATCCAGCAGGGCCTGGCACACAGGTGCCAAAAGAATTTTGTAAAATAAATAAATGTTAGCTATTGTGTTGTTATATTTGTCTGAAGTCGTGATTCTTAACCTTTTTCGGGGGTGACAGGCCCTGCTGCAAATCTGATAAACACTCCTCTTAGCAAAATATATCCAAACTTAAAATATTGGATAAGATTTCATATTCACAGCCAGGTGTAATGACATGCACCTGTAGTCCCAGATACTCAGGAGGCTGAGGTGGGAGGATCCCTTGAACCCAGGAATTCAAGACCAGCCTGGGCAACATAGCAAGACTCTATCTCAAACAAAAAAAGATTCTATTTACAGAATCTCTACAAACCGACCACAGACTTCCTGGTGTACAGACTCAAGTAAGAAATCTATGGTCTAAAAACATATCTCTATTTCCAACAAGTGACTATATGAATGATACATTTTCAAATGTATATATCCTGGGCTCAAGAGATCCTCCCATCTCAGACTCCTGAGGAACAGGGACTACAGGTGCATGTCACTGCACCTGGCTGTGAATATGAAATACATTTTCAAATTTATACATTGTTCATACTCTTTATGCTTTATTAAAAATATTCCTGCCTTCAATTGGTGAGTTTCTCTTTTCTTTTTTGTAGAGTCATTTTTTAAATTGGAAAGCAGCCAGTCTTCTTTCCAGCTGAGTGAGGTGCGATGGTTTTGCCAGTGAGGGAAAGATTTTGGATATGTCCATCAAAAATCCATGTTTCGCTATATACCTTGATTTTTTTTTCAACATCTAAGTCATGTACCAGGACTGTATCACCAAATACAAATCTGATGGTCATAAATCATTTTGTCAGACTCGTTCAAATAACACATACTTATTAAGAGAAAATACAATAAATACAAACTAAAATGTGTAAAAATAAGAACAGGGATAATACCACAAATGGTGCTTACCACTCAGACATCTGTTTATGTTTCAATGTATTTTTCCAGCATTTTTTCTATGGATACATTTTTGATAATCATTATATGTTTATCTATATTTTATAAATTTACATTTTATATTTATATTTGTATATTTACATTATTCTATGTTATACTTACTTTTATATATTGATATATTTATATGTATTTTAAAATTTCATATATGTATTTGTGTGTGATACATGCATATTTATTTATTTACTTATTTCCTGCTTTTTAAAATCTTATTATTTCTAAGCATTTCCCTGGATTGTCTTAAACTCTCCTTAAACCTTATTTGAAGTGACTGTCATATATTCTAATAGTCTACAGAATGGAGGCACTGTGCTCTCCCTAATCCTTCCCCTACTGCTAGATTTTTAGATGTTCTCAATTAGTTGCTCTTTTTTTTTTTTTTTTTTTTTTTTTTGAGACAGAGTCTTGCTCTATCACCCAGGCTGCAGTGCAGTGGCATGACCTCAGCTCACTGCAAGCTCTGCCTCCTAGGTTCACACCATTCTCCTGCCTCAGCCTCCCGGGTAGCTGGGACTACAGGCGCCTGCCACCATGCCCAGCTAATTTTTTGTATTTTTAGTAGAGATGGGGTTTCACCATGTTAGCCAGGATGGTCTCGATCTCCTGACCTTGTGATCTGCCTGCCTCGGCCTCCTAAAGTGCTGGGATTACAAGCGTGAGCCACCGCGCCCGGCCCTCAATTAGTTGCTTTTATAAAGAGCCCTGAAATGAATATCTTTCTGTAAAAAAGCTTCCATCTCATTGGGCTGAGGGATCTGTTATGGTCTGAACATGGTCTCCAGAATTCATGTTGAAATTTAACCTCTATTGTGGTGGTATTAAGAGGTGGCACTTTTGGGAAAATGATTAAGTCATGAGGCTTCTACCATCATGAATGGATTTGAGTGGGTTACTGCCTTAAAAAAATGGGCTGGAGGGAACTTGCTTAGGCCCTTTTTGCCCTTCTGTCCCTTCCACCATGTGAAGACACGGCGTTCGTCCTCTCCAGAGGGCGCAGCAGCAAGGTGTCATCTCAGAAATGGACTCCAGGTCCACATCATACACTAAACCTGTGAGAGCCTTGATCTTGGACTTCCCAGCCTCCAGAATTGTGAAAAATAAATTTCTATTATGTATAAATTGCCCAGTTTCAGATACTTTGTTACAGTAGTGCAAGTGGACTAAGACAGGATCTGATCTAAATAAAACATTTTACATGTGTCGCCTTACTCTTTCCAATTTATACTCTTTTCCCAATTATATCTTTCCCATGAGCAACACCAGAATCAGCCAGCCTAGAGCAAACGCTTTGGATGACATCATACTCCAGGTCATCCCCAAGGCTCTCAGGCACCGGCCAGGCATCTGGGTAGCCCAGGCACCCTGGGAGCCTGTGACGAACATTTTACAAGTATTCCTGGAAGTGCAGGGAAGAGAGAGCAGCACACCCGCAGCATGACATTCACCCCAAATCACCTTCTTTTCTTTCAGCAGATATGCAAAGCACTCCTGTGTGCTGCATGGCAGCAGGAACTGGTCACAAGACTGAGAGCAAAACAGACATGCTCTCCCTCTGGGAGTTTACATGCTGCTGGGGGAAACAGAGGTGAAAGAAATAAACATATATTAAAAATGGAGATAGAAATAAGTGTAAATTATGACTGGTGTAATGGAGGAAAATAATAGAAGCATGCCTAATTTAACCTAAGGCCCCAATGGCCTTGTTTTGAGCAAAATCTGAAAGCGTTAAGCAAGTTGGATTGGCGAAGAGCTGGTGGAAAGGTGGTTTCAGGCAGAGGGAACTGCACGAGTTGAGTTCCCAGGGCAGAAAGAGCTCAATATGCTCTAAGAACTGAGAGGAGCTCAGGTGGTGGCCTTGTCACAGAGGGAGGGCAGAGGGCTGGGATGAGACTGGAAGGGTTTTCAGGGTCTGGCCCCACAGGCCTTGTCAAGGGGTTGGGCTTTGCCCTAAGAACAAGAAGAAACTAGTGGCTAACTGGGCAATGGCATGGTTGGACTCACTTTTGCCAGACTGGATGCCGTGTGAGGAGTACATTGGTACAGACAAGGTTAGAGGCCAAGAGATTACATAAGGCCAGTAGCCATCATCCAGGCAAGAAATGACAGTGACTCAGAGGGACATCCACAAGGGTTGGGATTGATTAGATGCAGGTGACGAGTGTGAGTGAGGAGTCAGCCATGACTCCCAGGACCCTGGCATGTAGGCCCTGCTCCCTGAACTGTGGGTGGAAGGCAGGCACAATAGAGAGAAGAATAAGGGTCCTCACTGGGTCCCTACTCAAGGGTTTCCACTGAGTTTGCCCTTGAGACAAGGGAAAGCTGCTGTTAAAGATGCAAGTCTAAGGAAATAACTCAACTCCAGTTTTTCAAAAAGTATGTTGTACCAATGACCCAATGCTCTTGGTTCAATGAATAAATAAGTTTGGAAATGCTGTAGACCATATATCTCCCAATTAGAGCTTCACAATCCAATGGGGCACATACAGCTTTCCTTGCAGGAAAAAAACCTGCTTAACTTTGTTTATTATATATTATTTGATCTGTGCTTCATATATTATTCATATATTATTTGATCAAGTTGCTTCATGTATTATTTGATCAAGGAATCATGTGTGTCTACAGCACCTATTAAAATTCCCTGGCACTGAAATTCTGTAGAAAACCATTTAGGAAAAGTTGATCTAACTGTATAATTATTAGTAAAACATATACACACACACATACACACACACACACACACACACACACACACCACAAGCAAACAAAAAAAAACCACCTTAATGGTCTCCTAACCAAGGCAGACCCACAATGAAACACAGCTGAGAAGCAGTTTGTGATAGTTATACCCACTTTTATTTATATGCAAATTAAAGAGTGGTTTATGCAGAAATTTCTAGGAAAAGGGTGTTAATTTCCGATTCATGGGGTGGTTGCTATAGAAAGGGATGGTAACTTCCCAGTGTTGCCATGGCAATGGTAAACTGACATGGCCCACTGGTGGGCATGTCTTATGGAAAGCTGCTTCCGCGCTGCCCCTGTTCTAGCTGGTCATCAATTTGGTCTGTTGTCTGAGGACACCTTCGTTGCCAAGTCCCGCCTCCTACCTCACTGGCCTTGGAGTAGGACTTTGACAACTGAATGGGTAGTTTGCAAAGAGAAGGGAGACGGAGAGGACAGCATAAAGGTATTTGGGAGGAAAAGTCCATGTCCTTAGGCTTGTTATAGCAGCTGCTTCCTTTATAAAAGGAAAGACCCAGGGACACTGTGAGACCCTGCTTGCTCTCCCTGCCTCCACTGTGAGACTCTCCAGTCCTCTCTGCCACCTGCAGCCCAGATCATCTTTCAAGGGGAAACCTGGTCATATCACCTATCTCCTGAGAAGTCTTCGATGGCTTCCCAGAGCTTTAAGATAAGGATTGAAATCTTCCAAATGGCCTGTATGGCCCTGCCTGGCCCACCCTCAGCCTGCCTCTCATTTCCTTCAACCTCTTACTGCTCTGAGCTCCCCCATCCTGCTACCTTAATCTCCATCCTCAAACCTGCCATTCTGCCTCCATGTCAAGCCCTTCACTCATGCTGTTCCACCTGGAATGCCTGCCTTCTTAGGCCATGCCCACACTCCTTAGTTGAGTGCACTCCTTCCTTCTGAGCTTGGTTCCCATGTCACTTATCAGGAAAACTGTCCCTGACTCTTCAGATGATATCAGCTCTCCTCATAGGCTTGTGAGCTTTTCCGTCATAGCACTTATCATAGGATGTCACTCCACATTTGCTTCTCTGATCCTTTGATTGAAGCCTGTCTCTTCCACTTGTTCCAGAAGGTCAGAGACCATTTTTATTTGTTTGCTGCACAGTAACTGGTATATAATAAGTGCTCAGTAAAAATGTGTAGCATACATTAGTAAACAGAAGTGGAATATAAGGGACTGTCACAGGTGGGGAGCTTAGGGACAAAAAATAGGAAGAGGATAAATGATATTGTTCAAGCAGCAAAGCAGAATCACTAGCAGATACACATTAAGAAATACATGGCAAGGAATTGGCTTACACAACTTGGGGGCTGGCCAGGGAAGTCAGAAATTCACAGAGCAAGCCCTCAAGAGCGGCAGCCTGGAGCTCTCGGCTACAAGCCAAAGCTGTCGCCCACTGGCAGAATTTCTTCTTCAAGGAAACCTGTTTTCCTCTTAAGGCCTTTTAACTAGTTGAATCAGACCCACCCAGATTATCTAGGATAATCTCCCTTACTTAAAGTCGAATATGGACATTAATCACATCTATAAAATACTTTCACAGCAACACCTAGATAACACATTGATTGAATAACTGGAGGCTGTAGCCTAGCCACATTGACATATCCCAACACCATCACAGACATTAAACAAAGTCTAAAGTCTTTGCTTCAAAACTGGGAGGCAACAGAGAGAATGCAAATTACATTTAGCTTCAGAATCAGGTTGACCGTTCACCTTCTGTAACTTCTAGCTAAGTGAGCCCAGTGTGGCAGAAACTGGCTGGCTCTTCAGCAAAATTGTCTCCTTTTCTTCCTGGGCACACAGCAAGGCTACCTTTCCCAGCATCCCTTGCAGTTAGATTTGGCCATGTGACTGAGTTCTAGCCAATGACACATGAGAAAGGGGTGTGCCAGTTTCAGATTGGTCCATGAAACCTCCCTACCCTTCCCTGTGCTCTTTCCCCCTTCTGTCTGGCTGAATGGAGATGACCCCAGGGCAAATTTGGAATTTCCATGTTGAAGATAGAAGCACCTCCATTATCCTGAGTCCCAGATGGTCGAAAAGAAAAGGCTACCCTACTCACTTGTTACTGTAAAGTGAGCAAGAAATAAACTTCATAGTATTTAAGACCCTATTATCTTTGGTATTGGGTCTACTTGTTACAGCAGCTAGTGTTATACTAACTAATACACTTAAGCAAGTTACTACACCTTTCTGAGCCTCGCTTTTCTCATCTTAACCTAAGATAGAAGCATGTTCTTACAAAAATGCATATGTATTGGTTAGGGTCTCTTTTACAGCAACAGAACTCATGTTAGACAATGTGGAGATCCATTTATGTCTCACATGAGAATTCAGGCATAAGCAATTCTGGGCTGTTATGGTGGCTCCATGGTGTCACGATCCTAGATTCCTTCCCTCTTGTTTGTTCTGCTATCTCTAAGGCATTGCTCTGTCCATGTGCCCCAAGGTAGCTTGCTGTCATGTTTGCATTCCAGCCTGCATATAGAGGGAAAGGGGCATGCTCTTTCCTTTTAAAGGCATGATATTGAAATTGCATGTATCTCTTCTCCTCACATCTCATTAGCCAGAACATGGTTCTACCTGGGAAGAAGGAAGAGGGTAAGATATTCTGCCTTTATTCTGGACAACAATGTGCTGAGGTTAAAATCAGGGGTTCTACACCCAAGAAGGGAGAATGGATACTGGAAAATATCTTGCAGTCTCTGCCCAGATGTAAAGCATTTAGCACAAGGCCTGACCAGCAGAAATGGCTGGATAGATAGATGGCATTGATAATTACCCCACCAACCACTCCCCTGACTCCTCAGTTTTCTGGGCCACCTTCTGCTTCCTTCTCACCCCTAATCACTCAGACACTGTAACCCCTCCAGTGTGCATTGAGACAAGATTGTTAACAGGCTTTCATTCAACAAGCCACAAGACACCAAGCTGGACAGAAACCTGCCCCACCCCTCATGCAGATGCTTGATGGGCTCAGCCTACTGACTGGCCTGGGTGACTTGGACACGTCCTCAGTACTTGTTTCTCTGAGCCCAGATGTCAGCCACATGAAGCCTAATGGTCTGCAGCTGGTCCTTGGCCATCCTTGGACTCCCAGAGGCCCAAGCCGGGGAATGATAATAATTATAATCATAATTGCTACTGTTTAGTGTTTGCCAGCAGCTTGGGTGTCAAAGAGGGTGCACATGCTTGCTCATTTGCACATACAGACTCAGAGTGAGGAAGTGTGTTCTCCACTTTAGAAGTGAGACAGCTGAGGCTGCAATAAGTGGACTTGCCTAAGCCCACATAGCAAGTAAGTGGTAGAGGCAGGATTGGAACCCAGGTTTTTCATACCACCCATCCCTGTTCCCTAAAACACCAATAGCAGAGGGCCTGAAGCAACTCATAGGAGGTTTCATTCATGTCTTCCCCAGCATCCCTCCCCTTTTCCTCTTGTATGTGCAATGGAGGATCCAGCACTCTCCCACCCCCAGCCCATGTGGTTTGGATGAGGCTCCATGCCAACCCAGGAAAGCATGGCCCAGGCCTAATCTAGTTAGTGCATTACACCCCCTGGCCACACCAATGGGTGCAGGAGTTGGCTTGTGGCCCAACTAAGAGGGCTGTGGCTTGGAAGGTGACACTGAATAAGAGAGTGTGTGAAGATGGGCCTCAGGCCACCAATCTGTGAGGCCTGAAGAAGGAAGGCAGTGAGCATTGACTTAGGAAGGGACAGGGAGAATATCTTGGATTCTCCGGTCCTGTTTAGCTCCTGTTGAGCTGGAATTACCTGGGCTATGCAGGGACATGAGCCCAGGGCTGCACATCTAGGAAAGGGCCAAGGTGGTATCTAAAGGAGGTCTGGGGCACCTGTTCACACACAGAAGGAAAGGTAGACAGTAGCCACACTACAGCCTGAAAGGGATGGATGCTGCTTTATCCTGCAGCTCGCCATCCACCCACCCTGCTGTTTTACCTTTTCTCATCCTCTCCTGGAACCCCCAAGGCAGTCCCAAGGCTTATCCATGTACAGCCAATGGGGCCTTGAGCAAATGACTAGAAATTCCTTTATATGTTCAGAGTAGGCAAAGTAAGAACAAAAAGACATCACCTCTCTTATACTGTTTTGGAACTGCTGACTGCCCTCACCACATTGTCCTTATGTATTCGCCCATGGAATGCTGGAGGTGCCATCTTCAGCTGCTGGGAGTGCCGGGAGGTTTCCTGATGGTGCTCGATAACACTGCAGAGTTTCTGGTGTCTCAGGGCTTACTGTTTACTATGCATCAGATGCTCTCCCAGGTGCTAGACAGCCAAGGGTAAGCAAATGCAGAAACCATGTCTGCCCTCGAGGGGCTCACAGTCTAGTGCCCCATGGAAACCACAAGACTTCCCTTCATGAAGGAGTTCAGGAATTACCAGTAGAAAACTATATCCTGCAGCAGACCTAGATCTGTGTTTTTGCATCCAGGCTTGGCAATGGAAGTCTTCAGCTTTAGCTAGTTATGGGCTGGTTTGGTGCCTAGCAGGTGTGTGCTTGAGTGTTTGGCATGAGGGAAAATAACAAGAAACCTGACTTTTTAATAAACTGAACTTTTAAAAATACCTGCAACTGGGTGCATCATTTGGGGTCTCAGGAGGAAACAGATGGCACAGTCCAAAGGGGTGTCAGCAGAGAATTGAATAAAGGGACTGATTTTAGCGGTGTGGAAGCCAACGAGAAATTGTGAAGCCCCCAGGAAAGTAGTAGTGGGAAGTTGCTACTGCTGGTAGAAAGAAGAGACAAGGGAAGAAAGGAGAGGATGCAGGACCCAGAAAGAACCCAGTTGTGGTTTTCCTGAGGATCTACACACATGTGACTATGGCCATTATTGATGCACCTCCCAGTTCTGTCTAAAGCTCAGCCTTTTCTCCAGAGCGTCATCCCCTCCAAAGTCTGATGAATATCTCCATCTGGGTTTCCCACAGGACATGCAAATACAACAGGTGCAAATCAGAACTCGGAGCTGGATTACTACACAGGCAGATGAAGCAAGTGTCCACCAAAGCAGGGGGAACAAGAAGAAGAAGAATGGAAAGTATTTAAGTATATTGTTATTTCATAAAAAAGTATTAAAGTGTGCAAGTGTTTACATTAGTGACAGAATGACTACAGAGCTATAAGGAAAAAAGTAAACGTTGCATGCATAAAATATAACTCACGCCATGCATAAAATATAACTCTTATAAAAGTTAAAAGATTCTAATTGCTAGAAGAAAACATAGGAGAAAATTTTTATATATTTTGGATAAGCAAAGATCTCTTAGATGAGGAGAAAAACCATGAGCCATAAGAAAAAAATTACAAATGGACTTTATCAACATTTCAATTTTTTCTTCTTCCAAAGACAACATTAAGAAAATTAAAAGGTAAATCACAGACTTGGAGAAGTTATTCTCAAAACAATTACCTGACAAAGGACTTGCATCCAGAATTTAAAAGAACTTCTATAACTCGGTAATAAGAAGACAAATAATCGAATTTGTTTTAAATGGGCAAAGACTTTGCCCCTGAAAAAAGTTTATATGAATCTCTAATAAGCACATATAAAGATGTTCAACATTGTTGGTCATCAGGGAAATACAAATTTAAACCACAGTGAAATACTACTTCATATCCACTGAAAAAGGCTAAAAAAATGTTGTTAAAGGTCTGAATACACTAAGTGTTGGTAAGGACAAAGAGCAAATGACTTGCTCATGTGCCACTGATAGTAAAGGAGAATGGTACAATCACCTTGGAAAGCAATTTGGCAGTTTCTTTTAAAACTAAGCATATACTTTATGATCAAGCCATTCCATTCCTAGGTATTTACTGAGAGAAATGAAAATATATGTTCTCAAAGGGCTTGCACACAAATATTCATAAGTCTTTTCATAAAAGGCAAAAACTGAAGACAACCCAAATAGCCACCGACAGATGAAGGGATAAACCAACGGTGGTATAGTCATACAACAGAGTAATAAACACACTACTGATATTCACAGCAACGTGATGAATCCCGGAAGTATGAGGCTGAGTAAAAGAAGTCAGACACAAAAGGATATTTTCAGAGTAACTGCATTGATTTGAAGTTCTAAAACAGGTAAAACTAATGCATAGTGATAGAAGCCCGATCAGTAGGGGATGTAGGTATTGTGTGGGAAGGCTCAGGAAGGAAACTTCTGTAATGATAGAAATATTCTATATTTTGACTGGGGTGGTGGTTACACAAAAGGTGTACACATTTTTCAAACTCACTGAAACGTGCCTGAAACATGCATGTATTTTATGTAAGTCATTGCTAAATAAAGCCTGTCTTTATAAAAAGCATTGAAGTCATTATCCTAGGAAAAATAAGAATACTGTAGGACTTCCTTTGGTAAGAGCGACTTTCTGAGAGTGCACCATCATCTTTCCAGTGACCAGGGTCCCACAGTCCCAATCCAGTTCTACCTAAAGTTGCCATCCTCTCCTCACTCCCCTAAACACTTCTTGGCCCTCGTTGGCTCTGGCGTGGAATCGGTGTCTATGCTGGAACACGGATGTATCCCGACAATTCCTTCTCTTCCCCCCTCACATCCTGTCCATCACCAAGTCCTCTTGGTTCCCCCTTCACATTGCCTTCTCCGTAGCCCCACCCAGACGGGAATCAGGCCCCTCCACACCCCTCCCCCACCTCCTGTTTGCCTTGCTCTTCACAGTCCACAGCTGCTTCTCGTTTGTCAGAAGAGACATTTCGATATTCTAGTGCCTACCCATTCTTCTCTTCTCCTTTAGGAAAATAACCTGATTTTGATAGGATTGGCAATGGGCCCAACTGAGAAATTACATTTCCAAGCCCTTTCAGATCCAAGTCTGAAACTTTTGCCCAAAGGCATAGAGATGGGAGCCACTGGTGGGGAGAAGAGCTTCTAGAAAAGCACAGTTACAAAGAGGTTGACTCAGCTGTGCGGTCTTTTGGCCCTTCTCCATCCCCATTCCTCTTTCTTCCTGACTGGAATGCTAATGTGATGGCTGGAGCAGCAGTGACCAGGAAGGGACCATAAGGAGATGCTGAGGATGGAAACAGGTACTAAGGATGGCTGCAGCTGAGAGATTTAAAAAAAAAAAAAAAGAGTCTGGGATGTTAACAACATTGAGGAGATCAGTTAACTGTCAGTTGCCTACTTTGGGTTCTTTTACAAGAGAGAAAAATGAATCTCTACCTGCTTAAGCCAGAGTTATCTGCACCTCTTTTATACTGAGCTGAAAGTCATTCCTACCTGTTGTAGTATCCTCACTGCCCTCTGGATGAAGTCTTGCCTTCCATGGCATGGCTTACAAGTTCTTCATGCCCTGGTCCTCTGGGTTTCTATGGACGAACTTCAGTAGGTTCACGAAATTAGACGCAAAATTGTTTGAGCATGTGTGCATTTTCCCCTAGAAAGAGGACCAACAGTTTTCATCAGATTCCCAAAGGGACCTGTCGCCCTCTCCCCAAGGTTTTTTCAACCTTACATGACAACGCCACTTGGTAGGCCTAATTGACCCCTTTTACACTTGAGGAAACAGATTCTGATCACTTCAGCACCTTGTAAAATGCTGGATTCTTTCTTTCTTTCTTTCTTTTTTTTGAGATGGAGGCTGGAGTACAGTGGCGCAATCTCGGCTCACAGTAACCTCTGCCTCCCGGGTTCAAGCAATTCTCTTCCTCAGCCTCCTGAGTAACTGGGATTACAGGTGTCTGCCACCACGCCTGGCTAATTTTTTGTATTTTTAGCAGAGACGGGGTTTCACCATCTTGGCTAGGCTGGTCTTGAACTCCTCACCTCGTGATCCACCCCCCTCGGCCTCCCAAAGTGCTGGGATTACAGGCATGAGCCACTGCGCCTGGCCTGGATTCTTGAGAAGTGAAGGGAGAAGGAATAATGGATGAGTCTGGAGAAAAAGGTGCCAGGAAAGAAGTGGACTATTCCTCGTGTTTGAAGCCAGGGCAGAGGGTCTGCATTTGCACTCTGGGCTGGGGCTTTCTGAGGCTTGCTGGGTGTCCTGCCTCTCAGCTAGTGTGGCTTTGACGACCAAGGGCACTCTTTTTCGCATGTTACCTGCCTTAAGCTCTGCTTGACTAATGTCTCCAGTTGATTTCTCAGTAATTGAGAGGCTCTGGCTTTTGAAGTCATCTCGTCAGCCTGGTTTATTGCTGCTCTGTTCAATTGGTGGTTTACCCTGGATTGGTGCACAGCCCCCATATTTCCAGAGCATGTGCTTGGAACCCTGTCCAGTGGCCACAGGGATTGGGGGATAAGAGGCCCAGTGGATTTTCTTAAACCCCTGTCTTCGCTCAGTTCCCGAAGAAGGTCAATGCAACTTCTGAAAAGTTACAATGTTTGCTGAGCTCCTGGTTGGCTGAGCCCACGTCAAGGCTCACAGACTCCCGTTGAGAGCATCTTCTCGGACTCTCAAGATGTTATGAAGGATTTTGCGTAGTGGATATTTTTCTTCCTATGTTTAGCTGCCCAGCATCTGAGCCTCCTTCCTGTGTTTGGGGCACTCCGATTTCATGATTCTTAGTGAAAGACAGGGGGGTCCACCTCCCTCTACTGAAGCTAGAAAGGCCAGACTCTCACTTTCTCCACCTCCCTCACAGGGTACATAGCCAGCGCACCACCAGCCATCTCTCCATATTATCAGCGGGGAACTGGTGACACCAAGAAGAGGGACAATGGAGAGACTGCCTTGGTAGGAGCAACCAGCACAGTGTGGGACAGTAGGAAGGTACTGTGACATCTATAGAGGGGTGGCTCTGGCGGTAGCCGCATCCTTGCAGGGCAGGTTCCGTGCTTGATGGTGGCCAAGGTTCTGGGAGACTTTCATGCCAGCCTGGCTCTCTCCTTCATTTTGTAGGTCAGGTAACTGAGGTGCCTACAATAGAAGTGACCCACATACCACAGACAGGCAGCAGTTTAGGACTATCATCCACGTCTCCTGAGTCACAGTCAAATGAATACACTCTTCTCTAATTCCCTCCTTAAACTTTGAAGTCAGCTAGGAAATACCCTAAAGCCACATAATAATAGAGATCCTCAATTCCATTCCATGAGGCTATCTCATTCCACAAAACAGGCATTTATGTAGCACTCATTATATACTGGGAGAATGTATCAGCTATTGTTCTTAACGAGACTATCTCATTCCACCAAACAGGCATTTATTTAGCACTTACTGCATACCCCATAACTACAGACACTGGGAGAGTATATCAGCTATTGTTCTTACAACAAATCATCCTTACACTCAATGGCTTAAAACAATAAGTATATATTATTACTCTTGAGTTCTGCTGGTCTTGGCTCATTCACGCCTCTGCAGTCAGCTGTGTGCCATCCAGGTGGCTCTGCTGATCCTGGCTGGGGTGGCTCACACACTTGGGGGTTGGTTGGCTATAGGATGGTCTGCAATCACCAAAATCTAGAGGAGGAAAATCCTACATTCCGGGGAGATGTCAAGGCTTCGAGAAAATAATGTTGAGGGCTGCTGGGCTCTCCCACGGCATGCTCTTCCTCCTGACACCGCCCTTCGCTGGCCCTCCACCTCCCCCACAGCCGCGAGTGTCTCCATGCCAGAAGGTGAAGCTTACTTGTCCCTTGATGGTTCCAGAGATTGGGTGCTCAGTTTAAGTCATTTATCTCCTCAAGGTTTTTTCTTTTGGGTTTCCCAGCAGCCGAAGTAGGGGTGGGGGAGCATCAATTGCCTAATATTTATTGTAAAGAGAAAATAACTCCCAGCAAAGCTTCTCTTTAACACTTATTTCTGAAATAAAAATTCATGCAGAGCTTCATCTGGGTACCCTAAATCACATAGAGGACCAAGTCTCCACAATAGCCCTACAAGAACGGAATGCAGGATATGCGGAGCTATTTCTTGGGCTGCCTCTGGATGAAGGCTAAGGGGTAAAGATCGACCAACACAAGGCCAGAGTGCAATCCAATATGATGCAGCAGTCACATCCGACTCTGTGTGGCTCTGTAAAGAGACAGAAGCCCCTGGTACAGAAAAGCAGGTGGCACTCTGCATAAGGAAGACAAAGCCTGGCCTTTGGAGGCTCAATCTGCCAGACACTGTGCTAGATACCATGCATCCGGAATCTCCTTCACTCTCCACGACAGCTTCCTGTAGCAAGCATTTCCTCTTTTACACCAAAGAAAACAGACCAAGAGAAGCTGAGTGACTTGTCCAAGGTCCCATGATAGCAAGTAAGCAGCCAAAGCCCGTCAGATTCATATCACTTTTTTACCCCTGGGCCACGGAGCAAAGCATTCATCTCCTCAGGGACCCCAGCTGTTAGATTAAACAGAGAGCTGTGTGGATCAGAAGAATGAAAATGCAAAGCTCCTATAATTCATAGCAATACCTGGATTTGAGAGCCTCTGCCTACTTTTTCAGTTTCAACTTAGAGAAAATGTTAACGTAGTTACCAGCTCTTTCTCTTCTATAATCACTTTTACAATGGTAATAATTATGGACACATTTTATTTGTTTGTTTATAACATGCTTCTTCCATTAAGAATTTGGGGTGGTATAAAACAAAAACATGTGATGTGTGTGATACACAGAAGAACCAAAGAAAAGGAAGATGAACCAATCACAAGGTAGTGTGAATAACTTGAAATTGACCTTTTAATCTGGTTCTGAGCTTCCAGCCAGCCAGAGCAAAAAGGAATACAAGATTAGTTCTTTGTGTTTATTTGTTTTTTGTTTTGTTCGGTGTTTTGAGACAGAGACTCTCTCTGTTCTGCAGGCTGGAGTGCAGTGGCATCATCTCATCCCACTGCAACCTCTACCTCCTGGATTCAAGCCATTCTCCCACCTCAGCCCCCCAAGTAGCTGGGACTACAGGTGTGCACCATTATGTCTGGCTAATTTTGGTGTTGTTTTTTTTTTTTTTTTTTTTTTGGTAGAGACAGGGTTTCTCCATGTTCCCTAGGCTGGTCTTGAACTCCTGAGCTCAAGCCATCCACCTGCCTCGGCCTCCCAAAGTGCTGGGATTACAGGCATAAGCCACCACACCCAGCCTCAGGAATGTAAGATTAGTTATTCACATATTTTCAGAAGAGGAGAAGAGTATATCCTTCTCTCAGGTTTCTCCTAATACTGAATTCTGAAAGAAGTTTACTTATGAAAGCACCACTGAGTGATACATGTAACAATATCTTCAGTGATATTTTTATAATAAATACATTCTGGAATTCCATATGACTGTCCATGTATGGCATTAAAGCTCAACTCAGAAAATTAAATTCTGAGACAGAAATTCTGATGGGTATTACAGGAAACTGATAGAAATGAGTTCTTTTATATACTGTCAGAAGGCAACACCTAATTCCCTGTTGTGGTATTCAGGCACAGTATTGTTGTTCTTGTTAGATTAAATGCTCAAAATCATCGTCTCATTCCCTTATCACATAGGACCATTTCAGCTTTTAAGCTGCAAGTAATAGAAAATCCAACTCAAAGTGCTTTATCCAAAATAGAATTTTTTATTCCTGTTATTAAAAAGTCTTCAGGCACGGCTGGATCCAAGGGCTCAAGTAAACTCAAATAAGCTTGGTCTCCACAATTAGCATGAGGTGGGCTTCGTTCTCAGGATTCTTATGGTTTCAGAATGGTTCTTGCAGCTTTGAACCTTCTATATGATCTGTTTCAGACCCGAGGGAGAGATTCTGATCCTGCCTCAGCACCCTCGGGAGGAAAGAATCTATCCTCTTCTCATTGTCCCAGGTTTTGTCATGGTGAGAGGAAGTAACACCTGCCTGGCTTAAGTCTCAATCTCTTAACCTGACCACACACCTTGAGAGATACCAGAAGAGAAATGGACAATGAGGAGGTGTACAGCATGGCTCACAGCATGCACTTTCTGCATTCGTGAGCCTACCTGCAAGCACAGAGGGTTTGATCTACAAAATTAGATCATTTTCAAAGGCCTGAGAGATGATTGATGCTTTCCAGAATTTGATTCTTTTTTTAGGGTGGGGGCGGGAGGGGGGGCGGACGGAGTCTTGCTCTGTCGCTGTCGCCCAGGCTGGAGTGCAGTGGCACAATCTCGGCTCACTGCAACCTCCGCCTACTGGGTTTAAGCAATTCTCCTGCCTCAGCCTCCTGAGTACCTGGGATTACAGGCGTGCGCCACCACGCCAGGCTAATTTTTGCATTTTTAGTAGAGATGGGGTTTCACCACGTTGGTCAGGCTGGTCTCCAACTCCTGACCTCGTGAGCCTCGGCCTCCCAAAGTTCTGGGCTTACAGGCATGAGCCACTGCGCCCGTACTCCAGAATTTGTTAAACCATGGTTTAACAGGCAGCCTTTTTTCTTCCTTAGAGACAATACTATAATCATCTTCTAATCAATAACATTATGTATTAATTGAAACATGATAGCACTTAATAGTTGATAAAAATGTACCATTTTGACTTCGCATTTCAACAATAACAGTTGTAGAAGAAATAAGAATAGCAATAGTATTAATGACAATAGCTAATATATTCAAGCACTAACTTTGTGATAGGCACAATGCTAAACACTTTCCATACCTTATATTTTTAGTCCTCTCAAAAACCCTGTGAGGGGCATTTTATCATCTCCATTCAAAAGTGAGGAAATTTAAAGAGCTACAATGAACGGCTTCCACCCCTGCACCCTCCTTCCTAGTAAATTTTAGAACTCAAACAAAGGTCTGTAAATCTGGGACCCTGCTTTATTAAATGATGCTGTCTATTGACAAAGTTTCTCTTTTTATTTTATAAATATCACATATCTTTTATTTCAGAATATGCACTATACTTCATAGTAATAAAACTTTTTTTTTTTTTTTTGGTTTAGTCATTTAGGCTTTCCACTGAAATCCAGGAAGCTTTTATCATTCATCTGATTTAAGACAGTTTCAAATATCTAAATATAGTTAGTTAACTGCTGCCTATAAATATGGCGGAATTTTTTATGTGTATTATCCATAGTACATGATATGTCATTTTTTGTTGTTCTTGCTGAAAAAAAAAAACAAAAAAACGACCATCCTACACACTGTGGGATGATTTATTCGATTGTTGTTATTCATGGCTAGGAAAAACTTAGAATGCTCAAAATAAGCAAAAACATTTCTGCAGCTGCTACAGATGGCCTACTCCCCAAGACTAGGCTGGCCCTGAACACCAACAGTCATGCAGAAGTGCCAGCCTCATATTGAAGCTATTAGCACTTTCAAGGAGCGCATGCTGCGGGTGTGTGTGTTGGGGGGGTGTCTCTGTGAAAATTCTGATGACTGGTAGAGTGCCCAAGCGAATCTTTGACCCTGAAGTCAGCCCCAGTCTTGGGGCCCCTCACATGCAAGAGCACCTTTTCTCATGCAACTGGAGCTGTGTGGAGCAGGGAAGGATGAGGTGTTAAGAGAGTCCTAATGAGCCATGTCACAGATGTGTAAAACAGCTGGAGGGATGATGTCACCACGCTCCAAGCTCACCCCGCCGCCTCTGCTACTTTCTGCCATTATTAGAAACAGACACTGGAGGAGGGCGCCTAGAATACGCGCCGGTCCCCTTCTCAACCACTCTCTGGTCCTAATTAGGTAGGCTGGGCCCCAGCTGTGCACGTAAACCTCACCAGGTGACTCCAAACCGTCTAGGCTTCTAATCCAGATGAGTCCTGCTCCAGCTTGCACTAGAGAGAGGCCATCTTCAGTGGAAGATTGATTGTACTTGTTACATTAAAAGCCTGACCTCCGGGTGGGTGGGGAGAAAAATTAAATTCTTAGGGAAAGGATCTGAAAAGGATTGCAATTAATCACAAACTCTGGACATTTTCAATTAAGAGTGCAATTCTTAACACGCCTGATGTCTGATGATGTCAGACTCTGTCATGGCTGTGAGTTTAAGACTTGTTTTCCAAAACAAACATGAGGAATCATCCTGTCTTGTGCTAACTCCAAACATACACGTTTTCTCCTTCTTTAATCTGGAAAAGGAGCCACTGAAGTGCCTAATATGTGTCAAGTGGTTACATAGAGTGGCTCATTCAATCCTTTAACAACCCTAGGAAAGATTGTTATAGATGAAGTTGAGCTCAGAGAGGAGAAGCGACTAATCTAAAATCACACAGCAAGTAAGTGGAGTGGAATTTGAATCCAGGCCAGCCATCTTACAGATCATGTCCCTGGCTTCCCCAACTACACTTACCACCCCCATCTCCATCCTAGTTCAGTTTCTTTGTTATACGTTACCATACAACTGGATTTCCTTTCCTTCAGAACACTGACCACAGTTATAAGTTTGTTAGTGTAATTAGGTAAATCTTCCCCTTCTGACTGTATGCTCCATGAGGACAGAGCCCACATCTGATTTTGCTAGCCATCCATCAGTCATCTCACCCTCTTTATTCTTGAAAGCTGAGTCAAGATTTCATTCTGTTGTATACTTCTTTTTCAAAGGACTTAAGGACAATCCAATAAGGACAAATCCAATCCAAGTCTAAACCACTCATAGTGGCCCCTTTCCTTTGTCGGCATTTGACTGACAATATGGGCACAAGGGCCAGTTCTGGCCAAAGAAGTAAGATGAGAAGTGAGCTGGTGGAACTCTGGGGAAAGTTTTTCTGCTCTTAAAAGCAAAAGCCTGGGAAGAGCGAGGCTCTCCTCTTCCTCTTGACATTGTCATGTCTGCATCAGACCCTTGATACTGTAGCAGTCGTGTGTCTACAAGAAGAGCCAGTGGAGGAGCAAATCTGTAGAGAAAATAAGGGAAAGAGAAAAAGAGCATGAATACTTGATGATGTGGGAGTTGTGAGAATTAAGTAACATTCATTCATCTTGCTGTTATTTATTGAGTGGCTACTAAATATCAGGCAACAGGAGTGTAACAGTGAACAAAATTAAAATGGTCCTTGCCCTTATGAAGCCTCCTCTAGTGAGGAGGACAGGCATTAAATAAATAAACATATTGATATACAATTACAGGGAGTTACATTTCCAGGAGAGTAACCTGTAGTATAATAACCTTCCTGCAAGTCACAATACACACTCTGGACAAAACAACAATTTGAAGGCAATTGTTACCTTTTTACCAAAAGAAGACAGAAACTGGAAGGAGGTTGACTCCATTTTTGCCTTAAAATGCTTTCCAGTTTATGTATCCCAGAGTGGCTAGAACTCAAGCAAAAAGCCTCAGCTGGCTTGAGGAGTCAGAGGATGCAGTTTGGAGCTGCCAGAAAGGTAGAAAGTGAAGAAGAAATGTGGAAAAAGAGGGAGCAATGAAATGTGAACCCCTAAAAACCTAAATTAAAAACTCTACTTCAAATTCTTGTTGACTCATGCACTGTGCATGTGTAAGGAAGATTTCAAGGTTCTTAGCAAAAAGCAACAGCTGGGAAGTTGGAGAAATTGAGCAGTTCAGCTGTTATTCAACACAAGAAAAACTGAGTTTGGAGTTTGAACTTAACCAAAGTAATGCCTTGCTGAAACAAAAATAATAACACTCTTCAAAGGAAGATAACTGAATCCAGAGGCTCTACAAGGTACTGTTCAAAACCTCCAGTATAGGCCAGGAGTGGTGGCTTATGCCTGTAATCCCAGCACTTTGGGAGGCCAAGGCAGGCAGATCATGAGGTCAGGAGATCGAGACCATCCTGGCTAACACAGTGAAACCCCGTCTCTACTAAAAATAGAAGAAGTTAGTCAGGCATGGTTTTGGGCGCCTGTAGTCCCAGCTACTCGGGAGGCTGAGGCAGGAGAATGGCATGAACCCAGGAGGTGGAGCTTGCAGTGAGCCAAGATCGCGCCACTGTACTCCAGCCTGGGTGACAGAGCAAGACTCCGTCTCAAAAAAAAAACCCTCCAGTATAAAATGAAGCATTACTAGGTATACAAAGAAATGGGAAAGTGTGAGTTGTAATCAAGAGAAGAAAACAGGCAATAGAAACCATCCCCAAGACAATTCAAATGTTTGAATGAGCAGAAGAGCATTTCAAAGCATGAATTAGAAATAAGTTTAAGGATTTAAAGAAAAACACTGTCATAATGATAGAATAGTTGAGGAATCTCAGCCAAGAAACTAAAACTATTTTTAAAAACCAAATAGAAATTCTAGAATTAAGAACGATAATATATAAATGAAAAATTTACTGAGTGGGTTTAACAGCAGATTAGAGATGAAAATATAAAGAATCAGTGAACTTGAAAATAGATCATAGGCATTATCTAATCTGTAGAAAAGAGAGGGAAAAGCAGATAAAATAAACAGAGCTTCAATAGCCTGTAAAAATATATCTACCTGTGTAACACGTTTACCTAGTAATTTTGTGGAAAATGAAACAAAAAGCTCAGAAAACACATGCAGGATAAATACAATTATACCCAGCCACATCACAGTGAAACAGCTGTGATAAATAGAAAATCTTTTTAGCAGCCAGAGGAAAATAACACTATGCAAAAGAATAACTATAAAAATGATTACTAACTTCTCACAAAAAGCAATAAAGACCAGAGACAATGGAAGGGCATCTTTATGATACTGAAAGAAAAAAAAAAAGTGGTCAACCCAGGATCTTAAGCAAAACTATCCTTCAAAAAGGAAGTAAAATAAACATTTTACAAGTAAATAAAAATGTACAGGTTTTTTTTTTTTTGCCAGTCAGCTTAGAATACAAGAAATGATAAACTAAACTTTTTCAGGATGAAAAGAAAGGACATCAGGTGGAAACCCAGATCTACAAGAATGAGTGAAGAGCACTAGAAATAATAAATATGTGAGTGTAAAAGATTATTTTTTCTGCTCTTAATTTTTTTAATGGCAGTTTAAAGAAAAAAACCCCATATGTTGTGGGATTTACACATGTGTATATGCAATATACATTATAATAATGGCACAAAGGATAGGGTTAAACTATAATCTTGGAATAATGTTTCTTATGGGAATTTATACAATATTAATTCAATAGTCTCTGATAACTTAAGGATGCATAGTGTAATCCCCAGAGCAATTTCTACAAAATACAAAGAGATATAGCTAAAAATACAACAGAAAAATTAAAATGAGATTCTAAGAAGTATTTGACTAACCCAAATAATATAGGAGAAGAAAAATAGAGGAGCAAAAACAGACAAAAATATGTAGAACAAGTAAAAAAAGTAATAGGCCAAAATCCAACCATATCAATATTTGCATTAAATTTCAATAGACTAAAAAACCACTTCCATTAAAAGGTGGAATATATGAAGACCCAGCTATATGCAGTCTACAAAAAAAGAGTTCTTAACTGTAACCACACAGATGGCTTGAAAGAAAAATAACAGAAAAAGATATATCTGCAAACCACAAGCAAAAAAAACCGGATTGCTATATTAATTTCAGACACCCTAGCCTTCAGGGAGAGGACAATTACCAGAAATACAGAAGGGTGTTTAGAAATGATAAAAGAGTCAATTCATCAGGAAGATGTAACAATCATAAATGTGAATGAGCCTATTAACAGTGTTTCCAGATACATGAAGTAAAACTAACAGAACTAGGGGGAGAAACAGACCAATTCAAAAATCATGTTGGACATTTTAACACCTTTTTCTTAGTAAGTGATAGACAGAAATCATAAAAATATAGGAGACCTAAACAAGACTATTGACTACATTTACCTAATTGACATTTATAGAACACTACACCCAACTACTGTTGAATAACCAAATGCAGGCCCATAAAACACATGTCAGAGGATTTCAAAAGATTGTACTCTAACAGTATGTTTTATGATGACACTAGAATTAAATTAGAAAGTAATAACAGTATTTAGAAAGCTTCAAATATTTGGAAATTAAGCAACACATTTATATCATTATATTCAAAGAAGAAGTAATAAACCAAATCAAATTGTATTTTGAACTGAGTAATAACAGAAATACAATATATCAAAATTTATTAGATTTAGCTAAATTATCACTTACAGGGAAATGTGTAGATTTAAGTGCTTCTATGGAAAAGGAGAAAAGTTTAAAATCAATTAAGTTTCCACCTTAAAATGTTATGGAAAGGCAGGCAAGTTAAATACAAAACACATAGAAGATAAAATAAGTACAGAGTTCAGTGAGATAGAAAACAGACAAACAATGAAGAAATTAACAAAACCAACAGTTGCTTTTTTAAACAGACTAAATAAGTTGATTAATCCTTAGCAATTCTCACCAAGAAAAAAAGAAAATACAAATTACCAATATCAGGAATAAAAGAGAGTATATAAGTACAAACTCTAAATACATCAAAATGATAAAAGGATATTTTGAAAAATTTTATTGCAATAAATTCCACAATTGAGATGAAATTATCAAATTCCTTTTAAAAATGTCATTATAACTTTGCAGGATAAAATGGAATATTCAAATATCCCTACATACACAGAAAATTAATTATTATCAAAACCCTTCCCAAAAGGAAAACTTGAAGCACAGATAGTTTCACTGGTGAATATTAAAAATCATTTAAGGAAAAGTAATATCAATCTTTTATAAACTTTGAAGAAGTCAACATAACCTTAACACCAAAATATGACAAAAATATTACAAGAAAAGAATATTACAGACCAATCTGTCTCATAAACATAGACACAAAAATCTTTGGATAAAATATTAGCAAATTGAATTCAGTGATACATAAAGAGTACATTACATAATAACCAACTGGGGTCTATCCCAAGAATGCAAGGTTGGTTTAACATTCCAAAGTCAATAAACATAATTAACTCTATTGACAGAATAAAGAAGGTAATTGATGAATAAAAAGCATTGGCAAAATTAAGCACCCATTCATTGTAAAATCTCTCAGCAAACTAGGAAAAGAAGTTTTTCAATCTGATGAAGGTTATCTATAGAAAGCATAAAAGTAAGATTATAGTAAATGGTGAAATATTAAATATTTTTCTTAAGATCAGGCACAGGACAAAAATGTCTCTCTCAACACTTATATTCAACGTATCAGTGAATATCTTCACCAGTGTAATAATTCAAGAATAGGCCACAAAGATAAGAAGGAGGAAACAAGTAAAATTACTTCTGTTTAAATGTGACATCATTATTAATATAGAAGATCCTAAGAAATACATAAAATGACTCTGAGAACTATGAGTGAATTTAGCAAGGTCATAGGATACAAAGTCAATATTCGAAATCAATTGTATGTCTATATATTAGCAGCAAACATTGAAAAATGAAATTTAGAAAGCCCATTTCCAACAGTATCAAAAAAGTAAATACTTAGGGATAAATTTAACAAAAGGTGTGTAAGACCCTTACACTAAACACCAAAATATTGCTAAGAGAAATATTTTTAACTAAATAATGGATAGATATGCCATGCTTATGAAATGGAAGACTTGGGATTCATAATCAGTTTTCAGTTCTTCCTGAACAAATCTACTGAGTCAACGTGATCCCAATCATAATCTCAATAGATTTTGTTCAGGTTGCATTAATTCAGTGTCTGGTGTCTTCTTGCTGTGTCCTTACATAGTGGAGAGGACAAATTAGCCCTCTGGGGTCTCCTTTATAAGGGCACTAGTCCCAGTTATGAGGGACCTAATCACCTCCCAAAGGTCCCATCTCCTAATAGCATCACCTTGAGGGTTAGGATTTCAACATATGAATGGGTGGGAGGAATAAACATTCTGACCATAACAAATGGCAAAAGGACAGACAATTCCATGGAAAAGAACTGAGAGTTCAGAAATAGAACTACATGGATACAATCAACAGGTTGTTGTGTTTTTGTTTTTTAACAAAGGTTCTAAAGACTGGAGAAAAGAAAGTATTTTTTTAACAAGTGCTGCAACAACTAGTTATCTATATCAGAAAAAAAATGACCCCTATTTCCCACCACACACAAGACTAAGAAAATATTTGCAAAAACAAATCTGACAACTGATTAGTATCCAGAATATACAGAGAACTTCTACAACTCCATAACAAAAATATTTTAATTACTTTATTGCCAAAAGACTCAAAAAGACATTTCACAAAGAAAGATAAACAAATGACCTTTGAACATAGAAAAAACTACTCAATATTATTAGTCAGCCAGAGGAAAGCAAATTAAAACAATGAGATATTAATACCTCTACATGGCCACTAGCATGGCTACACTTCAAAATACTGACAACCTTAAATGTAAGCTAGGATGTGAAGCAATAGGAATGCTCATACATTGTTGGTAGGAATACAGAATGGTACAACTACATCAGAAAATGATTTGCCTGTTTCTTATAAACAAATATATGTGAATTATACTTCAGTAAGGCTACTACAAAAAACATGAAAAAAGTTAAATATATATCCACCCTATAATCCAGCAATTCCACTTCTAGGTATTTATCCAAGAAAATGAATATATATGTTCACAACAACACTTACACATGAATCCTCATAGCAGCTTTCATCATTATAGCCCCAAACTGGCAATAACCCAGATATCCTTCAACAGGAGAATAAATAAACAAAGTATGGTATACTTATAAAATGGAGTACTGCTTAGCACAAAAAAGGAACAAACTACTAATACATGCAACAACATAAATTCCTCTCACGAGGAATGTTATAGTGAAGAAACTTGGTAGGCAGCTCTTTAACCAAGTGAGCAGAAGTAACAACACCAACACTGGGACAAATGAACCCCATGTGCTTCCCAGTTTGAGGCCTTGAAAAATACACATCACTTTGGTAGTATTCTTGCCAAGAAATGCATAATGTGAATATAATTGTTAGGAACCAGGAGATAAATTCAAATTTAGAGCCCTTCTGCAAAGTAACTGTCTTGTATTTCAAAAGGGTGATAAGCATGGAAGACAAGGAAGGACAGAGGGCCTATTCTATATTAAAGAAGGCTGAAAGACATGACAATAAATGCAATCCTGGTCCTGAATTGGCTCCTGGACTGGGAAAAAACGGCTATTAACAACTAGATTGTTGGGTCAACTGATAAGATTTGAATGTAGTCTGTGGATTAGATGACAGAATTATACTCATGTTAATTTTCCTGAGTTTGATCATTGCATTGTTGTTATATCAGAGCACACCTTTTTTCTTAGACAAGCAAGACACACTGAAGTATTTAGGGACAAAGTGACATAATATATATATATATATATGCAGAGAGAAAGGAGAATGAATGAATAAATAAATGAATGACAAAGCAAAGGGGCTATATGTAAACAATTGCTGAATCATGGTAAAGAATATTCAAGGATTCTTTTTTTATTTTTTATTTATTTATTTATTTTATTATACTTCAAGTTCTAGGGTACATGTGCACAACGTGCAAGTTTGATACATAGGTATACATGTGCCATGTTGGTTTCCTACACCCATCAACTCGTCATTTACATTAGGTACTTCTCCTAATACTATCCCTCCCTCAGCCCCACACCCCCTGCCCTGTGTCCAAGTGTTCACATTGTTCAATACCCACCTATGAGTGAGAACACACGGTGTTTGGTTTTCTGTCCTTGTGTTAGTTTGCTGAGAATGATGGCTTCCAGCTTCATCCATGTCACTGCAAAGGACATGAACTCATCTATTCAAGGATTCTTTACATCATTCTTGTGACTTCTCAATAAGTTTGAAATTACACCAGACTTAAAAGTCGGCCAGGTGCAGTGGCTCACACCTGTAATCCCAGCACTTTGGGAGGCTGAGGCAGGCAGATCACTTGAGCCCAGGTGTTTGAGACCAGCCTGGGCAACACGGTGAAGCCACATCTCTACAAAAAATACAAAACACTAGCAGGGCATGGTGGTGCATGCCTGTAGTCCCAGCTACTTGGGTGTCTGAGGCAGGAGCATCACTTGAGCCCGGGAGGTCAAGGCTGCAGTGAGCCAAAATCACACTACTGCACTCCAGCCTGGGTGACAGAGTAAGACACTGTCTCCAGGAAAAAAAAAATTAAAAGTCAAAAAGCATGCAATTACACATTTTGATACATGCAATGAAGAGATAATGCATGTAAGGTACTTAGCCCAGGGTAAGCACCTAATAGCAGCTATTGTTCTTGTAGGCAGAAGAAATGGGAAGGAGCTGTGTACCCACTCACACAGAAGGTAACTCGGCTAGCTTTTTGCCCAGCTCTCTCCTTATGGATAAGATAGATGAGACTAAGAGATGGGGAGCTCCTGATGAGTGGCAAAGTTCTGTTTTTTGTTTGTTTTCTACCCTATATCAGGAATATCCACGGTGTCCAGGGAAATGTGAGCTATATGATAATTTACATTAATAATAATGAGGAGATATTTTTAAATAGGCTTTAGCAGTTATATAACGCAATGCAAACATCCAAGTATATCGGCTTTATTTCTGCAGTGATATATGGTGATAGGCCCAGAACTAGTGATGGTTTAATCCTTAAAACGTTGAGTCTACACTCATGTAATCAACATGTCTGCCACTTTCCTGGAAATATTGACTGAGGCTGCAGTGAGCTGTGACTGTGCAACTGCACTCCAGCCTGGGCAACAGAGCGAGACCTTGTCCCCAAAAAGGTGGCAATTGGTCAGGACCCTGGTCAGGACCCCGGTCAAGACCCATTAGGTAGAAAGTGACAGAAAACACAACCTAGAATGGGCTAAGCTAAAATGTGTGTCAATAAAGAGTCCAGGCTCAGATGGTTTCATGCATGGCTTGACTCAGCACCTTAGACCCTGGGAGCTGGTCTTTCTCTGTCTCTATGTTCCACTCTGGCCTCCTGAGTTTGCAAGATGGCAAAACGGCTGCTGTAACTATGAACTTCCCTCATCTAAGGCCCCAACTCAGAAGGAAAGGGTAAATGCCTATCAGAGTGGCTTAAATAACAGCCTTAGGGTAGTCTGTGATTGGCCCAGTTCGGTTTTCTTTGAAACCCGCTCCTCAACCAATTAATCTGATTAGGAATATAACACACAGTGGGTGTCTTGTGCCAAAGTTAAATACTCTATTCTTGGGGCTGCTGTTATCTCTTCTGACCCTTCCCCAACTCCATGTACACACACCTCCAAACCTCAGATAGCACCTGAACCAAACGGAACTAATCCACAGGCCTGCTGAGAGCCAATCAGATCCCCTGTCTGTGACAGAACAATTACACAAGTAATTATTACCCCAAGTCCTCATGCCTCCCAGTAGCCATGCCCTTTGTAATGTGACTTTGTAGCTTCTCTCATCAAGAGGTGAAGCCTGTTTCCCCCGCCCTTGAATCTGGATTGGCCTTGTAACTTACTTTAGACAAGAGAATGCAGCAGAAGGAATGGTGTTATAGTTCTCAGAGTAAGGCCCAAGACCTGAGTCCTTCCACCTTCTCACTTGCTTGCATCTCTGCTTCTGTATGAGGACATGAGCAAGCTAGCCTGTTGGAGGATAAGCCACATAGAGCAGCGCCAAGTCAGCCCATTTGTCTGAGGTGAGGTCCAGACATATGAGAGCACCTATCCAAGACTTACAAAGCCACCCAGCTAACCCAAAGCTGACCACAGATACATGAGCAAGTCCCACCAAGCTCAGGTCAACGCAGCTGAACCACTTAGCAACCCTTAGACTAGTGGGCGAAAATCAATGTTTATTGTTGTATGACACTGAAGTGTTAATGATTGTTACACAGCATTAGTGTGGCAACAGATAACCGATACACTGTCCCCACCAAAAGCATCAGAGAGCCCCAGAGCCAGCAGCCTTGGTGGATGGTGCTGAACTTGTAGAGTCATACGGAGATGAGGCAGGAGGTGGTGCCAAAATCTTGGTGGAGGCCAAACTTGTGGAGACACAGAAACCACAGGCCAGGCACAGTAGTTCACATCTGTAATCCCAGCACTGTGGGAGGCTGAGACAGGTGGATCACCTGAGGTCAGGAGTTCGAGAGCAATCTGGCCAACATGGTGAAACCCCATCTCTACTAAAAATACAAAAAAATAGCTGGGCATGGTGGTGGGCGCCCGTAATCCCAGCTACTCGGGAGGCTGAGGCAGGAGAATTGTTTGAACCCAGGAGGCGGAGGTTGCAGTGAGCCAAGGTCACACCATTGTACTCCAGCCTGGGCAACAAGAGTGAAACTCCATCTCAAAAAAAAAAAAAAAAAAAAAAGCAAGAAAGAAAGAAAAAGGAAAAAGATAAAGAAACCACAAAGAGGCAGGGAGGCTGGCCTGCTGCCTCCCAGAGAGAGCAGAGATGGGACCACAAAGGGAGAAATGGGAAGACGAGCTGTCAGCCTGCTTTCTAGTTCCCACAGGTTGAGCTTTACTCTCTGTGCTTTCTTCTGATGAGAATCCCCTTCTTAATCCTCAGTTAGTCACCCTTTTATATGAGTGATTTTAAATGGGTTTCTGTTCTTTAAAGCCATCCTTTATTACTATGGGGTAGATAGAGCTCAATGTTTGCCACCCTATAAAAAAAGAATGAACTTCACATATACATGGGAGCCCAAACACTACCCAGAGCTTGACCACATGGTGAGAAGCATCAGGATATAGTTCTAGGATCTATGCTCACCTCCACCAGCAAAGCCACTGGGGCTTCTAGTAGGCACCATTTTCATTTCACCCCAGCAGGTCTTCTTGAAACTCAGCCACACAGATAATTCAGGTGTCCGATCATCAGACCCATCTCCAGGTCTGCACAGCAAAGGCAGCCACTGAAACCTTCCCCAAGAAGTCTGAGATTCGGTCCTGAAAGCAGATCCATTTCCACAGAATGGCTGTGGGTCCTTCCAAACCTGCGATTCCCAAGTGGTCAGGGTAGTTGGGCAATGAAATATGAACTCAGCTTCCAGTTGCTGAACGCATGCATCCAGTTTGAATGTGGATTTCTGCAATTCGGTTGACAAAAGAGTGTGTGATAGGGTTTCTTTTTCCTGCACTCTCAACTACAGATTTACTCAGATGTCTTTTCACATCATTAAGAAAGTACAAAGCTGGGCGTGGTGGCTCACACTTGTAATGCCAGCACTTTGAGAGGCCAAAGCGGGAGGATTGCTTGAGCCCAGGAGTTCGAGGCCAGCCTGGGCAACATGGTGAAAACCCAACTCTACAAAATAAAAAATAGAAAATTAGCTGGGCGTGGTGGCATGCCTATAGTCCCAGCTACTTGGGAGGCGGAGGCGGGAGGATCACTTGAGCCCAGGAGATCAGGGCCGCAGTGAGCTATGATCACACCACTGCATTCCAGCCTGGATGACAGAGTGAGACCCTGTCTCGAAAAAAGAGAATAAAGAAAAAAATAAAGTATAGTTATGAGGAGTCACTGGAGAGGCGGTTGGGGCATGAAGGCTGGGGGATTGTTCAACAGGTCAGGCCTCTTGGAGGTTCTAAAATCTCAAAATTCTTGGATTTGAGGAATTCCAAAATTTCCCCCAGAAAGCTGCATAAAAGTAAATGGGTTCTTCATACGCAGCTCAAACTTCTCTCAAATATCCCCAAACTGACAATAGAAAGGCACAAATATGAAAGAACTCACCATTTCCATGGATTTCCTCTGCCCTCACATCTTGCAATGAATCTCATCTGTGGAATTCACAGCACAGACCTTTCTGATACTTGAAGGATGAAAGGAGAATCTGGTGGCCTCATTTTCTGACTCAAGGAAAGGGTTAAAACCATTTTTCCTTTTCCCTGCAGGTGCCCCCTCTGGGGCAAATGAACTCAGCTTTTCCATGTTTAGAACAAAGGCCTCAAATTCCTTCCTGGCAGGTGTTCATGTATGTGAGCAAATTAGATTTTGAAAGTCTTTTTTGCCACAAGTCTCAGGCCATCAATGTAGGCTGTATGTTGGAAGTCCCAGGCTAGCCAGCGCCACCTCTCCGAGGCACTGCAAGCTGGAGCAGAAGAAAAAGGCAAGTAAGAAAACATGGAATTCAGAATCAGAAAAGCCTGGCTTCAAATTCCAGCATTGCCACTCTGCAGCTGGGCAACTTTTGACACATCACCCAGCTCCCTGAGCCTCAGTGTCCTCATTTGGAAAACAGGGATAATAACGCTTTCCTCACCGGGGTGTTTGAGGATCTGACAAGATGTCACATGTCAAGTGTCTGGCTCTTACTTAGTATTTAATAAGTGGTTGTGTGTTATGCTGGGTTCTTGATTGCAAGCCATGTGGTAATCAAGTGGAATTTATTGGAAGGCTATCAGGGGCTCATAGAATTGGCAGAGAAGAGTGATGAAGTCTGGAAAATGGCCAGAAACCAAGGGCTTGCCAGAGAGTTAAGCAACAGGGGCCTTAGCAAGGTCACGAGAATGGGTGGCCAGCACGCCACCGCTGCCGCTGGCCTGGAGAGCCTCCAGCCGCTCCTCCCGGCCCCAAATCACTCACTCAAGGGTCCAAGTCCTGGAGGGAACATGTGGCTACCCTAGCCTGGATTATGTGCATACCGTTTGGTTGCAGCTGGAGAAGAGAGGGGGAGAACTGGGTGTTTGTGCTTCTGTGTAAGGGGCAAGTTCATCACCCACTGTGCCGTGATGGCACACAATGGAGGGTGGGTCTCCATAGGGAATGGAAGTGCTGCTGGCCACTGAACAGTCCCAAGCCCACAAATGCTCACCACAAACGTTACTATTTAAATCCAGAAGAGAAGGCAGGTGCTTCTTGATAAAACCAGGGCAGAGTTACATGGTGTGGAGGAAAAGGGTGGGCTTGAGTTTCTGGCAAGCTCCATATGTAAGGGTTAAAATCACCTGAGGTGAGGGACTCTAAGAGGCGCAGTGCTCAAACCTCCACTTGTACTGACTGTGTGACCTTGAGCAAGTGATTTCAGCTCTCTGAGCTTCCGAGCTCTGAAGGCCCAGTTAGATGATACACCTAGAACACGCCTGGAACGAGAGCGGGTACATGGCAAACACTAAGGAAGATCTAGCTACGGTGATTGCAGTGTCTTCTGTTTAGAGAAGAGGACTGGCTTCTCCTGCACCTGAGGCCTGGAGGGTAAAGCAGAGGAGCAGAAGCAATAAACATGGGTAAGTGAGACTGATGTGTCTGGGGAAGTAAACAGCTTTCTCAGAGAGGCTCAGCCCCCTGTTAAGGGAGCTGAGTCCAAGCTCCTCTGGGGCTTCCAGCAATAACACACTGTTATGAGCAACTCCACGAGCCTGGGGCATGAATTTCTCGCCTAACATAAAGATGTCTCTGAACCTAAAATACTCCCCCAAATCACACTCAGTTCTGTCCTCGGAGGTTTTCCAGGGACATTGAGCAACTTACCTATTTTGCAGCTCGGAGCTTCCCCATCCCACCCACTCGTGACTCTGCTGAAATGTCACAGGAATCTCCTGCCCAGCTTCTTGTAACCCGAGAGTTGCCAAGGGCAGCTACCCTACGGAAAGAGATTCTGGTTCAGAGAAAATATTCTAGACAGAGCCGACATACATGTCTCTTTCTTTTTTCTGGAAGATGATTTTCCACAGTGAGCCACAAGATCCTTTTTCTAAATGAGAAAATAACAGCTTGCATGTAGCAATTGAGAGTCATCTACCCCTTATTAACCCGCAGCATTAATTAATTACTTATTCTACATGGCTCACTATCTTACACACCCTTTGAGGGATGATGGGGAAACACCAAACAAACGTAGGATTTGGTTGTCACTCATTTTCTCCAGGGTTCCAGGTTTCCCACCTTCACTGATTCCCAACAACATAACACAGTGTTACCTTATCGCATCCTCATCACATCCTCCTAGAAACCCTTGATTGGCTTTCCATTACCTTCAGGGGCCTCTTAGCACCACGTACAGTCTTCCAGGCCTGGCACCTGCCCACTTCTCCAGTCTTTCTTCTTTCCCCATCCCTCACGTCTTCTACTCTCCAGCCATTCGCTCATTCACTTTCCATTCATTCATTCTTCAAATGCGTACTGGGCAGCCACTCCAAGTCAGATGCTGTGTTAGCTGCTAGAACCACAGTGCACAGTGGGGGGACAAGACAAACAAGAGCCTTTCTCTTAAGAAGCTTACATGCCAGGGAATGTAAATAACAATGAGAGAAAGAAAGAGATGAGAGCATTTCTTTCTTTCTGTGAAAAGTGTTGCTAGGAGAATGCCACAGGGCGATGTGATTGAGAGTGAATGGAAGAGGCCGTGTGCCTTTAATTGGGTGGCCAGGGAAGGAAGGCATGAGTTGAGAACCAGCCACTCCAAATTTCTTGCAGTTCCATGATCGTCCCAGGTTTCGTCTATCCTCTGTGCACGTGCATACGCCACTGCCTCCTCCAAAATGCCCACTCCACCCCAGCCCCACAATCCCTCGTCTACTTGTAATCCTGGCTCAGTTTCATCTCCACAGGGAAGCCATTCCCAGTCTGCCAAGGGCTGACTTGGGCACCCCTTCTCAGTGCTCCCCAGATTCCCTGAGCCTTAGTGCCCACTCCACACCTACTCCATCCCTATGACGCCCAGCATCAAGAGAGCAGGACCCAGAAGTCACCCTTGCTTCACGGCGAGTACCTTGGGAAGGAGAGAAATGCTAAAGCAGGATTGGAGGGCACCCAGTTGGGGTCTGAGCTTGGTGGACATCAACGATTTTTCCAGCAATTTTTGTTTGATTAAATCCCAAAGGACATTTTTTCCTCCAACTCTTTTTCCTTTAGCATTTAAGCCATATGGTTCTGATTCATTTATACTTAACTAATTACATTGGTTTGGTTAGAGCTATTTGATGTCCGTGAGTCTTCTGAGCCTTTTCATACAATTTTCTAACTCTTTTTACTGTGAAGCCCAAAGTGGTCTTTTGCCAGCTGTAAACAGCACCAGAAGGTTACTGTTTGGTCTCGGTTTGGTCACTAGGCTGAGGCCCTGTGGTTACAAGGCCTCTGAATTTGGCAAAATGTGTTTTTTGACTCCCAGTGAAATTCTAAGAAGGTTCTCAGAAAAATATTGAGATGAGAACACATAAATAAGATATCCAGCTCTGGAGCAAGGCCCCTCCCTTTAGAGAAGCCCCCGTTGGGGTCATGGCTTCCGCCTACCTTCCCCATCCTCCCAACAGCAACTGGCAGTTGGGTCACTCAATGAAGTCCTGAGGCATTTCACTTCATGATCCCACCCTGTCTCTAGGATCTTAGAAAGTGGCATTTGTGTAACAGGTAGGATTTTATGGAGATGCCAGTGTTCTGGCCAAGTTGGCCGCAAAGCAGCTCTGTTTTTGTTACAGGAGATGGAAGGATCTGAAACCAGCAGAGGGCCCACGGTGTTTCAGGCCCTTTTCAAGGATAAAGGTGTACAAAGATGAAGAAACACAGTCCTTGCCTCCAGGGGTTTAGAGTCTAGTGTTCCTATAACGTGTAATAGCAATACCTGTTATTGATCAACTTACAATATACCAGGCTCTACACTAAGTGTTTCCAGAATATTATTTCAGCCAATGTTTGTGATAACTTCAGAGATTGGTACTTGTCTTAGTCCATTATCTGTTGCTTATAATAGAATATCTGAAACTGGGCAATCTATAAAGAAAAGGAATCTATTTCTTACAGTTATGGAGGCTGCGAAGTCCCAGGTAGAGGGGCCACATCTGGTGAGGGCCTTCTTGCAGGTGGGGACTCTCTGCAGAGTTCCAAGACAGCTCAGGGCATCACATGGTGAGGGGGCTGAGCTTGGAAACTTAGGTCTCTCCTCCTCCTATAAAGCCACAGTCCCACTCCCATGATAACCCATTAATCCATTTATGAGGGCACAGCCCTCATGACCCAATGGCCTCTTAAAGGCCCCACCTGTCAATACTGCCATATTGGGGATTAACTTTCAATATGAGTTTTGGAGGGGACACACATTCCAGCCATAGCAATACTCATAATATCTCCCACTGGCCCATGAGGAAAGTGAGTCTCCAAGAGTTCAAGTGACACAAGTGCTAAGCAGGAGAATTGGGATTGGAACCCAAGTCAGCCTAATCCCAAAGACCACAATGCATGGAACATGAATAGCTGCTTATAGAGGCTCATGGATTCTGAAAAGGTGCATGCCAAGAATCAGACCAAAGATCATCAATGCCAAGGTCAAAGAACAAGGCATGAGGCAGGGGGTGGAGGGAGCAGTAGACAGAGACATGAACTAACATCATTGAAGACCAGGCCCAATAACCCAGCAAGGTCAGCACTATTTATATCCTCATGTTTGTAGATGAGGAAACTGGGAGTCAGACTGGTGAGGTCCCTTGCCCAGGGCCTGACAGCCAGAAAAAAGGAACACAAGAGCTTGGACCCCGTTCTCTCTGACTCCAAGGTTCTCTCCAACATATCCTCACAAATGTGATCTGTCTCCCTATGGGGTTAACGATAAAATCACAACCTCCCCCATTCAGCTAAAAATCTCCATAAAGCATAACAGTTCAGATGAAATTAAGAGAAGGTCTATTTAAGGCAAGTGACATAAATGCTAAACAGGGTAAGGAACGCTGCCCGAGAAGGGCTGAAGTAATGGAAATGGGATTCAGAATGATGAACAATGCAAAAGATTTATGAGATGGAATACTCCCAAACAGTCTATGTGCAAAGTTCTCAACAAAAGAATGAGGAGGGGCCAGGCATGGTGGTTCATGCCTGTAATCCCAGCACTTTGGGAGGCTGAGGCGGGTAGATCACTTGAGGTCAGGAGTTCGAGATCAGCCTGGCCAACATGGTGAAACCCCGTCTCTATTAAGAATACAAAAATTAGTCAGGCATGGTGGCAGGCACCTGTAATCCCAGCTACCCGGGAGGCTGAGGCAGGAGAACTGCTTGAACCCAGGAGGTGGAGGCTACAGTGAGCTGAGATTGTGCCACTGCACTCCAGCCTGGGCAACAGAGCGAGACTCCATCACACACACACACACACACACACACACACACACACACGAATGAGAAGAGAGCATACAATAGCCAAATCTGGGTGTAAGCTGAGAGAATAGAAAAGTGAAACCATGAGTCCAAAACGTACCTAGGTTGGTCAAGGGAGAAGAGAGTTTGCTGATGGATGACAATTTCCTGTTTCTTTTCTAAAAAAAAGAAGAAAGGAAATCTTTACAGATGTCTGCCAAGACGCAGCTGTTTTCAAACAGGTTTATCTTATTTAGCCATTTTCTTATTTAATCTTTACAGGGTCTTTCAAAAATTGGCTCAATTGTCATCTACATTTTACAGAGGAGAAAAAAAGGCTCAGAGATATAACATGACTTTCCCAAGGCCACAGGCCTTGAAAGTACAAATTGGATCATCCTTATCGACACCTTCCTGTGGCAATCAGAATAAAACATCGATGTCGGACCAGGACCTAAGTGTGATACGAGTCCTGCTAACATCTCTGACGACATTTTTTTTTTTGAGACAGAGTCTCCCTCTGTTGCCCAGTTTGGAGTGCAATGGTGTGATCTCGGTTTACTGCAACCTCCATCTCCTGGGTTCAAGCAATTCTCCTGCCTCAGCCTCCCAAGTAGCTGGGATTACAGGCACCCACCACCACACCTGGCTAATTTTTTGTATTCTTAGTAGAGACGGGGTTTCCCCATGTTGGCCAGTCTGGTCTTGAACTCTCGACCTCAGATGATTCGCCTGCCTCGGCCTCCCAAAGTGCTGGGATTACAGGTGTGAGCCACTGCACCTGGCCATCTCTGACTACATCTTAAAACTCTCTCTCTCTCACCCAGAATGTTCCAGTCACAAAATCATTTTTAGTTCCTCAAATACAGTTTCATTTCCAACTTGGGGCTTTTAGATATGCTGTTTCTCTGCCTACCAGAGTGATCCATCTGGATCCTTTGGTCAAACTTTAGCTCAAATGACGTCTCCTCCAACAAGCCTTCTTTGACTGCACACTCTGCAATGGGCCCTCCCACAGCTATCTAGGACAGTCACTCATCTTTCATCACTGACCATGGTTAGTGTAAATGGGAGTGTCCTCTCATCCATTGTCCATCTTCCCACTTCAGCTATAGCTCCATGAGAGTAATTTGAGCCCCCCATGAAATGTTCCTATGACTCACTGACAATTAGGTATGGTCCAAATAGAGCCTTTCTTTCACACAGAGATGTCAACCCCAGCATGGCCCCCTCACAGCTCCTCCTGAAGGGGAAGCCTTAAGTGAGCCACGTGACAGCACAGTTGATTCAATACTGCATGGCATCAGACCTACCCAGGACCCCAGGCACAGCTGTCGGGACCTGAGATGGACAGCAGGCCTAGGAATCCACAGACCAACCAGCAACCCGAGATGTGTCAGGAAGGGATGAGCTGGGCTAATCCTATTCCTCCTTGGGGAGTTTCCAGTGAGAACCGAAATGGAAAGGATATCACATGCTGGAGTCAGGGCTGTGGTGGACCATCTGCTCGTGGAGATTTGAGGGAGCAGAACTCATGAGAAGGCAGAGGCCCCAGTTAATGAAACTGGAACAGAGTGCACAAGAGCAGAGAGAAACAGAACTGCCACAGAGACACATAGAGCCTCCGGCTCCAGGGCTGTCTCAGTTCCTGCCTGAACCCCAATTCCAGTTCCCATCAAGGGAGTTCCTTCAGTGAGTCTCCCTTTCCAGGAGGTAACTAACAGTTACTTGCATCAAAAAGAGCCAAACTGAAGCAGTCTCCAAACCAAAGTTACATACCAAAAAAGTGTTTGAGCTTGTGGTGGGAGGGTGGGGATGACAATCTCCTACGAACACGAAAATATGAAACAATTTTTTTCTAGCACAATTTGTGGGGCAATCAGTATATTTTAAGCATATCAGTCATGACTCTTCCCATTACAGGAGACAGCACTGGCTTCAGGAACTGATGGATCCAGGTGCTCACGTGTGTCTTCCGTCACCCCTCTGCCTCAGCTTCTCAGAAAGCCTTTCACATTTAGTGGACCCAGTAGCCCACCAGCAGAAAAGAAGCTGTCTTCCCCAACAGATTCACAAAAGTCCTAGGATTGCAGAACATTAGACAACTTGAACTTTGGTCTGATGAGAACACTCTGATTCATCAAAGCTAGATTATGTGACCACCCCTAACATGTGGGTGGGAAGTGGGGAGAGAAGAGAGGAGGTAGTCTCCTCAAACACTTTAAGAGTGGAGTTGAGGTGATTTCCCCAAAGGAAAAATTGGGGTGCTGTCACCAAAAGAAGAGAGGATGGATAATGAGCAGGCAAAAACCCCAAATGTTCCCCTATGGGAGTAAAATCCACTTGAGGCATAGGCCACTTGGGGAGAAGACCCGTAAGCTCCTTCTCCAGGAGGGTTATCTGATTATAAGAGGAGGCTGGTAACCACTGAGTCTGCACGAAAGCTTTTCCTAGGCCTGGTCCTTGGGGCTACAGCTTTATTCTAGGGCATGTTTATTTGAGGAACATGGGCTCCTTGAGAAGCACTGGAAACAAGGGGACAGAATGGCTTCTAAATAAAACAAATCCTAGCCTGGAAGTTCTGATCTCTACTCTGCCACCTACCAACTGGGCTGACCTTGGGCAAATCCTCTCACTTCTCTGAGCCTTAGCCTCCTAATCTGTGAGATGTCAGTAATAGTACCTACCTTGCATGTTCGCCACAGAGATTCAATTAATTTAAATAGGTAGAGGACTTGGGGCAGTGCCTAGGACAACATTACACTCAGGGATGGTGATGATGATGATTATAATGATGATGATGATGTTGATGATGATGATGTTGATAATGATGATGATGATGATGATGATGATGATCATGATGATAATGGAAAAGAAGATAGAGGAGGTAGAAGAGGAGACAATCATGATGTTGGAGGTAGACTCCAATCTTCAGAATCAGAAGCTCAGGGTTGGAAAGGACCTTAAGTAGTCACCCCGCCAACTTCCACAATCCACCCCAAGACCCTAAGAAATAGGATTTGACATTGCTCAAGTTGAGGAAACTGAGGACGAGCTTGCCCATTGCTGGTCTTTTAGCCAAAGAAGTGGGAGAGATGGCCATGAAACCCAAGACAGTTAGCTTCAAAGCCTGGGCTCCCTTTACCAGAGCCTTCTGCCACGAGGCATGTTGATGACTTCTACAGTCTAGAATGAAGAACTCAGGGTCTCCAAACGAGCCATCTGTGACTTTGTGACTTTGCACCCATGCATTGGCGGAGGAAGTCATTGCATTATAGGACCCTTGCATCTTTTCCTTTGGGCTTTCTTTCTACCCTCAGTGAGCATCAAACCAAAGAAAAGCTTCTTAAAAAAAAAGAACACAAGTTATAAGAGCCACCAATATTTCAAAAACAATTTCACATCTGCACTGAAACTCCTCTACTTACAAACATTCACAGATAAGAACAAAGCCATGCACTAAAGGAAAAGTAGGCCAGCTCCGCCTGCTTCCCCACAGATGGTGAGCAGCAGTCATGCGCATCCATTTTAGTCTTGGCCATCACGTTAGTCATTAGTGTTGGCCCATGAGCTGTTTAAAGAAGTGTCTTCTTACCATGAAAAGAAGAAAGTCAAAGTAAAAACATCTTTGGATACATTTCTGAATCGCTGAAAAGCACCAAGTAGAGCCAGAATCAATGCCAGCACATCACCGGTCCTTTTGAGAAACTCAACTTTATACAGACATGTATACTGCAGAGACTTAGAAAGAAATAGACTTAAACACAGCCTTTTGGATATGATGTATTTGTACATGAATGATTTCTAAATTTCTAACAGCAAAAACAACACTGAGTATTACTTTTAATGCTTTTATTTTAAGCAATGAATGGCATTTTCTAGAATGACCCTACTTTGGCAGTTGACTAGACTAGAATGACTCTGACTATGGCAGACATGGTTAGTTGCCTATTCAACAGCTATTCTCCTACACTTTCTTCCTTCCTGGTGAATTTTCTCTCCAATAGTAGAAGTTGGAAATGGCAGATATTTTCTCAGGTTCCTTTGCATATGCAGCACTGACCAATGGAAATATAAGAAGAAATCTCTAACCTTACAGACTCCTCAATTAAAGAAATCGATGCAGGAGGAAAGGCCTTGTACTTCCTGGTTTGGATACTGTCCAGTGAAGGCGTGATGTCTAGAGCCACCACAACTATTTTGCAGCCATGACATGACAAGTCTAAAAACAAAAAGCAACAGGCTATGGACGGCAGAGCTGAAGAACAAAAAGATGCTGGCTTCTTGATGACAAGGTTGAGCCATAAACCAATCCCAACACACCTACTCCAGACTTCTTGTTATTGAAGAGAATAAAGGTATTTGATAATTAAACTACTTTTAGTTGAGTATTCTTTTACTTGCAGCTGAAACCATTCCAACTAATATGTTCATGAAACCTTTCTATGTATGTCTGAGCTGAGACAGAGAGAGGGCCAGTCTGCCCAGCTCAGGTTTGTACCACATTGACCCCACCTCCCGGCCACAGCTGACTGGACCAGGAATGGACTCCTCATCCAAGCTGAGTTCATCTGAGACTCTCTGCTGGGAATTGAGGATTGAGATTCAGAGACCATTAGATGGTTTCTGCACATAACTTTGGGAGCTATGTACACAGAAAGACATGGAAAGCTCATGTGTGCACATGTAAGAAGCAGCACAGAAGATAAACTGATTGGCTTCAGAAAAGAAGAGCAAGATGGAGTACATAGTTGCCTGGTGACCTTGACCTTCCATTTCCTGGTTCCGGGCCTTCACGACTTTCCATCTATTTACTTTCCACTTTCAGGTCCCATGAAAGACTTCCATTTCCTTTGCTTAAGCTGCTTTGAAATAGGATTCTCTTTATCTCTAACAGCTTTGCCAAGACCCCAGGGAGTTGATGGCCAGGCTAGGGTGGAACTTACATGTCCTGACTTGATGCTGCACCCTGCTACCTGCCAAAACTACAACTCATATTTATTGAGTATTTGCCAAGCACCACGAACTCTTCTAAAGGACGTCTCATGTTATTTTTAATCCTCACAACAATCCTATGAAATAGGTCCTGTAGTAGCTCCCGTTTTGCAGAGGAGGAAACTAAGGCACAGAGATTTTAAGTAAATTGCCTAAAACCACACAGCCAGCATGTGTCTGAGCCAGCATTTGAACTCCAGAGCTCAAGCTTGTCACCACTTTGTTTTACTACCTCCCCTTCCAATTCCTCCTCCCCTCTGTACTGCCCTGTAGACTGACAAATTATCTACATGTTTTCAGTGAGTGCATCTGAACTATCTCCTGACCTCCTACGGCCCTCATAATAGCTCCACCTGGCAGCTACTCACTGCCTGAGGAATCCAAGAGGGCTTCCTGAAAGAGGTGCTATTTGAGTAGATTGTGTAAAGATGAGTCGGAGTTTGCCAAACATTGGAAGAAAGAGAGAGAGTGCCTTAGTCAACTGGGACTGCTATAACAGAATATCACAGACTGGGTGGCTTATAAACACCAGAAATCAATTCTCATAGTTCTAGAGGCTGGGAATTCCAAGGTCAAGGTGCTGGCAGATTCGGTGTCTGGTGAGGACCCCCTTCCTGGTTCATAAATAGACATCTCACTGTGTCTTCTCATGGTAGAAGGGACAAGGAAGCTCTCTGGGGCCTTTTTTACAGGGCACTAACCTCATTCATGAGGGCCATGCCCTCATGCCCTAATCATCTCCCAGAGACCTCACCTCCAAATACCATCACACTGGGCATTAAGATTTCAACATATGAATCTGCAGGGAACATAAACATTTTCTACAGAGAAGGGCATACTAGTCAGAGTTCATAGTTGCAAGTATAGGTGCTGAATCTGGCTTTTTTAAACAGGAAAATAATTCATTAAAAGGATGGCAGGAGCTCTCAAAACTGCTGGGAGGGATGGATAACCACGTTCTAGGCAACAAAGCTGAGAGCATTGCCCTAAAGCATGTCACAGAACTGATCCAATGAGGATATCACTGCCACCTCACCCCCAGCACAGGACACCACAGCTTCCATCACCACAGGGGGTTCCCCGGGTCCCTACTATTCTGCTTCAACAGTTCCTGATGTCAAGGCCATGCCAAGTACATCTGATTAGTAGAGTCCGGGTGACATGCCACACCCTAGCTGCAAGACAGGATGAGAAAGTAGGAGTTGGAATTCTGAGCTCTTATTCCAGGGAATAGACTCTGCACTCACCAAGACTCACAGGAAGGGCATTCAGCTGCTGGGGGCCAAAGACAATGTCAAGCATCTACTACAAGGGGCATTGAAGGCAAAGGGAACAAATCGTGCAACGGTACAGAAAGCGTATGCTTGCCTTGGCTCAGAGCGATGAGATGGTCACTGGGCTCCTTAGAGTATATATTTAGTGCTGAATTCTGCCTCCCGAATTGCCGTTTGGACAGCTTGCCTTTGCATTTCAACGTCTTCTGTCTGCAAGGGCAGACTCAGTTCTTGACAGACCTCAGAAGGCCTGGAGGGGGGCCAAATGCTCCAGAAAGAGTCAAATGCTGCTGAGAAAAAGGAGGAGGTAAGAGTGGTAGAAGGACAGCAGTGGAGAGAGGAGGAGGAAGCGGAGAGCAAGCTCAAGTGTAAAGCCATCACTCTCCTCCAGCCAAAGTTCTGGCTCGTGGCCACCATGCAGATCCCTTTTTCCAAGGCCCAACTCCCAAGAAGAGCAACTTCACCAAAGGAGCCCAGCATTCATAGAAGGTCACCCTTGCTCATGAAACCTACCCTTTCCCAAAAGACACGGAAGTCCTGCTGAGAACAGTTCTTCTTAAAGGGCCAGCTGCCTCCAGTCCAGTCCTCTAAGGCCAAGGCCTTCTCTCATGTGATGCTCAGGGAAGGGGCAGTGACATCTTCTCTAGCTCCTCATTCCTCCCCCAGCCATTAACAACCTGACTAGAAACCCTCCCCCAGGCTCTGGTCCACAAGAAGCCAAATTGAACTAATGTCAGATGGTAGCAACAGCATAGCCAGAGCCCCAGCTTTCTGCTGGAAAGATGTGAGGCTGCTCCAGCCAGGGCAGTGACCCATCAAGCCTCTGCTCATTCTCCCTGCCTTGGAGGGCAGCAGCCATGGGGGCTGGTTCTCAGAGATGCTGAGGGACAAATATCAGACAGGGCTGGAGAGGGTGGGGATGACCAGAGAAGGAGGCCTGAGTTCAGAGTATTGGCTTTCGTCCCCGCAGCCACTTGACCCCAGCTACTCCTTGTCCCAGTGCCCTGTCTTTGCTCTTGAAACAGCAGTCTGCACAGTGGTCTGAACCAGAAACCAGAAGCCACCCTCAGCTCCTCCCTCTTCCACAAACCTAATACCCAAACACCTCTCAGACCCATCACTGCCCTCCCTTGCCTCTGCCATCACCCCAGCCCAGACCAACCCCACAGACCCCACGAGGCTCTGGCCTGAGCCGCCTCCTAACCTTCTCTGCCTTAGTCCCTGTGACTCCCCTTCCGGTGCCCAGACCTCCGGCCAAGCAGCTGACCTCAGTGGTCTCTAGTTTTGCCATCTCTAAATGATCATCTCCATGGTCCCAGAATGGTGGGCAATTTTTCCTGTGGTCCTAGCAGAATGCTCCTGTACAGGAAAGCGCTGAGATTTCTCTCTATTCACCTTAAGGTCTTAATTCCCAGACTGAGGCAATTTTACCAACCCAGGAGACATTTGGCAATGTCTGGAGAGTTTTTTTGGTTGTCACAACTTAGAGAAGCATGCTGCTGGCATCTAGTGCATAGAGAGCAAGAATGTTGTTAAAAATCCCACAACCCCTGCCAGTGAAGCATTATCCCACCCCAAATGCCAGCAGTTGAGAAACCTCACATAAAGGTGAAACTGTTCAACTCACTTCCTGGTGGCCCCTCCTAGGCCTCCCAGAGACCGCCACAAAGGTTTGCCCACCAGCACTCCCATCATCCCCTCTCTCGGGCCCTGAGTGTTCCGCCTGGGCCATCACCCATGACTTTCAGGCCTGGGCATCCCCTCCAGGCAGGGAACATGGATGTCCCAGCCCCCAGCCTCACCGCCACTAGAGGTCCTCCTAGCAGGGCCTGTGCCACCTTGGCAGCCCTCCCAGCAGATCCTGGGAGACACGAGACCCAGTGACTCTGACCATTCAGAGACTGGTCCTTCTCCAAAGAGACTGGAGAGGCAAGCGCCTTCGCTGGTGCCAAGAAGAAGGGCCAGGCAAGGGCCTCTCCCTGGGAGTCACTCTGCTTTGGGCAAAAAAATACGCTAAACAAGAACAAAGCCTGAGTCATTCCTTCTGTCTCCTAGGGCCCAGTGTCACACTCACTGCCAGGAGGGTTAGCCAAGGTTGGGGCTGCAGATGGCTGGGGTTAAATGCAGGAAGCTGGGACAATGCTGGCTGGAGCCACCTCCTAACCTTCCCTGCCCTACCCCCTCTGGTTCCCCTTCAGGCGCCCAGCCCTCCAGCCAAGTGGCTGACCCCTGGTTCTGCCTTCCTGCCTCCAGGCCTTTGCTCACAGCAGGCCCTTCCACTGGAAGGCGTGACCCCTGCTAATTCTACACATGCGGATCCTACCTATTAGGTGCCGCCAAGGAAGGCCCCTGAGTCCCCTCCACTAAGAGATAACATAGCATTTTGAAGGCATACGTTCCCCTTGGTTTCTAGTTACGACTGTTCATACATCACCCTTCCTAATGGACGATGACATTCCCAAGGGCAGGAGATGTCCCATTACTCTCTTAGCCATTGATGCCTAGTACAGGGCTGGGCCCACAGGAGATGGACAACTAGTAGAATAAATATGCCACCTCAGCCATGATCCCTCCTTCCTCTTAGCTTTCTCGTGAGCTCTTCCCTCTGCCTGGAACACCATTCCCACCACCCACCACCATGGTCCGTCTCCCCTTACTGGCTTAAGAGAGTCGCTTCCCTGAAGAGGCCTCCCCAGTTCCCTGGCCCAGGTAAGTGCCCTGCAATATGAACCAATAACAGCTGTGCATCTTTTTTTTCTTTTTTTCGTAGCTTTTGACACATTGCAATTAGGCACTCACCTAACCACCTTCTACTTAGGGAGTTTCCCTGCATTAAGAAACTCTCTCTAGTCTCTCCCTCTGGGTAACGTGAAACTGATGCCCAGAGCAGGCTGAGCACTCATGCCTGCCGAGCCTCAGTGCTCTTCATACTGGGCCCCCTTCCCAACCACATTCCCCTTCCCTTCGTCTTTTCTGGCAGAGCACATATCCCTATAAAGAGGCTGAAAATGCCAGTCACCTGCTTTCCCAGCCTCCCTCGCAGCTGGAACACAGACGTGTGACCAATCCTGGCCAATGAGACCAGAGGAGGAGCAGCTGGGGGCTTCTGGGAAAAGTTTCCTTTCCCTCTTTTTTGTTGGGTGAAATTGTGTCCACTTGTAACAACTGCTAGATGTGGAAGCCATTTTGCACCATGAGCGGAGACACTCCTAATTCTCAGAAGATCGCAGAAAGAAGTCTATGGAAAATACCTGTGACCTTGAGGAGGCTGCTGAGCTACTGCAGCATCTCAAGGGCTTCTCCGTCTCTAGACATCTTCCTACATAAAATAATAAATGTCCTATTGGGTTAAGCTGGTGTTTTTCACACTGTGGGTTGCACTCCATTAATGAGACATGAGATTATATTAGTGGGTCATGATTAGCATTTCTAATAGAATTAAAATAGGAAAGAATAGACAAAAATATTAGGTAGCATCACATAAAGTAAAGGTAAGTGCTGCTTGTGAAAATTTGCTTCAGTTTATACTCTTGCATATGTGCTAAGGGACAATTTAAAATGCGTTTTTTTACTATGCACTGAGAGTTTTTTGAAAGCAAAGCTTAAAACTTGTTTCAGTTAAAGATTCTGTTCCTTGCAGACAAATGCATTATGTCCCATAGAGGTATCCTTCAGCAACCCCAAAAACTTCCACTCTCACCATGTGAGTTGTTTACTGACCAAGAGACCATTGCATTTGCTGTCTAAATCATTTATGGCAGATGTATTCAGTACTGTCATTACATAACTTAATTAAATATTATGCCAACGAATGAAATAAGAGCATTAAAGAAACATTGCTGTTTCTAAGTTGACCACTTTGGAAAGAATCAATAAAGGCAAGTCTCAGAAAACATATCTGTTGGATGGAGGTGAGGAGAAAACTCCAAACAACTGGCAACAAGAGCCACAAAATTCTAGAAAGATTATGCACTTGTATTAATTCATACATATTTTGTTTCACTTTAAAGAAAAAAGATACAGAACTTTATTCTGCAAAGTCAGACGCCACAAAAGACTCTTTCCTACATCACACTATTGGTGACTGAATGTATATGTGAATATTTTCAGTAAAAATAAACTGTGTAAAAGTCATATAGGTATTGTTCTTATAATTTCTTATTGTAACAAAGTTTTTTTTTGATTGACTGCCTACCTTTCCATATCATATTTCACATGGAGCTCTGTGCACAATTGTATGATGTCTCTATTCTACAATTGATTGTAAACTCCACAAGAGCAGAAAACATGACCATCTTGTTCATCACTTTATACTCTGGCACAGTACTGGGTACATAGAAGATTCTTAATAGATATTATTCAAGTGTATAATTAACAAAAGAAATGAACAAGAAAACCCATTAAGTATTACCTCACTTTACTCTCAAAAAAGCCTTGTCAAGTGTGGCAATTCCTCAAGGATCTAGAACTAGAAATACCATTTGACCCAGCCATCCCATTACTGGGTATATACCCAAAGGATTACAAATCATGCTGCTATAAAGACACATGCACACGTATGTTTATTGCGGCACTATTCACAATAGCAAAGACTTGGAACTAACCCAAATGTCCATCAATGATAGACTGGAAAGCATAATAATAATAATAATAAAAAGAAAGTAAAAGAACTCACAAAATTAAGCATACAATCCCCACCGCAAAAAGTGTTGGAATAGGTATATTAATATTAGACAAAGCAGGTTTTAAAAAACATGTATTATAAAAGACTAGAGAAATATTTCATAATAGTAAAAGGGTAAATTCAGCAGGATAGACATATGTCAATAATAATAAATGAATCTGATTGCATAACTTCAAAAAAAAAAAGAAAATGTGGCACATATACACCATGGGATACTATGCAGCCATAAAAAAGGATGAGTTCATGTCCTTTGTAGGGACATGGATGAAGCTGAAAACCATCATTCTCAGCAAACTATCACAAGGACAAAAAACCAAACACTGCATGTTCTCACTCATAGGTGGGAATTGAACAATGAGAATACTTGGACACAGGAGGGGGAACATCACACACCGGGGCCTGTCGTGGGGTAGAGGGAGGGGGGAGGGATAGCACTGGGAGATATACCTAATGTAAATGTAAACAAACCTGCACATTGTGCACATGTACCCTGGAACTTAAAGTATAATAATAAAAAAAAAACCTTGTCAAATAGAGAGGAGTTTTATATTTGTATCTTAAAACTGGAGAGGAATTAGTTGTGGTTCAGAAAAGCAAACTGACGTCAGTCACACTACTAGTACCAAGAACCCACCACCCACTACCCACTACCCGTAAAGCCAAGCCCCCAGAATTCTTAGCTCATGGAATTATTCTGCTGCAAGAAGGTTATGACATGAGGCCATGACATTACCAAAGATTCCTTACTGCATTTTCACTCCCAGGGCTATGATTTTGAAATTCCTTTGGAATTCTGCAGAGAATTCTGAGTTTTGTGAGTTTAATTAACATTTTGAGTGTTATTGGTGAAGTTTTATCAGAGAATCGCTTTTTTTTTTTTTTTTTTTACATGTAAGTCTACAGCCAGAGGCCAGTATTTGGATCCCCAGAGAATGTTTCCAATTTTATGGTAGGAATTGATGGGAAAAGATTATTTTTTACAGAAATTCACCTGACAGCAGAATTTCCTGGGTCACATCTCTTCAGTTAAGTAGAAGATTCCTGATTCTGAACAGTCAAACAATTTAATACCAACTGTCAACTAGCATTGAAGATTTTTATGTCCTTAGTTCAGCTTTGTGCTTGACCTTTCTTGTGCACCTCCCTTTTTTATTCTGGGACATTAATGGTTGTTTATAAAAGAAAACATATAATAAAATTGTAAAATCTGTTTATTCATGTATATATGCTCAAAAATGTGTCAAGGCATGAGGAAGTCTTCTAGGGTACGGGACAAATTCTATGTCTTGACCTGGGTATTGGTTACCCAGGGTATACATTAAAAGACCATTGAGCCACTTAAGATCCATATGCTTTACTGTATGTAAGACGCACCTAAATAAAAAGATTTTTTAAAATGTGTCTGGCTTTAATCTTACAGAGAGCCAAAACTTGATAGATGTAACTAGTACATCCTACAGTAAATCAGTTCAAACCTACAAACATTTATTAAGGGCTTACTATGTACAAGGCACTGTGCTGGACCATGAATAGGACAGAATGTAATGATGATACTAATTATAAATGATTCTTGATACACGATGAGCCCTCAAGAGATGTTGTGGAATAAAAGAATGACTTAATTAATCACTAGCACAGGTAGAGGGGCTAATTTTATTTTATTTTTTTTTTTATTTATTTTTGAGACAGAGTCTTGCTCTGTTGCCCAGGCTAGAGGGCAGTGGTATGATCTTAGCTCACTGCAACCTCCACCTCCTGGGTTCAAGTGATTCTCTTGCCTCAGCCTCACTAGTAGCTGAGATTACAGGCATGCACTACCATGCCCAGATAACTTCTGTATTTTTAGTAAAAATGGTGTTTTACCATGTTGGCCAGGCTGGTCTCAAACTCCTGACCTCAAGTGATCCACCCACCCCAGCCTCCCAAAATACTGGGATTACAGGCATGAGGCACACCCAGCCAAGAGGCTAATTTTAAATAGGAACAGAGATGTACTGTCTCCTGATGCTGAAAAAAGGAAGATAAAGCTGTGTGCATCTTTTTTTTCATAGTTTCTGTCACGTTGCAGTTAGGCACTCACCTAACCACCCTCTTACTTAGGGAGCTTCCCTGGATTAAGAAACTCTCTCTAGTCTCTCCCTCTGGGTAACGTGAAACTGATGCCCAGAGCAGGCTGAGCACTCATGCCTGCCAGGCCTCAATGCTCTTCATACTGGGCCCTCTTCCCAACCACATTCCCCTTCCCTTCGTCGTTTCTGGCAGAGCACATATCCCTATAAAGAGGCTGAAAATGCCAGTCACCTGCTTTCCCAGCCTCCCTTGCAGCTGGAGCACAGATGTGTGACCAATCCTGGCCAATGAGACCAGAGGAGGAGCAGCTGGGGGCTTCTGGGAAGTTTCCTTTCCCTCTTTTTTGTTGAGTGCAATTGTGTCCACTTGTAACAAGTGGACTCTATGCCCCCAGGGAGTGAGACGTTGTTGCATAATGGTTACATAGTTTCTGTTTGGGGTGATGGAAAGTTTTGAAAATAAATCATGGTGATGGTTGCACAACATCGTGAATGTAATCAATACCATTGAACTGTACACTTGAAAACCATTAAAATGGAAAATTTTATGTTATATATTTTTAACTACAACAAAAATATTTCAGAAATATGCCTATTCACACACAAATATGTATTATTCATCCCCACACACCACATCTCTCAGTTAATGTGGCCTATCAATCAAAGCTTAATATCTGCTGCTTTTCTTTCTTATTTGGGGCTATCCTCTACCCTCTCCATCGAACTTCTGTCCCCAGAGTACTGACCCTCATCTCCCCTCACCTTCCTAACTGGCTTTTCTTAATCCAAACATTACACACCAATAAGACGAAACTCCAGCAGTTTTAATAATGGCTCTTTTGTGCTCAAGTATCTCTAGTGAGTCTTAGTGAATTCGTACATCATGGAGCTTCCTGAAGTTTATATTCTTGCCTCTTCACCACAGGGCTGACCTATCTTTCTAGCCTCATCTTGATTGTCTCAACCTTCCATTAAAATGGACTTTTTATTTGTGTCCTTGCTTCTGTTTCTTTATTCAAGCTTCTACTCGATGAAAATTGTTATCTCTGTTAACCTCACCTATTGACATAGTGAATCCTCAAGCTCCCATCCCTAAACAAATATCCTCCAAGAAGTTTCCCCAAGGCTCTCCTCCTCTAGAACTAATTCTCTTTATCTGACTATATATCTTCCTTGGGAGTTCATCTTTTTGTTTTTTTCCAAACTCTTTTTAATTCTAAGATTCTCTGATAATTTCTGAAATATCTGTCTCGTAATTAATAAATATTTATTGCTGGACAATGAAATGTACCTGGATCCTTGGAGTGAATAGTAAAGGCAAGCCTGTGGCAACTGGAGTGCAGCTAATTAGAAAGGGCTAATTAACAAACTTTTAAGACATGGTTTGTTTACGTGGAATACTTTGGGTCTCAATAATCACTGTAAAACCAGTTATTTGCAGCTATTAGATACACATTATACAAACACTAACATTTAAAAATGTGTGGTTACACTAATGTAGTAATATACCACCAAAGCGAATTTCCACCAGAAAGTAGGACTTAGAGATACAGAGGAACATTTCATGATGATGGAAGGATCCATTCAACAAGAAGAAGACAAAAAAAAAATTTGTGTGCACTTAATAATACAGTTTCAGAATATATATGTATAGCAAAAGTAGACTGCAAAAAACACACAAAAAAAAGTTTAAAAGAACAGTAGCCGAGCGTGGTGGCTCATGCCTATAGTCCCAACTACTCGGGAGACTGAGGCAGGCGGATCACTTGAACCCAAGAGTTTGAGGCTACGATGATTTATAATCGCAGCACTGCACTCCAGCCTGGGTGACAGAGAAAGACCTTGTTTCTTATTTTAAAAATAAATAAACAAATAAAAGCAGAAATAGACAAATCTACCCATAAGCCAAGATTTTAACACATCGCCGGGTAACTGATATAAGAAGTGGACAAAAATCAATTAGGATACAACAGACTTTTAAAAATGCTATCAACAAAACTGACCTAATTAACATTTCTTGAACACTATACACAACAACTTCAGAATACACGTAAGTGCACACGGAATATAAAACAAGCATTTTAAAAGTCTCAACAAATATGAGAGGAATATAATCATAAGAGTATGTCCTCTGACCACAGAAAAATTAAACCAGCAATTTTTAAAAAGATGACTAAAGTGTTCCCACTCCTCCTCCTCCACCACCCAGCCATTCTCCATCTTAGCACCAATCATAGCATTTATCACAGCTCGAATTTTATATTTTTAATCTTTTTCATTTTCTTCTTCTTTCCCACTGGACAATAAACTCCATGAAGGAAAGATCTCATCTAGTTTCCTACTGTATTCCCCAGTGTCAGGAACAATGTCTGACTGAAGGCAGGCTCTCAAGAAATATTTGTTGAATAAATGAACAGCACTGATGGAGAGGTTAATCTGAAAAAGACTGGATGTATTGTTTCCTGGTACTGAATAAAGAAGATAAGGGTATGTGTGCACATTGATCAGGACATTTTTGGTTAGTAGTAAGAGAAACCGAGTTTAAACTGACTTAGGCAGAAAAAGGGAATTTCCTGGCCCCTTTAACTAAAAAGTACAGAAGCAGCACCTTCAGGAATAGCTTGATCTAGGGATTCAGATGACATCATTGGCTCCCTCTCTTTCTTTTTTTTTCATCTCTTAGAGTTGTGATGGCTCCAGTCTCATGTAGGACCTATCCTCATGGTATAAGCATACTCGTGATTAATGCACAAACTTTACCCTCCTAGCTTAGTCATCCCAGCAGAATGTAAACTTCTCACTCTGAATCATTCCTGAGGTAGTTTCTCATTGGACACTCTTTGGCCCTGTATCTATTCAAAACACAGTCATTCTGGCCAGGGAGATTGACTCTTTTTATTGAACACCCAAATTCAAAGGATATGATCACTCCCATTCAAAACAGACAAATTGAGTAGAGCAAGTGTTTTCCCAAAGGAAAACTGAGTCACTATTACCGGAAGAAAGGGACATGTATACTGAGCAAGCAAAACCTATGGAGGCCCTCTCTAGTGCAGGTGCAAAAAGTGTATGGATTAAAAAATAGGAAGTTGTGAAAGATTTCCCCTAATGGCCTCCACGGGCTGCTGTGAAGGAGATGGTGAAGGTTTGAATGCATCTTTGAAGTATATGGAAGATTAAATAAAAACAAGACAAAAAAGAAACCAAGACAAAAGACAAAGCTACTTTAGAAACTGCAGTGTTTTCATGATGGCACCAGTCTTCACAGCTGCATGAGTTCTAGCTTCAAGCCACTTGAGGACTTGAAAAGGTAGAGAGTGGCATCATCACAGGGCTGGGGGCTTGCCAGGTGGGTGATGTGTAGCTAACAAATGGAAAGGTCAAGGACCTAGGAGTCTCAGGGGGCACAGAGCACGCATGAAGTGTGGGGGGCCAGAGGATGAGACATGAGCATTTTCAGCTTGTGACCAAGTGCAGGGAGTGAGGTTGAAATGGAGTGGAGGTAATGTTATGAAAGTTATGAGAGTTACAAAGGCCCAGGAATTTTGAGGTGTTTGGATGAGTTGTTTAAATGGAAAAGGGATCTCTGAGAATGATGACAGGAGCTGGGGTGAAGAGGCAGATGAATGCTTTCCACACCTCAGTCTTGCCTTCATTTGCACAACATTCACCGTGGAGGATATCTGTAGACTGGCCAGCATCCATTCCCCTTCCCTCTGGAAAAATAACACCTCCTTTTTTTTTTTCCAAGAGAGCCACTCTGCCCTCATGTTTAGTTAGGCGGATCATTTGAAGCTGATCACACCTGGACTTCATAGTAGGTATGTGACAAGGCCTTAAAAGATATCATATTTTATTCTCCTGCCATAGTGATTGAATCAGGATGGACACATGACCCAAACTAGGCCAATTATTGAGACTATTGAGAAAGAGGACTTCTCTTTCTACCAGGATTGTTAATCTACTATAAGTCTGGAGTTTCTAGAGACCTTCTCTGCAACATCAGCAGAAATGCTGTTTGAGAAGCCTATACAGAGTAAAATGGAGCTGAAAGAAAGAAAAAAAATGCCTAACAATATCACTGGTCATCTGGATTCAGCTGTTTCTGTAGTTCCAAATCTATCCTTAGGCTTTTAAGATACATAATCCAGAGACTTTTGCTATACTCCCTCTGAGAAAAGCTGAAAAAGCCAGACAAAAACCCTTTTTTCCTTTTTAACCTGTTTAAAAGTATTGGAAATCTGCTGAAACAACCAGAACTAGAGGAGACAAGAGTCAGAGAGTAGGAAGTGTAAAAAAGTGATTTGGCATTGTGAAGCTACTTTCTCCTTGGGGAAAAAGTTTGTTGATTTGGCATGCAAAAAAAAAAAAAAAGAGAGAGAGAGAATGAGAATCCAGACTTTTCCTGGGCAGAGTTTACTCTGTTTGGGGACAGAGAAACCAACAGAGCTTTTGAATTCTGAAGCTAAACAGAAAGCCCTTTAAAAGCAGGATAGAGTTTTCGGCAATCTCACAGTGCTAGAGAGACAAGGATTGGAATTTTAGGCCTTACTAGGGGAAGGAAGTTCCAGTGAACACATCAGTCTCTCAACTGGCAGTCCTGGAGGACTAGAAACAAACAGTTAGATGGAACCTTACTAAAACTGTAACCTAGCCTTGACTCACCTCAGTTTCATTAGATTAAGGTGATCAGCCCCCACTCTATCTGCCTAGCATAGGAAAGAGTGAAAGAATTTTTCTCTGGAAGAAGATAATATTATCTAGAGATTCTACAATGTTTTGATACCATGTCTAGTGTTTAATCAAAAATTACTAGATATGCCAAGAAACAAGACCATATGATTGAAGACAAAGTGAAATAATAAACTAAAGAAACAAACATGTGAGCCAATAAATTCCCTTTTTTGGCTTAGGCCATTTTGAGGTGGATTTTCATCATGATAGAAAGATTCCTAACTAATATACTCACAGTCCTTCACTGTTCAGATCAGTCATCACAGCACCCATGGCAGAAATTGCACCATAATTTTCCTGTATATTTTGTCCAGATTTGAACTAGAATAGTTTAGACTACAGTGTCCTAATTTTTCAATATTAAATTTCCATTACAAAAGTTGCCATATATTTAGGTTCCCTGTTACCTTAGTCTATTCAAGTTGCCATATTCAAGTTGCCAAATTATCTTAGGCTGGATGACATAAACAACAGAAATGCATTGCTCATGGTTCTGGAGGCTTGGAAATCCAAAATTAAGGCATTGACAGATTCAATGTCTGGTGAGGGCCTGCTCTCTGCTTCATAGATAGCACCTTCTTGCTGCATCCTCATGTGGCAGAAGGGCAAACAAGGTTCCTCAGGTCTCTTTCAGGAGGGCACTAATCCCATCCACAGGGCCTCCACCCCTATGACCTAGTCATCTCCCAAAGGCCCCACCTCTTAACACCAATACACTGGGGATTTGATTTCAACCTATGAATGTATGGGGGACACAAATATTTAGACCCTAGCACCTGTCCTTCAGCATCAATAGCAATAATGCTAGGAATTTATATGGAGCTTTATCATTTATGAAATGCTTCACATATATTACCAATAGTCAAAATCATATAGAATTCTTAAGGTAAATATTAGTATCTCCATTAACAGATGAGTAGCCTGAGTATGTGGTTATGTCATGGCTATAGATAAAGAAGCTGAAGATTAGAGGACATGCCCAAGGAAGTTAAATTACTTGCACAAGGTCACACAGAAGTGGCAGAGTGGAGTATTGAACCCAGGCTTCCTTGGTGCCTTCCAGGACTCCACAGGGCAATAAGTCCAGTAGCCCTTGATCCTGGTCCTAGCTCCCGCGTTTTATGGCTTCATAACCTTGAGATGGTCACTTCACCTCTCTATGCATGAGCATATTCATCTGCCCTCCAAGGCTGGGCCTATTGCCCTTGACCTTCCCGGCATTCTTCAAAATGTATCCAGTTTGTTTCCAACTTTTAGACCAAGAAGATCTTAATATAAGATCTCTGGATTTCTATGTCAATGGATCCATTAGTACCATGGAATTACAAGTAAATTTCATGTGAACATAGGGATGTGCATTTTGTGAGGGCACATCAGAGTCACAAAGGGTTCCATGACCCCAAAAGTTTAGGAATTCTGCCTTAGAGCCATTGCTAGATGAGCAGGGACATACGACGTGCCTTAACATGTTTCTCCTTCTCTGGTAGGATTTGCATTTGAACATGAACTTTCAATGCATAACCCAAGGTAATGACAAATGTCAGACATTTCCGTTATCAGGGCGGAGCTAATTCAGAGGATAGCTTGAAATGGGAAGTTTTCATTTCCTTCAATAAAAATAATACTCATAATAATAATGCCTATAGCACTTACAACAGATATATCTCAAATTTGTTTTTAATCATTACTAATCCTGACATTAAGAAAGGAACAGAAGTAATATCTCCCCCAGTGCATGGTTCCAAGAGGTTAAAAAAAATTGTATAAGTTCAGCAGTCAGTGCCTGGTCCCTTCTTTTTCTTTCCTCAAAGGCAAAGCCAGGATTTGAAATTGGGAGTTTCTAATTGCTGGCCATGTGGGTCCTTTATTCATCCCTGGAGTGGAATCAGTGCAGTGACAAAGGGGCAGAGTCCTAAGCACATATCTTCCCTCTGCCCACACTCAATAGGCAGCCCCATGTGGCACCCCTCCCAAGATCCCATTCTCAGGCACAGAAGGATGGCAAAAGTAGCTGAGATCCACAGTACGGCGTTAACAAATTGCATTTTCTTAAGGGCATCCATCCCCTTAAGAAAACATGCGTGTTTGTGGGCATGCTGGAGATTACTAATCAAGTGCAGCTGGCCTCAAGCTGACAGCCAGGACACACGTGTGCACACACACACATGCACACACGCGCGAGCGTTCACACACACATACACATGTTTAGCGGATGCCTGCTGCCAATTTCTTGCCTGGCAAACCAGAAACATTTTAGTGGTTTATAAATATGAGCCCAATCCATCTTGGGACACTTCTCAGGTTCAAAGCCATCTGTGTCAGGTGCCCCCAGGGCTATGAATCCCTTTCCGTCCACACCCACACTCCACCCCAACCAGGCTTCCAAGTCCCATGATACACAGCAAACTCCTCAGCATCAAACATCTGAATTGGACAATTTCACAGCCTGCATCAGTCATGTCTTGATTAGTTCTTTTTTCTCTCCTGTTATTGAAATGTTATTTTTTCCACTCACATACCACCACCTCTCGCCCCTCCCAAATCAGCCTGTTGGAAAAGATGTTTATTTTGCTTTTCTTTGGCATAATTTAATATCAGACAAGTGCATCCCTGATGCACACAGTATATTCTTGGGGCATACATTTGAGATTCTGGTTGATTAGAATTACAAATTTGTCATGCAGTCCTAGCCAATTTGGAATTTGGCACCCCGGCATCATGTTTATGTCCTCTTGGCCTTGCCAGTGGTTGCTAGGACTGTCGGGGGGCTTTTTTCAGCAATAAGTTAGGATTTCATAAATAGTTGGCAGTGCTTTCAAAGAAGCCTGCTCTTTAACATGAGATAATGTATGTTTTCTTTCTACTTACTTGGAGTAGGTTGGATTGGGAGACACCCAAGTTCACTTTTAAATCATTTCTCCGCGTGCCAGACGCGGCTTTTGAAGTCGTCTGCACCAACCCACAGGGAAGCCAGCGCCCTGGCCCCAACGAGCGGCCCCACTGTGTGCCCTGTCGCCCATAACAGGAAGTGTGTCAGAGCCGGGTGGGCACGGGGTGGGTGGGGCAGGCCCACGGGGCTCAGTTCCACCGAGCGGAAAATCATCTGACGTGTCCTCGGTGTATGTGTCTGGAGCAGAAGCAGGTCAGATGTCGCCCTGGCCTCCAAGTCTCAACACGCCTCTCTGGTCTGCCCCGTTGGCCTTCAGAGGCGGCACATGGCATAACAGGAGGCTTTTTCAAAGTGCAGGCCACAGGAAATCACATTTGAAGTGCCTGGCATGGAGGGTATTTTTATACCGTTCACTTTTTCCCTTTTCTTTTCATCTGTTTTCTGCATTTTTTCAGTTTGCTTTTTCTTCTTGATTTATTGTTGTATTATTCTATTTTTAAACCAAGACATACTTTCCCATCAGACACTTTAATATAACTCATATGAAAATTAGGGATGGGTGGACCTCAGACGGTGCAGAGGCTGGATTCAGTAGGAATCAGCTTCCCAAAGTGCAGATGCTTATCTGAATCTGCACCAGCTGCTGGGGTCCAGGGGAGCAGAGCAAGGAGGAGAAAGGAAACCCTTCCATTCCTCCCTCACTAAGTAATCTGGGGCTCAATCGTGTGAGCCCCTGGCCCCGCCTTTTGCACATGTAACGAATGTCACTTGCACAGGTAACGAATGTCACGAGTTGTCTGGACCCCTCTCGTGGCTAGGAAGTCACTGCTGACCTCCCCTTCGGTGTGGGAACACAGGTATTCCAGTAAGGATCATGAAATACCCAAGACACGAATACCCAAGAAAACCAGTCCAGCCCAACCCAGCTTGAGTACTGATGGCCCTTGAGCCAGATTTCCAAGCAGGATAGGGGGAGAGGTTGGGGCCATGCGCAACCCTCTTTGTGGCTCTTCCATGTACCAAGGAGGCCAACTCAACCCTGAAGTCAGGGAGGCCTGAGCAGAAATTCCTGGTAGCCATGTGGCCGGGGCAAGCCTCTTTAACTCCCTCTGCCACAGGTATCTGTAAAATCAGAATGAAATACTTCTAATCTAGAGTTGTAAAAACTAGAGAAAGCATTTGTTGAACAAATGGTAGGTGCTCCGTAAAGTAGTAGCTGGTCGCATGATTCCAAGATCCATTCCCACCTTCTCCATTCAGCCTGAGTTCATCTCCTCTTCCCACATCTTCCAGCTGAGGACAGCAGTCTCCCTTTCATTTTTTCATGTCTCTCTCCCTACTCTGCCCAAATTGGAGAAATTGAGAACGGTAAGGACCATACACTGTGTAGCCTGGCAGTTAAAAACCAGACTTCAGAGGCCCAGCGTCTGCCTCCACTGCGTCTTAGTGCACCGGCTCCTCTTTCCAGCCTGGGCTGTCCTCATAGAGCACAGCAAGTGTGGGCCCTGCAGTGACATCCCCGCTTCTGCCCTCTTATTTCAGCCACAGCCACAGCAGACACTTCCGTACAAGATCACCTCGGGCTTGCAGCCTCCCACCTACCAGGTGCACTGCAGGACATTCTGCTCCCCGCCCCAAGAAATTTTCTGGCATAAAAGGGGCCTCTTAGAACCTTCTGTAAATGCAGCACAGAAGTGTAGGGCTAACACTCCTGGGGGCTGCCTTCAATCAATGGGGGCAAAAGCTGGCAGATAACCCTCCAGCCTCCCATCCTTCATGTAGGCAAGTCTGGGAGACATCTCGTGCACTTTTCTGAGACCCTAGGGGAATCAAGGCCCTGCTGCCTCCAGCCACAATCTCAGCAGCACACCTTGCATTGGCTTTTCCTCTTTCCCGCTTCCACTCTCCCTGCTCTCTCCCTCCTCCTTTCTGGGAGCACCTCCCAGATCTACTTGCACCTAAACCCTTGACTCAGGCTCTGCCTTCAGAAGGCAATCTCTGCTCTTATAATGCTCATAAGCCAATCTCTGCTCTTATAATGCTTATAAGGCAATCTCTGCTCTTATAATGCTTATAATTTGGTGAGTGTAGAGAGACAGTAAGTAAATTAATAAACAACAAAGTCATCACATAATATTAAATGGTACACAGAGAATTAATATCGGATGAGGTGAAAGAGGATGAGTAAAGGGCTACTTTATGCTGGGTGGTCGGGAAAGGTCTCTCTGAAGCCACAGGAAGGCACCATGCTTCTGACATTCAGGGACAGCTCATGTGGCAGCTGGAACAGCTGAGACGAGAGCCCTAGGATGAGAATGATCTTGGAACGGGATGAGAATGATCTTGGAACAGCCAAAAAACTTGAAGAAGGTCGGGGTGGTTGGCGCATGGGGATGGGGAAGAGAGTGGTCTAGGATAGGGTCAGAAAGGTAGACAGGGGCCAGGTCAAGTAGGTTTTAAATCTGACTTCTAGTGTGATTAAAGTAGATTAAAGATTTTAAATCTGACTTCTAGTATGATAGGGAGTCATTGTGAACTATTAAGCAAGATAATGTGACACAATCTGCTTTACATTAATTAACCTCTTTGAACCCCAGTTTGCTCAACTGTAATTATCTAGAGCTCTGGTGGTAATGAGGATGGAATGGAATAAAGTGTGTAACGTGCTCAGCGCACAGCCTGGAACATTTTTGTTCCATATATATGTTTGTTATAACTACTATTATTCCTATTTTAAGTCCACTGCTTATTCTACAGTGCCCAGAACAAAGCAGGCATTTAAATATTTATTGGGTGGCTTAAAACAGGAATAATGAAGGTCAAAGAATTTGTTACACTATAGACGATTTTAGGGTTCCACAGATTCAAATCATAGCTCTGCCACTTAGGAATACATTATTTCCCTCTTTTGGAAGACTTGCTTACATCCTCTGCAAAAGAGAGAAAATAATAGCTATTTCATTGGACTGTTGTATGATGATGCATTTATCACATAAGGTAGATATGGTTTCTAAAAGGTTGAGGGCAGTGATGATGGAAATATAGCTTTGGATGTACCCAAACCCCGTATAAAAACAGAGCAACCAGGTAGAAAACCCCAAACCCACGTACAATCTTTAAAACAAACTAGGTAAAAATGAATGCCCACAAACCCCAGAGCACCAATAGCCATAAGAGCTACATGTTATTGGCTTCCATTAAAGAGAAAGTAATGGAAGCAACAAGGCATCTAATGGCCCCAAGAACCAGAGGACCCTAAAATAGCCAAGAGGCATTCATGAGAAAGTGTGACAGACCAACTTGGCCACAGCAGCTGAACCTAGGAGGGCCTTTGCTGACTTCCAAAAGGGATGAGTAGAACCAGTAAGCAAGGGAGAGATTGGTGCAGTCTCATTCCTACACAATCTCAGAATGGACCCACCAGAACTCCTTTCTGGGACAGGATCCAACACTGAGGAGAAACTTCTGGGAAAAGAATCAAAATTAAATAGGACAGGGGAAACAGATAAAGGATTGAAAAAGTACAGGTAAAGTGAAAGAGGAGAACATAGCCAAGAAGTTTCAAAAAGCAAAATCCTATAATTTTTTACTTTACATGAAAATAACAGAAGAGGAACCTAAGAAGTTATAAAAGAACAACTAACTTTCTAGGAGTTCAGGAAAATTAAATTAACATAAAAAGGATAAACATTAAAGACATTAAGGACAAATGCTGTACAGTGTTAGTGCAAGAAAAAAGAGATTCAAGAACTGAAAAATAATTCTACAGTTAATAAGAACACACCAGAAAAATCCTTTAAAAAGAAATAAAAATTCTAATATACTATTTTGAGATAAATAAAAGACCTTAAGACAATGATAGAAGCACATATATCAAAAATTTAAAACCTCAGAAGTGAGATGGCAGAACTCAAGACAGAATTAGAAATAAAGGAAAAGAATGATTTTATAAATGAAGACTAAACTTGGAAGAAGCACAGTGCAGACAACACAGCAAATAATGCCTTAAGATAAATACAATATGAAAAAGAGAAATAATTTTAAAATAAAGATGTTAAAAAAGAGACTAAAAATAATTTGAGGGGAAGTTGCAAACACTGAACATAGACCAAGAAGATCCAACATATGGATAAAAGAATTCCCAGAGGAAGAAAACTAAAGTAACAGAACAAATGCTAGAATCCATGATTCAAAAATTTCCTAAACTAAAAAGAATTGAAACTATGTATTGAATGATGACACCACGTACCTGAGACTTTATTGACCCAACGTGACAAAAACCAGATATATTCTAGTAAAATCACTGAACATTAAAGAAAAAAGAAAGCCCTTCAGGCATATGGGGAAATAAAAAAACATGTGACTTATAAGATAAAGAAAATGTGATAGTCATCAGACTTTTTGACACCAACATTTTATACCAGAAGACACAGGAAAGAAAAGGTGAGCCAAGGATTTTATATCTAGCAAAACTAACCTTCAAATATAAAGGGTACAAACTGTTATCAACTCAAGAAATATTATTCCCATGAGCCTTTTGTGGAATCTACTAGAGAATGATCTTCAGACAACAAAAATGACAGAAGGGACAACTATGCATAGAACTAAGGCTAAATGAGAGTCAAAAGGGAAAGATGATAGTAGAGAATGGTTCTTTGATCTGACTATGTGGATATAGTACAACAGTTTTTTTTCTTTTCTTTTTTTAATGAAGAAGAGTGAAGCTACTATATGAAAGAAAATGAGCCGTTTCAGCAATTTTAATCCATGGTGGTAACTTTAATATTGTTATTTTGCGATGGTTGTATGTATGAAATGGAACAAAGCAAATGAGTAATTATGGTTTATTCAGATTTTACCAACTGCTGTGTCCTTAAGAACCAGGGTTCTCGGTGTGGAAGCAGATACAAATATAACATAGAGAAGCCTAAGTAATATCTCTGAAGTGCTGAATTTGAATTGGACATATCAGTATAAACTCACAAGGTATTTGTGTCTGCATGCACACACGTACACACGTATTGTTTCAGGGAAGAGGTCTAGGAACAATGAGCAGCCCTGTCACAATGAACAACAAGAACACTCAGATTGTGGTCTCTAAACACCACATCCTATCAGTAGAAACAGGGCTCCTGGGAGAAATGGCTGATTCCAAGCCTGGACCTGGAAATATACTAGATGAGCATGGAATATCTTGCATACCAGACAGCTTCAAAGCTATCAAAGGCTACTAAGTTATATCAAAAGGAACCAGAAGCCAATGTGAAGTGGCTTCCACTTGCCAAATATAGAATAATTGGAGCTTCAGTAAGGTTGAAAGTTGCAATGAATTGGAAACCTATCAACTATGTTTAAATCTGTGAGTTTTTAATTTTATATATATATATTTTTTTTTTTTTTGGAGGCGGAGTCTCACTCTGTCGCCCAGGCTGGAGTGCAGTGGCGCGATCTCGGCTCACTGCAAGCTCCACCTCCTGGGTTCACGCCATTCTCCTGTCTCAGCCTCCCGAGTAGCTGGGACTACAGGCACCCACCACCACGCCCGGCTAATTTTTTTGTATTTTTAGTAGAGACGGGGTTTCACTGTGTTAGCCTGGCTGGACTTGATCTCCTGACCTTGTGATCCACCCGCCTCGGCCTCCCAAAGTGCTGGGATTACAGGCGTGAGCCACCGCACCCAGCCTTTAATTATATTTTTAAAACTAATTTGTTGCTTTTAGTGGATCATAGGAAGGAAACAAACATTTATCCTGCCTTTCCCTTTATATACTTTCAAACAGGAAATCAAACAGCAAGTCAGGGAAAGTAACTTCTTAAAAAAATATTCTAGCCACTATACAAAGACAAAATGGTAGCATTAGGTTATCTCCATTTTCACAACCCCCAATCAATTAACAGATCTAGTACTGGGCAGCAATGGCTGCCAACATCACAAAAAAAGCAAAAATTAGATTCTAAGCCTCCTGATGATAAGTACACACTACCACCTCTAGTCCTGCTGACACACTGAATCTGATCAAGCCTCTGCCAGCTGTCAATTAGCAGGGAATATATGGGACAGGTGAACATGTCCAACTGCGCCAAGAGAATGCAAAAAAGAGCAAAATCCCAAGTGTGGAAAAACAAACAGGTCACTCAATCCAGGTTCTTGAACACATAAAATCATAAGAAAAATAAAAAGATATAGGGGGAACCTATAAATGAAAGATATTTCAAAGAGATATGTTTTTAACAAATGAATAAAACTAAAGTATAGCATCTAGGATTGCACATTTGGGTGATAAAACCATAAAGAAAAGTGTGGAAGAGATTACTCCAAAAGTCAGGATACTGGTTCCCTTTGGGAGGAGGGAGAGGTTTGATTTCAGGACAGGGCACATGGAGGGGCTTCTGGGTGGCTGGCAAAGTTCTATGTCTTGAACTGGGTGATGGTTACAAGGGTGTCCACTTAATAATGATTCAGAGGGTATGCATTTGTTTTGTGTGATTTTTTTTCTTGATCTTTATTCTAGTTTACAATTAAAACATTTTAAAAAGAAAAGAAAAAGAAAGTGTCTGCTGCACAGTAGGCACTCGAAAGTTAACTTTTTTTTTTTTTTTTTTTTTTTTTGAGACAGGGTCTCGCTCTGTTACCCAGGATGGAGTGCAGTGCCACAATCTCGGCACACTGCAACCTCCACCATCCAGGTTCAAGGGATTCTCCTGCCTCAGCCTCCTGAGTAGCTGGGATTACAGGCATGTGCCACCATGCCCAGATAATTTTTGTATTTTTTAGTAAAGATGGGGTTTCACCATGTTGGCCAGTCTGGTCTTGAACTCCTGACCTCAAGTGATCTGCCCGCCTCGGCCTCCCAAAGTGCTGGGACTACAGGCGTGAGCCACTGCGTCTGGCTCAAAAGTTAACTTCTCTTGGTTCAAAGGATGACTGATACTCTGATCCAATGACTGGAATGAATAACTCAGTTTCTCAGGAGCAGAGACCTCCTCTGTCTTTTTGCATTGCTGCATCTCCAGCACCAGCAGTGCCCAGCAAATCATCCGCACTTGAACACCCATGCTTTCTGCCCTCCACATCTTAACCACGATTATGATGCAAAACGTCTTCCTTCCTTCTCTCCAAATCCATCCACCTCACCTTCCCAAGGGTGCTGCCTAATTAACCAGTGCACCCAGAGCTCTCTCCTCTGTGCTTGCTTTCATATAACTCCAAAGCCATCCCCACAGCCTTCCTGCATAAAACCCCAGCTGCCTAACTGGACGTCCAGGCTCCAGCATGATCAGACCCCTCCTGCCCTCTGTGACTTTGTCTTCCACCACTGCCCTCCTGCAGCCAGTCTAAACTATTTGCAGTTCCTCAAATGCCCCATGAGGGCTCCCTGACATCGCATAAGCTATTCCCCAGGCTGGCCTGTAACACCCTCCCCATGCCTTTCTTACTAGCGCATTTCATTAAGATTTAACTCCTTCAGAGGCCCTCTTTGGGGGCCCCCTCCGTAGACCTCAGGCTGGGGCCCTCCTCCATGTTCCCTGGTATCTGCCATAACACTTATACTATAGTGTGACAGTCTGCCTACAGTCTGCAGACTGTGAGCTCCTTGAAGTCAAATTGGGTCATCTATGTCTGTGCCCACAGTGCCCAGCAGTGCGCCCTCAAATCTCCATTCCCTAAGGCCCTATAAGTGCCCTTTGCTAATATCCCCTTTTATTTATTTATTTATTTATTTTTATTATACTTTAGGTTTTAGGGTACATGTGCACATTGTGCAGGTTAGTTACATATGTATACATGTGCCATGCTGGTGGGCTGCACCCACTAAATCGTCATCTAGCATTAGGTATATATCCCAATGCTATCCCTCCGCCCTCCCCCCACCCCACCACAGTCCCCAGAGTGTGATATTCCCCTTCCTATGTCCATGTGATCTCATTGTTCAATTCCCACCTATGAGTGAGAATATGCGGTGTTTGGTTTTTTGTTCTTGCGATAGTTTACTGAGAATGATGATTTCCAATTTCATCCCCTTTTAAGATACTATGAGACTCTCTGACGGTGGTGCTCTTCCTTGCCCAACAAGTTTGATAAATCTGGCTTAGGCCAGGTGCAGTGGCTCACACCTGTAATCCTAGCACTTTGGGACGCCGAGGCAGGTGGATCGCCTGAGGTCAGGAGTTCGAGATCAGCCTGGCCAACATGGTGAAACCCCACCTCTACTAAAAATACAAAAAAAAAAAAATTAGCCAGGCGTGGTGGTGGCAGGTACCTGTAATCCCAGCTACTCGGGAGGCTGAGGCAGGAGTATTACTTGAACCCAGGGAGCAGAGGTTGCAGTGAGCCGAGATTGCGCCACTTCACTCCTGCCTGGGCAAAAGAGCGAGACTCCGTCTCAGAAAAAAAATAAACAATAAACAACAAACCTGGCTTGGTATGGTCAACAAATTCTCCGAGTGGTCTTCGTATGGAACTTCGGGAGAACCTAAGGCAGTGCCTGGCGCGTAGTGGGTACTCATATAAATATTTGAGAGAAGGAAGTGAAGGAGAAAGCAGGGGGTGAGATTGAGTATGTGGACCAATAATGAATGCATGGGTTAAAAAACTGACATTTTGTTATTATTAGTGATTTTTTAAGGGTACAGGGAAGGGTAGTTTGAATTGACAAATACGTATTTACCTTACTTTAGCTTAGAGGTAGCCAACCTATTTCCCAGCTTAATCTATTATTTTAGAGGCAGAAAGTTAACTTGCTTATCCTGAAAAGAAGTGCAAATATATCCCAAAAGTGCCATTCTTTCATTCATCCACTCAAACAGATACACACACACACACACACACACACACACACACCCTTTTCACCCCTTGGTAGTGTACAGTCTCTGAGTTGTAAAAAATAGTCATTCCTTTCTGCTTGAAAGACTGTATTAGCTACTCAGGGAATACTAGCCCTTTCCTTGGACTCAAAAAAGTATTTTATCCATTAAAATCTAACCAGGGTGTAGTAACCATAAAAATCCAGCCACTCTGGTAGGAAGACGGATATCCTCAAAGATTTATGTCTGGCCGTCTCAAAGAAAATGTGTAAGATGGAGTTTTCTCAGAGACTTCCTGGCTGCACTCCACCCCACACATAATTTCTGTTTGTATAAACCTCAGATCAAAATTCAGGAAGGGTTAAGGGAAACCTTTCTGAACCACAGGTTATGTCTGCTCACCATCCTCAGTTGACCGTTTGGAATGAATTAACCAGTCCCTAACCAGCCTATGACTGCTTCTTGGATGGAATTAACCAACCTCTTCAGTCCAAATGGTTGAACCATTTAGGGTCTCAGATTCCATCCAGATGTGGGGTGAGGGTTTAGGTCACAAACTATATTCAGAGTCATTTGCATATTTTTATTATTGTGGTGAGAGATAATGAAAACACACCACTTTATTAGTTTCAGGATATGGTGAAGACCATTGGAAACACCAGCATTCGGGAAGGGGTGGAGAAGGAGGTGTGACTATTTTGAATGAACCTGAAAGAAAATACTTCCCGAACCTTCTTTCAGAAGGCGATTTCAGTTCCAATTTTTCATAAGGTTGGAAAAAGTTAAGCAAACTAGAACTATAGACACTTGTTTATAGAAGGTTTTTCTCTTTAATTACTGTTTTTGTTTCATGAAAGAAAAGTCTCATAAAATAAAAGCTCGTTTTGGGTTCAGCGAGGCAGCGAGACTCCTGAGAACGCCACAAAAGGGCTGACTTGACCTTGGCCAGCCAAGGAGTCCTGACGACTTGAACGTCTATGTATTTCCACAGCAAGGTATGTGCCTTTCCCACCCTCCACCCTAAAGGTCTCTCCATACATTTGAGACAGTTTTAAAAATCTGAACTGTGGGACCGTCTGGTCGCTGGCAAGCATTCCAGACAAGTGGTTTTCTCAGAAGCCAAGTTCTGGTTTGACTCTTTGATTGGAAAAGTATCTATTTCACTAAGGGTGATAGGCCCCTGGATGCATTCTCACCAAGAAACCCATAAACCAATACTTGAAATGCCAGCAGCGAGTTGTAGGGAATTCTTTTGGTTTGCCTTCAAGGACACAAAACATCGCAAAGGTCTTCTCTTTGGCAGAGAGGGGCCTGGCGTGGAGAGCTGGCCCAGGGAGTATGTGGAAAGAGTCAGATGTGGGAGTCAACAGACCTGGGTTCGAATCCTGACTCTCCTGCCAGCAAGCTGGTTCTGACCTTAGGCGGGTCTCTTCGGTTCTCTTGAGTCCGACTTTCCTCATCTGTAGAATGCGGACATTGACCTCAGTCTCAGGGAGGTGGTGGGGGCTCAATGAGATGATACTCCCATGATTCCTTCCACCATGACTGCTGCACAGCAAGGGCTGGATAAACACCAGTCTTACGTCCACCATGGTAGAGCACTGGAGATGCACGACCTTTGAGGTCACTGAATCCCTTCCTCTGAGGTCACTGAATCCCTTCTGAGCCCCCTGTCTAGGGCTGCTTGCTTTTGGTTAATCCAATTAACAGATAATTACAGGGCATGCGCCCTGGGGCCCACACAGCCCCAGACAGGAGGGATTCTGAAGATGTGGAAGGCTTTTCCCTCACATGGGAGCTGGTGCCCTCACGGGGCAGACTGAAAAATGCACAGAAAATGTTTGCCAATGATTCAAGGCATTGTGATGAGACAACCAAATAGAGGGTAAGACTCAAGCCAGATGCCCTCAAGACCAGGCAGGCATAGTGTCCAGTAGCCAGCAAGAGCAGCCAGGCCCCATCTAAAGGAAGCTAGGCTGCCCAGCTTCAGGCAAGTGTTGGCATGCAGGAACATAGGTCATTGTGGCCAGATCGCTCATTCTTCAAGAAAAGCCGTGAAATCTAGATTGTATGAGAAAGCTCCTAATTTTTAAGACAACTTATTTTAAAAAATTAAACATCTGTCTGCAGTCCAGATGGATAAAGAGACATCCCTGTGGTTGGAGGACTACACCAAGGAGGTGGGGCTCATGCCAGGCCTTGAATGGTGAGTAGAATTTACATACGCCATTTGTGCATTTCTTGTGTGTGCACTTCGCAGGAGGCAGTGTGTGGTTTGGTGGCTATGGGCTTTGTGTCTGATTTCTTGTCTGACAAAGAGAAAAAAAATGGCATCTATTCAGAAGGCATTTGTAAGGATTGGGTGAGATCAAACTTGTTAGATCCAACACAATCAAGATTTTGGTGACATTAGCTGTTACTGTCCTAACACCTGGTTGTTGCGATTGCTGTTGGCATGGAGAGCAGGGATCGATGGCATGCAGCTCTGTCACTCTCCACCCTGGCCCATCCCATTCAGAGATCCCATGCTTGCTCCACCTTGACATAATGGCCTGTGAAATAGACAGTAATGTTGTTCCTGTTCTACAGATGAGGAAACTGAGCCAGCAGAGAGACAGGAAGGAGCCCACGCAGGGTTACACAGGCAGTTAGCAGAAACAATATGGGAACCCAGGTCTGCTCGGCTGCACAGCTCACCGTCGGACCTCTCCCCCAATCCCCATGGGCCTTGCACCTCGGATGGCCGAGGGGATCCTGGATTTCAGCAGTCCCACGCCCCTTGTGGGTTTGAAGTTCCTTGCGGGTTTATCTTGCGTAGGCCCATGGCACACTGTCCCTACCCTGCCCTGCCCCACCCCACCCCACCCTCCAATTCCTTCACAGGCTCCTTTGAACTTGGTCTCAAGGCTCGCCCACAAATCCCAGGAAGTGTCTTGGATGCAGAAGAGTTTCATGGTGTTCCTTATAAAAGCACAACCTGACATGCAGCTATTGTGTCAAGAATCCCTCTATTCCCAACTGCCAGAAACTCAAAACAGCTTAAGACAAAAACAAACTGGCTCAAGGTCTGTGGGAGCCTTGTCTTGGGCCGTGTCTACAGGCCCACTCTGTTTTTATTAACGTGGCCTGAAATTTTGACCCACAGGTCTCCCAAGTGCAGACCCAGGAGGCCCCTCAGGAGACCCCAGCTGTCTTCAGACCCCTGGGGAAAGGGATGCCGGGCCTCTGGTGGTCAGAGAATGAAGTCAGAACAGAGGCAGGATTCTCAGCCCAGAAACATGCCATACACGGATGTTTTGATCCTGTCTTGAAGCCATTTCAACCTTAGACTGCTAGTTACCAACTCCAGATGCTCGCCCTCCACCACGTTCATTTGACAAATAGACACTGAGCCCTCACTAGATCTGCTGGGAGCACCATGTGCCCGCCGCCCCTCTAACAGGGTCTTCCCATCCCGTGGGCCCTTGGCCACCTTCTTTCCTCAAATTCAAATGTACACAATTGGAGAGAGAAAGAAACATCTGGAATAGACCAGGAGGGCGCTGCCTCACACTCCAGCACCAAGAACTGAGCATTCCCCCCAACCCCCACCTCCCCCTCCTTCGGGCCCTGCTGTCACGTGTCTCCTGGAGCAGACCTTGCCCCTCTGAGGGTAACTCTACCGTGTGAAAGGATCTTGTTAGTCCTGCAACCACTCTAGCTTGTGCTCAAATGAAAACACAGTGGTCCTCCCCATCGCCACAGGAAGAGGAGGCAGTGGTGGACTTTGCCTGAGTCTGTCTCCTCCAGTTTGACTTACCGTAAGTGCCTCCCCTGAAGACCCTGATCTCCAGGGGAGGCAGTAGATGTTAAGAACTCAGGCCCTGGAGTTGTGGGTAAGGCCCCCAATGTCCCTTAGCCTCAGTTTTCTATCTGTAAAGCAGACATGGTTTTAGTTTCTATCTCATGGAGTTGCTGCGAGGATTCTATAAGGGAATGAATGCAAAGTGCTTAATTCAGTGCTTAACAGTAAATGAATGTGCAAGAAAAGGAAGCCCACGTTATCATCGCCATGCGTCAGAATTTTACACAGTATCTTTTTTTCCCTTACGACAACCCTATAAGGCACGTATTTCATTTTGTTTTGTTTTGTTTTTTGAGACGAAGTTTCACTCTTGTTGCCCAGGCTGGAGTGCAATGTGTGATCTCAACTCACTGAAACCTCCACCTCCCGGGTTCAAGCGATTCTCCTGCCTCAGCCTCCCAAGTAGCTGGGATTATAGGCATGAGCCACCATGCCCGGCTAATTTTGTATTTTTAGTAGATACGGGGTTTCGCCATGTTGGCCAGGCTGGTCTTGAACTCCTGACCTCAGGTGATCCACCCGCCTTGGCCTCCCAAAGTGCTGGGATTACAGGCGTGAGCCACCGTGCCTGGCCTAAGGCAGGTATTTTTATCCCTACCTTACAGATGGAAGAACAGAGACCTCTCAAGGTACAGCGTGCAGCCCACGGTCTCACAGTGAGCGGGGGAGGGGGGGTTGGGGTGGGGTGAGATTTGTCCTCAGGATGCCAGGCTCTGCAGCCCAAGCCCCAGACCACAACACAACGCGCCCGAGGCACATGTAACCACCCCTTCACTTTCACGTACATCGTCACTCTTGGCAGTTTTTGTTGGCCAGGGCAGAGCTAAACCCATCCCCCACTTTCCTGCATCTGCAGAAGCCATTCTGTCTGCCAAAAACCCCGCGTTCAACCAGGACTTCCAGGAACAGCGAAGTCACACATTTCACACCCACATGCACCAGGCAAAGGGTCTCGAATGGCATGGGAGATGCTTGCCTTCAAGCCACCAGAAGACCACTGATAGGGTCTCAGGAGCACATCATCATCATCTCTATGCCCATGTACAGAGCATGCTTACTCCTCAGATTCTATCAGTCCTGAAATCAAGCATCTGGGCTGTCACGTCTCAAAATTCTATTCCTACGTTAATTTTCCATAAGAGTCTTGGATTCGGGAGCAAGCGAACTGAGGAATTCAACAACCCCACTGGGGTTTCTCCCTCACCCTCCAACCCAAGACCCAATTTAACACACTCAACTAATTGAGGGGCGCTTCACACTCCAACCTTTTCCAGTCCTGCTCCTGCAGGTGGCAGCTGAAGTCATGGGCGGAAGGGCCCAGGTGCCTGAGGAATTCTCAGAGCCCTGCCGTTGATTCATTTGTCTGCAGACATTCTAGACTCCATGTCTCCAAGACAGGCCACGACAGAGTGCATGACGGGGTGAGCCTGCCTTATTTTTCCCTCCAGCTTCCCCCTCCTTTTTTTTTTTTTCCTTCTTGGCCTCAGAGCCCAAAGTATTCTGGACATATTTTTCATTTTTCCAAATATCAATTGCTCTTTTATTCCCTCTCCGAAGCAGTGAGTAATAAGAGTTGTGTCTGGTCCTGAAATTCCGACTGTAATAAATTAGCCCAATGACCAACAGGAGGTGCCTAGAACAATAACAGCGGAATACTTGGCATGTTACAAAAGGGCCCCTGGATGTCGAAGTACAGTAAGTCTAGAAGCACATTACAGAGCAGCATCGCCAGAGCGGGTATGCAATGAGCCATCCAGGCAGCCGAACGCCTCATAAATTAATCCTGTTTTTTTTTCCTTTTTGGTCCACTGTTCGCAGTTCTTTAGCCCTCTGGTTACGGGGCATGCAGAAGGGTATTTTTGGTGTGGCCTGTGGCCCTAGCAGGCAAGCCTATGCCAAGGCTGTGTGTTCATGTGTACATTTGCCCCTCAGCTGGCCTGGCCTCCCAGCCTCTGCTTGCCACAGTGAGAGAGAACAGAACCTGGAGGCAGCAGGCTGTGAACAAACACTGAGCTTCTACTCAGTGGCAGGTGCTGCGCTAAGTTCTGGAGTGCCACGGACTGTGAGAGGGAGATAGACCTGCCCTCCTGGGGCCGAGAGCTCGGACATCCCCCAGCCTCTCAGAACTAGGTCTCCATCTCAGTGCAGAATGGAGGAGGGGAGAGCGGCAACACTCAGCTGCTCCATCCCTCCTTTCCTGGAGGTAATCACCCATCAGATGAGTCTTGGGGGTGACACAGCCTTGTCTCCCACTTCAAGAGCAGCAGAAGCCTCCAGCCTCCTCCCTACCTCAGCCTAGCAGCTGTCCTTGCCCAGAGCTTTGAATCTGCAGGGAGCATCCCAAAGACACAGTAGTGGGCTGAGAAAAGCCCCCAAGAGATACTCACATCCTAATCCCTTGAACCTGTGAATATTACCTCATATTGCAAAATAGGACTTTGCAGATGTCATCAAATGCAGGGTTTTAAGACAAGGAGATTTGGCTGGGCACAGTGGCTCATGCCTGTAATCCTAGCACTTCGGGAGGCCGAGGCGGGCGGATCACCCAAGGTCGGGAGTTCAAGACCAGCCTGGCCAACACGGTGAAACCCTGTCTACAAAAATACAAAAATTTGCCAAGCATGATGGCAAGTGCCTGTAATCCCAGCTACTTGGGAGGCTGAGGCAGGAGAATTGCTTGAACCCGGGAGGCAGAGGTTGAAGTGAGCTGAGATCATGCCATTGCACTCCAGCCTGGGTGACAGAGCGAGACTCCATCTCAAAAAAAAAAAAAAGATGAGATTTTCCTGGATTATCCAAAGGGCCCCAGCATGATCCTATGAATCCTTATAAAAGGGAGATGGGAAAATTTCACACACACACACACACACACACACACACACACACACACACACACAGATAGAGACAGAGAGAAGAGGATAAGGCAATGTAACCATGGAGGCAGAGATGGGAGTGCTGTAGCCACAAGCTAAGGAATGCTGGCAGCCACAGATGCTGGAAGAGTTGAAGAATGGGTTCCCCCTGAGGGAGCACAGCCAGATGCATGCTTTGAGAGTTCAGCCCAGTGCTACTGACTTTAGACTTATGGTTTCCAGAACTACAAAAAATTAATTTCTGTCGTTTCAAACCATCCAGTTTGTAATAATTCATTATAGAAGCCATAGTAACTAACACAGACACCAAGAGAATTTAGAATTCTTTCATGGCATTGGAATCCCACCACGCAGGGTATACATTTACCCCAGTATTCCTTTCTGGTTCAGTGTCTGCCTGTGGTATGCCCCTGCCCATGGTCCCAACGGCTATTCTTCTCCCTGGAGTTTCAGCCTTCCCATCAAATTCAGGAGGTCCCTCTCTCCTCTCCAAGACTGGCCGTTTCCAATTTTAGTTAGCCATAGGGGCTTCTGTGGCTCGCCATAGCAGGTAGCAAGCTCCACAGAGCAGGGCTGTTTCGAGGATTAGGGACAAGCCTCGTTTGAGCACAGCAGACACACAATAAGAGAGTTCACAAATTGATGGCGTACGTTGGGCTCACAAAGTGAATTTTTTTCTAAGTTGAATTTGTTGCCAACATTTACAAGCCAGGAGGTTTCATACAAAAGACTGAATTTCTTACTTCTCTTGAAAATAAATCAGAAGTTCTCACCACACTGAACCCCACATTCTCATGCAACAATTGGCTGGCCTTTCTGGACACACGTGTTATGATTTTGCCATGGTCCCCACCATGCCCTTTCGTTTCACACCCAGACTACTTCTCTCATTTTATTAACTGTTCAGTACCTGTATGCATCTGAGTTTGCAATGTTTGTTATAAATACAAGTCTTTATTCTGTAGACTAAAGGCAGGCACCAGACCCAGGCTAGGACTGGGTTCTGGTTTCAGGCCCAGGTTGTGAGGTCTTTTCCCATAATTCTCAGTCTCCCCAGACATCCTTTCTTCTCCCCTCCAGCTAGCCAAAAACACCTCCTCCTTTATGAAGCCATCCAGTCCTCTTCCTTCCATAGTCCCCACCCACTCCTGTACAGGCTTGCCAATTATGTCATCTCTATCAGTTTTCTGGATAGACTTTTCATATAAACTCTTTGCAATCTTACATTACTGGGAGAATTAAATTGAATTGGCATGGGGGCAGCCCATCAAATACTTGGAGAAGTGAGGAGGAGAAAAGGAGGCAGGAGTGGGAATGAAGCGAGGAAGGCAGGGAGAGAGGGAGAGAGGAGAGGAAGGAGAGAGGGAGGGAGGGAGGAAAAGAAGGAGAGAGAGAGGGAGAAGGGGGGAAGAGAGAGAAACTACCTGAGGTTCCAGTTTGAGCCAGGCACTATCCAGTTAGTTCATCTCGTTTAGCGCTCCCAGTAACCCCGTAAGACACATATTATTATTATTGGCCTCACTTTTCAGATAACTGAGACTTAGAGACATGATGTCACTTTCCCAAGTGAATGTTACAATGATACCAGGATTTGAACCCAGGTGTGTTTGGGAGACAGGACTCAAGCACAAAGCACTGCTTGGTCTCCACTTATTAGGTTTGGGGCAGATTTCTCCCTTGGCAGAGTGTAATTTTTCAAGACTGATTAGTTATTCCCCTGGAAATCTTTATTCATTCACACATTTCCATTCATTCCCTGCCCCCGCCAACTCATTCTCACATTGACTTGCTCCCTAATTCCCTCCTTCAAAGGCCTCTCTCTCCTTTCTCATCCTCTCCCTCTTCCTTTACTAGGAAGTGTGAAGCACCCAGTGCTGTACTAGACCCTCTGCCAGTCCCCCGCCCACACCAGCTACTGGGCCAGTTCTCTGAGGGCCAGGTGGGGAAGCTCTTCCTCCCTCTCCTCCCTGCCCTGAGACCAAATCCTGGAAGCTCTGCCTTCCGAAGGAGTTTCCTGGAAGAATTTATTATGTTTCCTAGAAAAATGTGACTGTAATTCATTACTTTTTTTGTGTGTGACTGTAATTTTTTTTACTGTAATTCATTACTTTTTGTGACCATAATTCATTACTTTTGATGTGCCATAATTAGCTTAATGAGCAGTCCTTACGTACCTGCATTTGACATTTCAAATGTGTCCACCAGATAAAGCCCAAGAGCCAGCAACTGCATGGGTGCCTGCAAGACCATCAAGATGATGCAAATGGCCTTTGGAGGGCCCTCAAGTGGGAGGCAAGAGACTTGAGTTCGGTACCTTTCCTTGGACTGTCTTGGGTTGGACTCTTTCTTTCTCTGGTCTTGAATCTTCCCAGGGAAGGAGCAGTATCCAACGGCCACCAAGAGCCAGGGTGCTGTCACAAGAATGGTAGAGTCCAAATCTCAGCCCTGCCTCTTACCAGCTGAGTAACTTTGGAAAAGTGTTCAGTCTAAGCTTCAGTCTCCCCATCTGTAAAATGGAGACAAAAATATGATTTACTACCTAGAGTTGTAATATTTATATGGTGAACCAATGCATGTAAAGCACTTTGCACAATGCCCAGTACTTAGAAAACTCTCAAAATATCTTAGTTGCACATGGTAATGATACAGGAGTTAAGAAGAAACTAATTAGTCAGATAGTGAGGGTGCAGAAGTCCTCGGTAAGGTTTTCCTTTTAATGAAAAGCAGCCCCCAATTATTTTCCTTTCTGACAAAGAACAGCCTGTAAAATCGAGCTGCAGACATAGATGCTGCAGTTGTGCCAATCATGTTCAAGATGGCGGCTCCGTCTTCCCTTCTCTCTGTCTGCCACATGTATACTAAGGAGCAGACAAGACAGCCCCGGCTAAGGGGAAAGTTCATTTGCATAATAAGATTAGGGTGGGGCAGCTAGCCTTCCCCAGCTATGTAACTGTCATACCTCATGGAACCAATCTGTGAGCCCCATGTAAATCAGACACCACCTCCGCAAGCCTAACTGTAAAATTCTGGTGCATCCACCACCGGCTGGTCTTTTCCTCTGAGAAGTGCCCCCCCCCGTCTCTAGAGCTGTTTTTCTTTCTCCCTTTTTGCCTATTTTGTGTGTCCGTGTCCTAAACTTACCTGGTATAAGACGACGAACCCTGGATATTTATCCCAGACAACGTAGCTGCTTTAGTAATAATAATAAAGATATGCAGAAAAGGCAAAAAGGAGTGGAGATTGCATGAAATGCCACACGCACCAATCTGGGATAGTCATGGAGTTGGAAGTGAGAGGTGAGGCCAGCTGGACTCCCTGGGTCGAGTGGGGACTTCCAGAAATTTTCTGTCTAGCTAGAGGATTGTAAAAGCACCAATCAGCACTCTGTGTCTAGCTAAAGGATTGTAAATGCACCAATCAGCACTCTGTAAAAAATGCACAGTCAGTGCTCTGTGTCTAGTTAAAAGATGTAAATGGCCCAATCAGCACTCTGTAAAATGGACCAATCAGCAGGATGTGGGCGGGGACAAATAAGGGAATAAAAGCTGGCCTCTGCAGCCAGCAGTGGCAACCTGCTTAGGTACCTTTCTAGGTTGTGGAAGCTTTGTTGTTTCGCTCTTCACAGTAAATCTTGCTGCTGCTCACTCTTTCGGTCCACCACCTTCAAGAGCTGTAACACTCACCGTGAGGGTTTGCAGCTTCATTCTTGAAGTCAGCGAGACGGTGAAGCCACTAAAGGAACAAACTCTGGACACAGAAGGACAGGAGGGAAGATGGTTATGTTGGATATTCAAAAAGTCTAATGGAAATCTCACATCTACTTACGGACAGTGAAGCCACAAAAGACAAGAATGGCCACTTTCTTTGTTTTTAGCTGAAACTACATTAACTCCTTGTGGTAAACGAGAAGACGTTGGAGTTAAATAGACCCATACTAAGGCAGGGTATGTGCCACTGGGTAAGGAGAGTAACGTTCCCAACAGAAACTAACAGTGCCGGCCTTGCCGGGCAGTTAGGAGAATTAGATGAAATAACGTGTGGAAGGGACTTACCCTGGGTCAGGCGCACAGTAGGTACTTCGTTCATGACACCCACTAATTCCGATACCCTTCCCTAGCCACCCCGGACCTCGGCTTCTTCAAAACGTAAAAATCATACCACCTGCTTTACTCATTCGGCAAATATTTACTGAGCCAAGTACTGTGAATACAAAAATGTATTCACCAGACAAAGTTCCTGGCCTCTCAGAGCCTGCAGTTTGAGACCGTTCATTATTCATCCTTTCAACAGGTATTTTTACTGAACATTTACTATGTAACGGGCTGCGTAAGGGGCATCAGAAATGCAATGTTTAGTAAGACAGATTTAATTCCCCACTACCCACAGAATTAATAGCCTAGAGAAGCTGTAGTAAAGTAATCTAGTGAAATGCCTAGTGTATAGCCGGCCTCCGTATGTAAGTTATCTGGGTGCCAGTCAGAGCTCTGTATGTGGAACTTTGGTAAAGTTAATTCACAAAATGTGGAACATTGATGATTTCTTAACACATGAAATTTGTTTGGCACATGGGGGCTTTTAAAGTATAAGGAAAGTCCAAAGAATATGAAATATTTAGGTATATACCTAACAAAACATGTACAAAAGCTATATGCCAAAAATTACAAAGTGCTGGTTAAAAAACAAATGAAACGGAAGACCTAAATAAATGAAGAAGCATACTGTGTTCCTGGGATAGAAGACACCACATAGTAAATATGATAATTCTCCCCAAAGTGATTCATAGGTGTGATGCAATTCCTATCACAATCCCAGCTGGCAAAGTATTTTGTTATGAAGTTTATATGGAAAGGCATAAGCCCTGTGAGAGCTGAAACAATCTTGACAAAGAAAAACAAAGTGGGAAAAATCACTCTACTTGCTATTAAGGCTCACCGTAAAGCTACAGCAGTCAAGACAGTGTGGTATTGATGCAGGGACAGATACATAGATCAATGAAACAGAATACAGAACAAATGGTCCTGGAGCAACTGGACATCCATAAGCAAAAAAATTAACCTTAAACTCCACACTTTATACAAAAATTGATTCCAAATGAATCATGGGCTGAAATGTGAAGCGTAAAGCTATACAACCAAAAAAACAAAAATAGGAGAAAATCTTCGGAACCTAGGGCTAGGTGAAGAGTTCTTAGACTTGCCATGAAAGAGCACAATTCATAAAAGAAAAAGTGATAGACTGGATCAAAACATAAAACATTTTATCTGCAAAAGTCCATGTGATGAAGTTGAAAAGATAAGCCACAGACTGGGAGAAAATAATTTGCAAACCATATATCCTAAGAAGGACTAGTATCTAAAATGAGCAAAGAACTGTCTCAAAACTCAACTGTAGCAAAACCAATCCAATTAGTAAATGGGCAAAAGACAGGAACAAATGTTCCACTGAGGAAGGGGTGCAGATGGCAAATAAGCTAATATGAAAAGACGTTCGGGCAGGGCATGGTGGCTCACACCGGTAATCGCAGCACTTTGGGAGCCCGAGGTGGGAGGATTGCTTGAGCCCAGAAGTTCAAGACCAGCCTGGGAAACATAGCAAGACACTGTCTCCAGCAAAATAATAAAAAATTGCTTAATAAAATTTAAAAAAAAGAAAAGATGTTAAACATCATTAGCTATCAGGGAAATACACATTAAAACCACAATGAGATGTTACTAAACACCTGTCAAAATGGTTAAATTAAAAAATAGTGAAAACAGCCGGGTGCAGTGGCTCACGCCTGTAATCCCAGCACTTTGGGAGGCCGAGGCAAGCGGATCACAAGGTCAGGAGATCAAGACCATCCTGGCTAACACGGTGAAATCCCATCTCTACTAAAAATACAAAAAATTAGCCGGGTGTGGTGGCGGGTGCCTGTAGTCCCAGATACTCGGGAGGCAGAGGCAGGAGGATGGCGTGAACCCGGGAGGCAGAGCTTGCAGTGAGCCGAGATCGTGCCACTGCACTCCAGCTTGGGCGACAGAGTGAGACTCTGTCTCAAAAAAAAAAAGAACAAATAGTGTAAACAGATATTGGTGGGGATGAGGAGAAACCAAATCACTCATACACTGTTAATGAGAATGTACAATGGCACAGCCATTCTGGAAAACAGTTTGACAATTTCTTATAAAACTATCATGCCATGATGCTATGGCCCAGCAACTGCACTCTCAGGCATTTATCCCAGACAAATGAAACTTACGTTTACCCAAAAACATGTACAAGCATGTTCATATCACCTTTACTCGCAAGAGTCAAAAACTGGAGGCAGCTGGGTTTTGAACAGGTTTGGAACGTGTCCTTCATTATGGCATACACATATCACAAAATACTACACAGCAGTCAAAAAGAATGAACTACTGATACATGCAACAAATTGGATGAATTTCCAGGGAATTATACTATGTTTTTTTTTAAAGCCAATCCCCAAAGGTTAAATACTGTTTCATTCCATTTATGTAGCATTTGGAATAAACAAATTTTAGAAAGAGAGAGCAGATGAGTGATTTCCAGGAGTTAAGGACAGTGTGGGTGGGGTCGGGAGGCAGCAGCCATCACGAAGCAGCACAAAGCCCCTTGTAGTTTTGAAACTCTTCTGTGTCTTGACTATTGTCCTAAGTAAGCAAACCTACACAAAATTGTTTAGAATTAAACACACACACACACACACACAAATGAGAACAAGTAACACTGGGGAAGTCTGCGTAAGATTGGTAGAGTGTATCAATGTCCACATCCAGGCTGTGATCTCCTACTGCAGTGAGGCAGGATATTACTGTACCACTGGGGGAAAAATTCATAGAGGGTACACAGGATCTCTCTGTATTGTTTCTTACAACTGCATGTGAATCCACAATTATCTCCATACATTTTTCAATTAAAAATAGCTTTTATTGTTTTTTTTTTTTTTGTAATTTTTTAAAAATAGAGACATGGTCTCACCATGTTGCCCAGGCTAGTCTCAAACTTCTGGACTCAAGCAATCCTCCAGCCTCAGCCTCCCAAAGTGCTAGGGATTACAGGTGTGAGCCACTGCACCCAAACTATTGTTTTTATATTTTAGAATTAGCATTTTTATTAAAAACTTGCAAATATAGAAGAAAATAATCAGAAAAATCATCATCCTGAAACATAATCTTTTGATGCATTTCTTCCTGATCTTTGTTTTCTACACTCATGTGAAAAATAAAAATGAGGGAAGGGACTAAAAATCAGGGTGGTGGAAAGGTGGGAACCTTGCTGTCCCTACCTTCTGTGACATCAGAACTCAATGTTTGCAGGATGCCTGGTGACCACAGGTGGGGGAGGGGAAGGGTGCCCTTCTGTCTGTTGAGTGTGGTCCACCCAGGCAGCCAGATCTGAGGCCATGGCAACCCAGCAAGTGGACAGCAGAAGGCAGGTGGCAGCAGAGCAGGTGGCAGCCCAGCTGCTTGAACGGAGAAGGGGCAGCCACTGTGATGACGAGAAGCAGGTGAGGCCAGGCCAGGTACATGCTGCTTTCCTCCCATCTGGGCTCCTTTTGCCACTCCAGACAGACTAGAAGTCCCTCAAAGCCCGGAATGAATCTTGGACCCAACCGTCCCTGGATCCCACTCTGATGGAGCACAGTTTAGGGGCCTAGGCACTTCTTGCCGGGGCCATCACTGACACTGTCTTATTAAATTCTCAGCACTGCCAGCAGAAGGTATGTTCCAGGAGGACTGGGCTTTTTGTTTAGTTCCCTGCTGAATCCCTAGTGCCTAGCATGGTGCTTGGTGCCAAGTAGATGCTGAATGAACGAATGAACTGATAATACTCCTGAATTGGAGCGCTCCTGGAGGATTCATTCTCAGGGCTGAAATTCAAAACTCATGTGGGATTTCGTCAAAATGGAAAACATTAATGCTTGCTGCACACAGCCTGGTGCATCCACACCCCATCTCTTAGATGCTATCAACCTCGTTCACAGAGGGTAATCTGAGGCCCAGAAAGGCAAAAGGGCCGTACAACTGGGACATATCAGGATTTGAAAACACATCCATCTGATTTTAGAACTCCCTGAAACCAGGTTCATCTGCTATGAGAACCCTGAGCAAGGGTTTATTCTGAGGATAAGAAGAAGCTGTTGACGGGTTTTAAGCAGAGCAATGAATGAATGAGCTCTGCTGTCTCTGTTTTCAAAAGACTTGTTCACTCATTAATTTACTATACATGCACCGAGCGCCTTCTATATGCTGGACCTTGTAGCGTATAACAGGGGCCTTCATGGGCACCCATCATGCTGCGGCTTTTCCTAAAAAGTGTTCCATAGACACCAGACCCCAGGAATGCTCCTTTTAGAAACATTCTTTACAGAATTCTGTGGCTTGGGGAAGGCTGCATACCCGCATCCCCTCCTGAAGACTGACGCTGCTCATTCACGTAAGGAAGGCTCTGAGAAGTCCTGCAACAAAGAAGTCTGCATAGCTTTGTTTACCACAGCATTTCCCACCTTGATTCTACCAGAGTCCCATTGTTTCCTTTTTTTTTTTTTTTTTTTTTTTTTTTTTTTTCTGAGACGGAGCCTCGCTCTGTCACCAGGCTGGAGTACAACAGTGCGATCTTGGCTCACTGCAACCTCCTCCTCCTGGGTTCAAGTGATTCTACTGCCTCAGCCTCCCGAGCAGCTGGGACTACAGGCGCCCGCCACCACACCCAGTTAATTTTTGTATTTTTAGTAGAGACAGGGTTTCGCCATATTGGCCAGGCTGGTCTCGAACTCCTGACCTCATGATCCACCCGCCTCCGCCTCCCAAAGTGCTGGGATTACAGGTGTGAGCCACTTCTTCTTTTTTGAAAGACTTTGCAGTGTATTTCAAAATCCATTTTACAGATGAAGAAACTGAGGCTCAGAGAAATTATTTGGCTCAGGCCCCAAGACGACACAAGGAAAAGGACTCAAACTCAATCCTAGTCCATGTTCCTCCCTTTGCCTCCATGCAGCACAGTATGGAAACCAGCAGCAAGAATGCCGGGGAAGAAATCAACCTGTAAAATACATTGATAGAGGACTGGTTAGACACATAGAAGAGCTTCCAGGCCACGAAAACTCATCAGCCATTTTAAAGATTGTGACAATTAGTGTGTGTCTTCCATGAAAAGATTCCTAAAGAATATTGTTAAGAAAAGAAAAAGGACCCTAATATTACATGTACAGTGTGATGATTTTGCATTGGGTGTACACACAGATCAAACTATGGAACATTTCTAGCACTGAGGGAGGCTCTTTTGGGGCTCCGCCCACCTGGCATCCCACCCTTCATAGCAGTGATTCTGATTTGTGTCATCATAGCTGAGTTTTCTATGTTCTTGAATTTCATGTAAATGGAATCATACCATGTATACCTTTGTGTCTGACTTCTTTCTCTTATCATTGTGTCTGTGAAACTCAACCAGTTGTTGCTATGTAACATTTTTTTTTTAAGTTAATAGTAATGTAGTTGCTAGTATTATAAAGAAAATTATCTGGGGAAGAGGCAAGTTAGACACATCTTTCATCTTCCTTGTTTAGTACTGGGTCTAAATGTCACTTCACATACTTGGGTGTGTAAGAAATTTATTCTTTCTTTAAGGCAAACTAGATCTGACTCAGCCAACATCTAGTGAGTTTGGGGAAAATTCAATGTCAGTCAATATGCACACACACACAAACACACACACACACACACACACACATATTTGAAAAACAAGAAAACTTTAAAAGCCATGGTCAAAATTTCCACATTAGCAGAAAAAGAAGAATTAAACTCAATAGTATAAAGAAATAAATAATAAAGACAAAATCAGAAATTAATGAAATGTAAAGCAGACAAACAATAAAATTAATAACCATTTTTAATTGGTAAAATTAAATTAAGAATTGGAAAACTTCTAAATAGACTCAACAAAAAACATACATAGAAAGAAAACACAAGTTACCAATATCAAGAATGAAAGAGGTCTCTTGTTTCCTCTCTTGACCTCTTTTCTTTATATATATTTTTTAAAAAGAATAAAAGAGGATTATTATCATGACTCTTACAGGCATTAAAAGAATATTAAGGTAATATTAGGAACAATTTGATGCCAATACATTTAACTTAGGTGAAATGGACAAATCTTCCTTGGCAGTACAACTTACAAAATTGACTCAAGAAGAAATAGTCTTAATAACTACAGGCCCAAAAGTTTTCACCAATAAATTTTATCAATCCTTTGAGATGAAAATAATACCAATCTTACACAAATTATTTCATAAAATAGAGGAGGAGGGAGTTCTTACCAACTCATTTTAAGGGGGCAACAAAATCTTGATACCAAAACTTGACAAACGTGTAGAAAAAAAAATTTTTTTTGAGACAGATTCTTGCTCTGTCACCCAGACTGGAGTGCAGTGGCGCAATCTTGGCTCACTGCAACCTCCGCCTCCCAGGCTCAAGCGATGCTCCTGCCTCAGCCTCCCGAGTAGCTGGAATTACAGGCACCGGCCACCATGGCCAGCTAATTTTTGCATTTTTAGTAGAGACGGGGTTTCGCCATGTTGGCCAGGCTGGTTTCGAACTCTTGACCTCAGGTGATCACCACGGCCTCCCAAAGTGTTAGGATTACAGGCGTGCGCCACCGCGCCTGGCCTAGAAACAATTTTAAACCAATCTCTTCTGAATATAGAGGTAAGAAATCTCAACAAAATAGTAGCTTATCAAATCACATGATATATAAAAAGGCTAGCTAATGCATCATGAACAACTAGAGTTTACTGAAGAAGCTCATTTGGCTCAATATTTAAAACACAATTAATGCAATTTACCACAAAAATGGGGACACATATAGTTGCTCAGTGGGTAAAGAAAAGTCATTGGTGGTTTCTTATAAAATTAAACATACATTTACCATATAACCCAGCATTTGCATTTCTGAATATTAACCCAAGAGAAATGTGAACATATGTTCACATAAGGAATTGTATATGAGTGTTCATAGCACTTTTATTCATAATAGCCCCAAACTGGAAACAAGCCAAAAGTCCATCAACAGGTAAAGAGACTGATTGTGCAATATTCTATGTTCATATAAAATAAATACTCATCAATAAAATACACAATATACTCATCAATAAAATTGAGCACAAAAAAATAGAGGCATTTCGAAAACATTGTCTTAAGCAAAAGAAACTAAATGCAAAAGCACACACACTGTGTAATTCCACTTATACAAGGTTATGGAACAGGCAAAACTACTCACAGTGACAGAAAACAGATTAATGGTTCTCTCCAGGCAGGGCAGGAGTGAGGATGGAATTGACTGCAAAAGGAAACTTTCTAAGATGACGGAAATGCTCTACATCTTGATTGGGGTGATAGTCTACAGGTATAGACATTCATCAATACTCATCAGACTCATCAGACTATACATTTTAAATGTGTGCGTTTTATTATATGTAAATTATACCACAATGAAGTTGATTCCTTTTCAAGATCAATTAAAATGAAAAATGTTTACATGAGAGAAAATGCAAATTGAACATCAGTAAGTTGCAGTGTTATCTATTTCTTCAAAGTTTGGGAGTTTTGTAGTAAGTAAGTGTGACTTAGATAACTAGAACAAAAGTTAAACTCAAAAAACTGTCTTATAAGCATTCCCATGTCTGGCCCTTTGTGATGGAAGCAGGGGGACCTGGAGAGAATTCATCCTCATGTTCTTCCTCCTCTTCCTCTTCTTGCACCCTAGACGCTGTTGGCATTGCTGATCTTGGTGCTGTACTTGAGCACAGAGATATGGGGTGAGCATTCTGGAATCTGAGAAAGAAGGAACCAAATCCACATGAAGCTTGGTGGAGTGTTCCAAAGATGGTTGTATGTTAAGGGGACCTCCATAACCCACCTTCTCCCACTGACCCTTCATCACACTGGGATAACTAACCATGTTTATTTCAATTAGTGCTCATTTGCTCTTCAGAGGTGATGTTTGTGCCTGTTTCAGGAAGCAGTTGGGAGGTGTCAGAAAGGATCAGAGAATGTAACTACTACCAGAATCTTGCAGTTCCCCAGGTAACATGTCCAGCAAGGTACTGAGGTGAGGCAATCTGGGAAGGCTTTCCAGAGGAGGTGTCATTGGCAACATGGGTCATGAAAGATAAGTAGTCGCTTGTCAAGTGCAGAAGGTGGGAACAGGTACTACGAGCACAATGAGTAGCATGTGCAAAGGCCCAGGGATCTTTTTGAAACCAGTGGGGATGGGGAGGAGGGTCCTATCTGAGAAAGCACAGGATGCCACTTCTGTGTCTGCCTTCCAGGGGCTTGAATATCAGACCAACGAGCCCTCAGAAGAACCGATAAAGACCATCAGGAACTGGCTGAAGGAGAAGTTGCATGTCTTCTCGGAGAAGTTAGAGGAAGAGGTGCAGCAGCTGGAGCAGCTAGCGTGGGACCTGGAACTGTGGCTGGATGCTCTTCTGGGAGAGCCACACCAGGAGGAGCACTGCTCCACATATAAAAGTCACTTGTGGGAGTGGGCCTGGGCCCTGGGGAGAGAGCACAAAGGTGGGGAGGGGTTGCTAGAGATTTCTCTAAGCGGGGCAGAGCTCTGACTCTTGAAGTTCCAGTCAGGCAAGAAAATAAAGTAGTTGGGAAATGAAGTCCGCTGTTCACATTCATGAATGCTGACAGAAACAGCGTTGGCGGAACACCAGAGCCCGGCTGAGATATTCTCCCTGGCACCATGACGTGGCCCCCTGGAACAAACACGGGCTTCAGAGCCAGCCATAGGTTCAGGACTCTTCTACTTTCTTGAGACGTTGTGTAAATTTCCTTAACCTGAGACTCAGTTTCCTCACATATAAAAATCGGGGAAACACACTTTGCCTTATAGGAAGACAATGTATGTAGGGTGTGTATACAGAGTGCGTCTGGCACAGAGCAGGTATCGGATAAATAGCTCTTCCTTTCTCACATGCCTTTTCCTTCCTCCCTGGAGTGTGGTAAGAGGATACTAGCTCTGGCTAAGTGTGTGGCTATTATGCGGCATTCAACCCTCTGACTCTGCTGGTGGAAGTATACGTTCCTAAAATCTCTATTTGGTGATAGCTATCAAATTTACAAATGCATTTTCTCTTTGACCCAACAATCTGCTTCAAGGAATTTATCCCACAGCTGCATTTGCCCACACATGAAATTACATGTGTATAAGATTATTCACCCCAGCTTTATTTGCAGTAGCAAAAAAATGGAAGCAACCCAAATGATACCAGGAGGGCTCTGGTTATATAAGTTATGGTACAGCCAGACAATGAACAATCATGTAGCTATAAAAGAGAATGAGGAAGCTTTCTACTATGGTGTGAATATGGGTGACCCCCAAAATGCATATATTGGAACCTAATACTCAATGTGACAGTGTTAAGAGCTGGAGCCTTTCGGAGGTGATTAGGTCATGAGGATTCTCCCCTCATTAGTGAGATTAGTGCCATTATATTAATAATAGAGGCTTGAGGAGCCTGTTTGCCCCTTCCACCATGTGAGGACACAGCTAGAAGTTCCCTTTTATGAGGAATAAGTGCTCACCAGACACTGAATCTGCTGGTGCCTTGATCTTGGACTTCCAAGCCTCCAGAACTGTGAGTAATAAATGTCTATATTTACAAATTATGCAGTCTAAGGTATTTTAACTGCCCACATGGACTGATACTTTCCTTCTGCTAAAATGGGAAAGCCTGAAAGATATGTAGTTAAGTGAAAAAAATTAAGGTATAGGCCAGGCACAGTGGCTCACACCTGTAATCCCAGCACTTTGGGAGTCCAAGACAGGCGAATCACTTGAGGTCAGGAGTTCGAGACCAGCCTGGCCAACATGGTGAAACCCCGTCTCTACCAAAATTACAAAAAATTAGCCCAGCATGGTGGCATGCACCTGTAATCCCAATTACTAGGGAGGCTGAGGCAGGAGAATTGCTTGAACCCAGGAGGCAGGGGCTGCAATGAGCTGAGATTGTGCCACTGCATTCCAGCCTAGGTGACAGAGTGAGACTCCGTCTCAAAAAAAAAAAAAAAATTAAGGTGCAAAAAGGGAGCAGAAGATAAAAATATATATTTTGTTGTTGATATTGATGATGATAATGACGTTATTAAATATGCATAAAAACTCTAGAAGGATACAAGCCTGCCTGGGAGTGAGGGGATTTGAAACTGGGAGATGTGTAACAAGGATGGGAGGAAACTTTTCAGCATATATTTTTCATACTTTCTTGTTTTCAAACTATGTGAATGTTTTGCTTATTCAAATATTTTTTAAAAACAAATTTCTATTTTGCATGCAGACAAGAACTGGAATATATGTATATAAGCAAAAATAACAGTATCATTATGATGAAATTATGATTGAATTAATTTTTAAAAACAGTCCCAAAAGAAAACCCTTCTCTTTTGATTACTTTATTTTGATTAAACAATGATCATTTTTTATCTAGGACTTCCCCTTTTTCCTATTACCTCCAGGAAACTTATAGTTGTTTGTTACTGGAATTTTATCAGCCTCATTGTTTTGGGTTATTTATTTTCCCCTTTCTATGACTTTTTTGTTTTCTATTCTGATGGAGCTATTATACATGTACCAATTATTAGAACCACCTCAAATCTTTGGATAGTGATGAGGGTTTCAATTACACTAATCTCAGAGGACATCTGACTTACAGGGGATGGCACAGCAATTTGTTTGCCAGGAGGGATTAATCAATTGCCATTTGGGATGGAAAAAGTCTTTGCAAATTATGATCCCAATTTTCCACTTTGAATATTTGGCAGGAGGTTGGGACCAGAATCTATTTTTTCACATTTCCAGCTATTTCACCAAGAGTTCTACGGGAAAGGTCTGATTGATATTTGCTTGCATTTATAGTTACATATTGCCATAGAGTAGTTATGTATGTTTATATTATATTTATATATTATATATACTTATATGTTTATATTGTATATGATACATTTATAAATATATTCATAAAATATATATTTTATATATGTATACAAAATTGGGGGATACATTTTAAAAAAAAAGAAAATGAGGCCAGGCGCAGTGGCTCCCACCTGTAATCCCAACACTTTGGGAGGCCAAGGTGGGCAGATGACTTGAGGTCAGAAGTTCGAGACCAGCCTGGCCAACATGGTGAAACCCCATCTCTACTAAAAATACAAAAAATAGCCAGGCATCATAGCACATGCCTATAGTCCCAGCTACTTGGGAGGCTGAGGCAGGAGACTCTCTTGAACCTGGGAGGCAGAGGTTGCAGTGAGCTGAGATCTTGCCATTGCACTCCAGCCTCGGTGACAGAGTGAGACTCTGCCTCAAAAAAAAAAGAAAAGAAAAGAAAAGAAAATGGAGCTTAGACCTTTGAGGAGTTAAACCACCTCTGCGGGTATTAGAACCTTTGAGAGGAGCTAGCTATTTGGAACCTCCCCTGTCCCCCCCCAGTGCTGGTGTGGGCCCCCAACCCATTGATGGTGGCTACTTTTGGTGTGTTGGCTTGTGAGCCCATAAAGAACAGGGAGTCACTTGGGATAACTCAGGCAATAAGGGTTTATTGTGGTGCTACAAAGGAGCCAGAATCTCCCCCCAAATCCAGGGACATACCAGGACCTGGGATTGTGGAGACTGGAATAGGGAGGTCTTTGAAAGTTCAGGGTGGCTCCAGCGCCCAGCTGCAGGAATTCTGGAGCTTTCCCCTAGCACGCCACCTTTACGTTGCCGTTCTCCAGTGTTGGATTCCTTTGTGTGTCCGCTCCATCTCTTCCTGCTTCCAAGCTTTGTATCTCTTCTTCAACTTGGGGCTTCTGCTTCTGATTCATCATAACTCTGATATGTCCCTACCCCATGTGGCCACTTCCGCCTACTTTCCAACTTCTACTGACTGTGTGATTCTGTCCACATTCCCCAAGTCAAATCCCAGGAGGAGTGGGTGGGATATGGCTGACCCATATGGAAGAGACAGGCTTGGTCTTGTTACAGGGAAAGTGGCCAGTTGGGAAATTGTCATGAAGATCCAATTATCTGCATTTCTTTTCTTTGTTTCAGGCACCTGGAGCATGAGGTCAGCATCAGAGATCATTGGCTGGGGCCTCCTGTGCCAAGCCAGGCTCTACACGGCAGCCTGCCTTTGGGATGACCTTGGGGTGATCACCACAATGCAATCAGCAGTGGCAGGAGGGAGAGGGGAGGACCAAGTGATCCAGAACAGAGCTACCTCAAACAGGAAGCAGACTGGGGCCATTTCCCTCCAAGGGACTCAGGGCTGCACTAAGATGCCTTGACACGTCACCCAGGGTGGTCATGAATGTGGCAGAGAGTATACTTCTGTGTCCTGAGAGTCAATACCAGGGCAGCAGAATTGCATGAGACAGACACTCAGAGGTCAGACCCTGGGAAGATTCCAGACCTGAGCTAGGGCCAGTGTGAAGGGAGGCAGATGAAAACAATTGCCAAGAATGAGGTGGGAGGTGCTTGGCCACCAGAGTCCCCACAGGTGAGTGGGCCATCCTGCCTCAAAAGCACAAAATAATAATTGGGGGATATTTCACTCCCTGTTTTCCATTCCTGGGTGTAAAAAAATACAAATTACACACTTAAAAGGAAGCATATTACTGCCTTTATGACTTTGAAGTCTGTTATAATTTGAATGGGGTTAGCAAAATGTTGCCCCGTAGACCTATTAAGAAGCTCACTTTCATATCAACAAAGTAGATTTCCCTTTGGGAGATAAAATGTCCTTTGCTTGAGGAGGCCACTATTCACAGCTCCTTCCATTCAATCAAGAAATATTTATTGGGCCATGCATGTGCCAGCTGCCGGGAATGAGAAGTTTATAGGCTAATGGGGGAAACAGATAAAAAACAAGTAGAAAAGTCAAGACAAGGTGATTTCAGAGGATAACAAACAAGACCACTTAGCAAGCACTGCAGTTTTCCAGGTGAGAAACAGAGGTTTGGCATACACTGCTAGGCTGGAGCTGGCAAGAAACCCAGAGACTCAGGGTGCAGTAAGTTTAATCCACCCAGCCAGGGAGTTGGGTCTAGACAGCTACTCACCAGGCCACAGGACTTCTGCGCCAAGATTTCAGGTTCTGACCCAGGTAGCTCACGAGAGTACAATGGAAGAGACAGGCTTGGTCTTGTTACAGGGAAAGTGGCCAGTTGGGAAAATGTCATGAAGATCCAATTATCTGCATTTCTTTTCTTTGTTTCAGGCACCTGGAGCATGAGGTCAGCATCAGAGATCATTAAAAATGTTTAATTAATTTTAATTGGTGGCCATCTCCCCCATCTCTCTTTTACTTCATGGGCATATTGGGCAACCTTCCTCATACTCCCTCAGGTTCTCCTATTTTGCTTACATTGGTTTATTCCAGATTTTTCTTTTGTTTGTATTTTTTTATTGGTTTTGATCAGCTCCTTTTTTCTTCCTTTAAGGTGTATAATGAGGAGAAAAAAGCCACAACCATTCAGGTTATTCATGTTTTAAAGATAAGAATCTGATACTCTAGACAAAAACTGGATGTGGTAAAGACTACCTGTGTGTCTGCATGTGTATTTCTTAAGAACATAAGGCTTATTTGGAAGAAATAATAAAATCGTGATAGCTGACGTTTAGAGGATGCGTCCCTCATCGCTATTTTAGGGTTTGGTCAAGTGCTGTTGCTTTTTCTAGATTATGAGGTAGAAACTGAGGCACAGAGAGATTGCATCACGGTTACCATCACATGCTCAGTAAGTGGGGAGCCAGGATTCTAACCTGTCTGGCCTCAGAGCCCTCACTTTAAATCAGTGTAATCAATGCTCCTCATAGCCTACCCTCCATCGAGCCCAGCCAAGATGATGTCTTTTCTCTCTGGAAAAGTTCTCACTTTATTGTTAAGTAATCATATGCCGATTAAATTTATAAGGCCATAAATATTCATTGCATGCTACTACGTGTAGGGTACGCATATACAGAGAAGTAGAAATCACGTTCCCTGTCCGCTCTTAGCTTGTCTTTCTGCTGGAAAGCCAAGAAGCAAAGATGGGGGAAGTGAAATCTCTATGTCGATTTACAAGCCATTGGATGCAGTGCCAAAGGCACCTAATTAATTGCCAATGAGCTACATAAATATTTATTGGCCTAACTAAGAGTTCAAGGAAGGGATAGAGCGCTTGGATTGGCACTAAAATGAAAATCTGCTAGAACAGCGATACAAAAATGCTGGAACTTACACCAGGCTATGGCCAAGAGGAAATCGCAGGGAAACTGGAGAGAGAGAATGATGGGGTGAGGGCAGAAAGGAATCACATCCCAGATGTGGGTGCCCAGCCTCAACATAAGGTCCAGATTCCAGGTCTCAGAGAAGATGTGGGGACAGGCTTCCCAAAGGCCTGTGAGAAGCAGGGTGATGGGAAACAACAACAACAAAAACAAAAACCTTTGAGAAGCAAGGATTTGGGCTCCACTCAATCTATTCCAAGGCCAGAATGTCCCTTTCCTGTCTGTGTGTCCTATTTTTGATGGTGTCAAATAAAAATGTGGATTTCATTTTTGTTTTCTTAATCCACAAATTGGTTCAACAAAGTTGTGAAATTCAATAAATCCAGTTTGGCTCCAATCTGGCTGTCAGGAGGACAATTGAGGGGGATGAGGGATGGAGCCAAAGAATACACGTTTCCTGGAGCACCCAAATTCTTTCTGTTGTGACATTCCCATGAGAGAATGCATCCCTGCCTGAGGGCAGGGGACGACAGAAGGCAAGGGCTTCATCCAGACGCTGAGTTCGCCTTCTTAGTACAGGGGCTGTGCCCTTTGCAGAAAGGGTCTGGAGTCCCTGTGCGCTTGGGCCAAGTCACTTCCTACCTCAAAGCCTTTGTTTCCTCCTCTGTCCTATAAAGCTACTCCCACCTCCTCTGAGCAGCTGTTGGGATATTAAGAAGGTGTATTGACCATAAAGCCAAGTGTGGAAACCTAGCAGATGCTTAGGACAAGACAGCATAATAGAAAAAAAGATAGATCTAGTCCCAGGCTCAGTAAAATTCGGGGACATGGACTTTATCTCTCCACCTCTCAACTCGGCTTGCCTCTGGGCTGGCCCCATTCTCAGGCAGGCCAACCCCACTGTGAGGCAGGGTGGCTTCAGAAGTGCCAGGCTATGATATCATATCTGCCAAGCCTGGCCAGAAGGAAGGAAATGCCTCTTCCCCAATGGCTGTGACCAAAGTTCTGCAATTGGGCCTTGTCTGTCAGACTGCGTCACATGCCCATTCCTGAGCTAGTCCTTGTGGCTGAGGGGACGCACTGCTCTGATTGGCCAGACCTGTGTCCTCTGCCCATCCCTCCAGCCAAGGATAGAGTCAGCTCTATGGAAGCACTGACAGAGTGGAGGAGCTGTGGCCTTCCTAGGGATACTGGAGTGCTGTCCCGGAAAGGGGACAATTAAATGCTAGGAAAAAAATTAAAATACGTTGTTAACATTTCAACGATAATTATTTACATTTTCATCATAGGCTGGTGGAGTAGAAAGTGCATTCTCAGCTGTACTACCTCACTGAGACCTTAGTTCATCTAGACAAGTGATCTTTTTTTAAATACCCTGGTGCATGAGCCTGCTACAGCTTCTCCTGCCTTTGAGCCTAGACAAAGTGCACATCAGTGGAGGTGGCATGAAGAAGTTGAAAGAACCAGGCTTTGGGGGTCAAACAGACCTGGTGCTAGCCCTGCCCCTCACCCCTGCTTCTCCACCATGTGACCTCAGACAGGTGGACTCTACCCTTCTGAGTCCCATTCTGCTCGCCCATAAAACGGGATATGTCTATACATCTCCCGGGCCTATTGAGAGGATTGTGTAATAAGCACCAACTTTTATTTAGTGTTTACTATGCTCCAGGTGCTATTCTAAGTGCTTTAGGGGCATTACCTTATTTAATCACCACAGCAAGTCTGTGATGATTTGATGTGTGATGATGAGACAGTTACTGTCAGTGCCTTCATCATACACATAAGGGAACAGGGATGCAGGATGCCTAAATAGTCCAGGGTCACACAGTAAGTGCTGGAGCCAGGATGCAAACCCAGACAGGCAAACTCCAGGGCCACGAGCTTCAACCCCGCCCTGTGCTCCTTCCGGATTAAATGAGGTAATGTGCATGCAAGAGCTATGTAAACCGTAACACACTATATAAATGTCACTCGTTATTACTTCTCTCTTGCTGCCCTGGTCATTAAAGCCAGGAGGGACCTAATGAATCTACCGTTCAGATATTTTCTCACAGCTCAAGACACGGTCGCTGGTCCTTGAGCTCCCACTTCCTCCCAGCCTGCCTGTGACTCAAGGCTGCACCTAGAGACCCCTTCTCGCTCTTTCTGCTCTAGCGCACCAGCCAAGTCGTGTCTTGGATGTGGCCAGTCATGCTGTAGAGAGGGATCAGCAAAGCGATCAGTAGGAGATGATGAGCTGTGGGCTAAGAACTCTGGTGAGGGGAGTTTGTCTTGCACACGTGCATACATCCATTCAGCAACTCTTGATGAACACAAGGATGAACTGGGGCTGTACTGGACAGTAGCAATATTTTGGAGAGAAGAACCAACATGGTCTCTGCCCACATGAGAGTTCCCAGAGTGGTGGGGGAGTCAGACAAAACAGGACTCCCTGAGATCTGGGAAGAGATTCTGCACCATGTGTAGTATGGTGCATAATAGCAGAACCTGCCTGCTAGGGTGGTTGTGAGATACACGCTAGAGGAGTCGTGCAGGCAGTGTCAGAGCTGAGCACATGTTAGCTGTCGTCACAAAATGAGTTCCGCCGCCTCCCCCCTCTGACATACAGCTCAGCACTCAATGCCATGTAACTTACTTGTTCATTCTTTGTGGCTCTTGGTTTCTGCTTTATTTCACATATCAAAACACATACTTATTAACAAAAATCCAGGAAAAAAATAAAGCAGAAAAGTGTATGTTTTTCAAATAGCAAGAGAATAGAAACTGATATCATATTGGTGGTTGCCAGGGGCTGCTGGAAGGAGGGAAAGGAGAGACTGCTTAATGGGTACAGGGTTTCTGGTTGGGGCGATGAAAATGTTCTGTAATTAGATAGCGGTGATGGCTGCACAGTGGTGGAGATGTAGATAATGCCACCGAATTGTCTACTTTAAAATGGCGCAGTGGCTCATGCCTGTAATCCCAGCACGTTGGGAGGCCAAGACAGGTGGATCACCAGAGGTCAGGAGTTCGAGATCAGCCTGGCCAACATGGAGAAACCCCATCTCTACTGAAAATACAAAAAATTAGCTGGGCGTGGTGGCGGGTGCCTGTAATCCCAGCTATTCAGGAGACTGAGGCAGGAGAATCGCTTGAACCAGGGAGGCAGAAGTTGCAGTGAGTCGAGATCACGCCATTGCACTCTAGCCTGGGCAAAAAGAGCAAAACTCCATCAGAAAAAATAAATAAATAAATAAATAAATAGGCAAAAATTGTGAATTTTATGTTACGTGTATTTTACTGTAATTTTTTTAAGTAGCAGGGGACCATGACCTCACTACCCACGGTCAGTCAAAGCAATATTTTACATATTTTCCTCCAGTTTTTTTCAATGCATATTTTGCAAGAGTTAAAGTCATAATTGCAAGTACAACTTTGTATTTTCTCCTTTTTGAATCCAGCAGTATGTCCTAAGTATTTTCTCCATGTCCTGCATAACACTGCTGGGCATTTAGGAGGTCCTTTTCTTCTAAACAACTCTTCCCTAATATTAGCAAACACATTAAGAACATGAAAGGCACACTGTTGATTGGGAGAAACTATTCATCATACATGTATCTGACAGAAGACTTACATCCAGAATGTACAAGGAATTCCTACAAATCAATAAGAAAAGAACAGACCACTCAGTTGTTTTAAATGTGCCATAAGTTGGAAAAGACACTTAAGAAGAAGATACAAGAATGGACAATAAGCACGAGAAAGGTGCTCAACATCACTGCTCATCCGGGACATGCAAGCTAAAATCATAATGAGATGGTACGGCAATATCACATGTTGGCAAGGAAGACAGAGCACTGAAAATGTCATACACGCTGGTGGGATCCTAACATTGTGCAACTTCACTTCGGGAGGCCAAGGTGGGCAGATCACTTGAGGTTGAGAGTTCGAGACCAGCCTGGCCAACATGGTGAAACCCCATCTCTACTAAAAATACAAAAATTAGCTGGGCGTGGTGGCGCTTGCCTGTAGTCTCAGCTACTCGGGAGGCTGAGGCAGGAGAATCGCTTGAACCCAGGAGGCAGAGCTTGCAGTGAGCCGAGATTGCGCCACTGCACTCCAGCCTGGGTGACAGAGTGAGACTCTGTCTCAAAAAATAAAAAAAAAAAATAAATAAATAAAATAAAACTGTACAACTCACTTTGGAAATCAGCTTGGCAGTTTATTATAAATATACACCTATGCTATGTCCTAGCGATTCCACTTCCAAGTATTTACCCAAAAGAAAGGAAAACTAGTGGCCGCCAAAGCAAAAATGCACAAAAATGGTCATAACAGCTTTATTCATAAAAGACAATAACTGGAAACAACTCAAATGTCCATAAATAAATTGTGGTATATACCTACAATAGAATACTGTATACAGACGTTTTTTAAATGAACTACTGAAACATACAACAGCATGAATGAGTCTCAAAAGCATTGTGTTGCATGAAATAAGCAAGACTAAAGAGTACTTAGGCAAGGCACAGTGGCTCAGGCCTGTAATCCCAACACTTTGGGAAGCTGAGGCAGACAGATCACCTGAGGTCAGGAGTTTGACACCAGCCTGGCCAACATGGTGAAACCCCATCTGTGCTAACAATACAAAAATTAACTGGGTGTGGTGGTGCATGCCTGTAATCTCAGCTATTGGGGAGGCCTAGGCAGGAGACTCGCTTGAACCCAGGAAGCGGAAGTTGCAGTGAGCTGAGATCATACCATTGCACTCCAGCCTGGGCGACAGAGTGAGACTCTGCCTCAAAAAAAAAAAAGGATTTGCTGTGTGATTCCAGGCAAAGCTAAATTATGATGATAGAAATTAAGTCAATGTCTTGGGGGAGGTATACAAGGAAACTTTTTGGTATAATAGAAATACTCTAGCTCTTGATTTAGGTTGTGGGTTACATCAGTGTATACATTTATTGAAATTCATCAAACTGTACAACTTAAGTCTCCTCTTTATTATATGCAAGTCATACCTGAATAACATTAGTTAAAAACAATAAAATAGGCCAGGCACAGCCGCTCTTGCCTGTAATCCCAACACTTTAGGGGCTAAGGTGGGAGGATTGCTTGAACCCAGGAGTTTGAGACCAGCCTGGGCAACATAGTGAGACCCTCTGTCTACAAAAAATAAATTAGCTATGAGTAGTGCTATGCACCTGTAGTCTCAGCTACTCGAGAGGCTGAGGCAGGAGGATTGTTTGAGCCCAGGAAGTTGAGGCTGCAGTGAACCACAGTTACACCACTGCACTCCAGCCTGAGCAACAGAGTGAGATGCTGTCTCAAAACAAAAAAAAATTAACACAGTAAAGTAATACACCAACCCTATGACTCAAATATTTCACTTCCATATATTTGCCCAAGAAAAAAACCATTTACCCACAGAAAGTCTTATATAAGACTATTCATTGAAACTATACTCATAAAAGCCAAAAACTGAAAATGGACTAAGTACTCCAATTAAAACAGAAAGATTGTTAATGTGCATTTTTTTTTTTTTTTTTTTTTTTTGAGACAGAGTCTTGCTCTGTCATCCAGGCTGGATGGAGTGCAGTGGCGTGATCTCGGCTCACTGCAAGCTCTGCCTCCAGGGTTCACGCCATTCTCCCGCCTCAGCCTCCCGAGTAGCTGGGACTACAGGTGCTTGCCACCATGCCTGGCTAATTTTTGTATTTTTAGTAGAGACGGGGTTTCACCGTGTTAGCCAGGATGGTCTCGATCTCCTGACCTTGTGATCTGCCCACCTCGGCCTCCCAAAGTGCTGGGATTACAGGCATGAGCCACTGTGCCTGGCTGTTAATCTGCATTTTTAAAGGTACGTTGCTTACAAGAGATACAAAGACCCAGAAAGGTTGAAAGTAAAAGGATGGAAAAATATATTCATTAAAATACTAAAAAAGCAGATAAGTAGGTAGAAATTTTTAAAAGCAGGTATAGCTCTCCTATCAGATGAAATCGACATTAAAACCAAAAGTATTATAAGACATAAAGAATGACAATTCAGGCCAGGCACGGTGGTATGCACCTGTTGTCTTAGCTACTTGGGAGGCTGAGGGAGGCTGAGACAGGAGGGTCACATGAGCCCAGGAGTTTGAGGCTGCAGGGAGCTATGATCATGCCACTGTAGCCCAGCCTGGGCAACACAGCAAGACCCCATCTTTTAAAAAGAAAGAATAACAATTCATAATTATAGAGGGGTCAGTTCAACAGGAATACATAAGGATCCTAAATGCCAATGAGCTTAATAATATGGCTTCAAACACTGTAAGAACTAAAAGGAGAAATAATGGATTCCATAATCATAGTGGGATGTTTCAACACATGTGTCACAGTTAACTGATAACACAAATAAATACACAAATAATAAGGATGTGAGATTTGAATGACATGAATAACAAACTTACACAAATAATAAGGATGTGAGATTTGAATGACATGAATAACAAATATGATCAGACCCAAACCTATCCAGGCACCTGCCTTATGGCAAAGGCACCACTACAAAGCAGTTGGGGAGAGAACAGTCTTGTCAATAAATGTTGCTAGATCAGTTGTACAACCTTAGGGAAAATATGGGCACTGACTCTTAAAATTCTATTCCAGGTGAATGATAGATCTAAATGTAAAAAGTAAAACAATAAAGCTTCTGGAATAAAACATAGGAGTATAGTTATGACCATGGATAGACAAAGATTTCTTAAACAAAACACAAAGAACATTAATCATAAAGGAAAAGATTGATGAATTCAACCATTTAAAAATTAAGAATTGTTATTCATCAAGACATCATTAAGAGAGTGAAAAGGCAAACAGGATGGGAGAAGGTATGTGCCATCCATGCACCTATTTAAGAACCTGAATAGTGTCCATATACAGAACTCCTACAAACCAATAAGAAAAGGACAGACATCTCTCAAAAAGGCCAAAATGTGAACAGGCACTCCACAAAAGGGCATATCCAAATGGCCAATTAGCTGTCCGTGAATGGCTAATTAAAGCCACAATGAGGTATCAGCACTACAGTGAGTATGTTTAACTATTTTAACCTGACATCAAATTTTGCAAGGATGCAGAGTTACTAGAACTCTCAGATATTTCTGTGGCAGCATAAATTGCTACAATTGCTTTGAAAAGCTGTTGGCAGTACCTACTAAAGCTGAACACAGGCACTTCATGACCCAAAATTTCACCCCAAATGTATCCTCCCAGAAATGCATGTACACGCATGTTCTCACTCATAAGTGAGAGTTGAACAATGAGAACACATGGACACAGGGAGGGGAACATCACACAGTGGGGCCTGTCGGGGAATGGGGGGCTAAAGGAGGGAGAGCATTAGGACAGATACCTAATCCATGCAGGGGTTCAAACCTAGATGATGGGTTGATGGGTGCAGCAAACCACCATGGCACATGTATACCTGTGTAACAAACCTGCATGTTCTGCACATGTATCCCAGAACTTAGAGTAAAATAAAATTTAAAAGAAAAGAAATGCATATATATGTGTGTACGAAAAGTCATGACCAAAAATATCATAGCAGCATTATTCCTACTACCTAAGAACTAGAAACCGTTCAAATGTCCTCAATAGTAGAATAGATAAATAAATAGTATTATATTCATTCCTGTAATGGAATACTATCTGGCGATGAAAAAGAAAAAATACATGTGAAAACAGAGAAATCTCACAGACATGATGTTCACTGCAAGAAGTCAGACGCTGAAGAGTACATTCTCTGTGCTTCCATTCATATGAAATTCAAAGTCAGACAAACGTCTATCTATAGTCATAAAATCTGGGGTGTTGGATACTGTTTGGAAGTAATGATCAGGAGAGAGTGCAAGAGAGGCTTTGGGATGCTGGTAATATCCTATATCTTGATCTGTATGATGGGTGCATAGCTCAGTTTGTAAAACTTCATCATGCACTTCAGTGAAAGCTCATGCATGTAGCTGCATCATATTAAACTTCAGTTTAAAAGTTTGGCAAAACAGAGGCGCAGTGGCTCACATCTGAAATCCCAGCACTTTGGGAGGCCGAGGCAGGTGGATCACCTGCAGTCAGGAGTTTGAGACCAGCCTGACCAACATGGTGAAACTCTGTCTCTACTAAATACAAAAAATTAGCTGGGTGTGGTGGGGCACACCTGTAATCCCAGATACTCGGGAGGCTGAGGTAGAAGAATCACTTGAACCTGGGAGACGGAGGTTGCAGTGAGCCAAGATTGTGCCATTGCACTCCAGCCTGAGCAACAATAGCGAAGCTCCATCTCAAAAAAAAAAAACAGTTTGGCAAAACAGAGCATATGAATATTATTCAAATTCATCATACATATTGCCAAATTACTTTGGAGTAAAATTGTACTGATTCTCACCAGCAGTGTATAAGAGGTGTGTCTCTACTAACCCTCCCAAATACTGAGTGTTATCATTTTCAAAGATATTCTTTCGCTTTATCTTAATTTTTTCCAACAAGCCAGCTGCAATGACTGCAGATTAAACTATGTCACTCTCTCTCCTCTCCCGGACGCCTCCCGGCACCAAGGCAGTGGAAAAGGAGAGGAAGAAATGTAGGTGGCAGAGCCCGCAGGACATAGCATCGGATGGATGTGCCTGTACAGCACTCAGGTCCCTTCCTGAAAGCAGTCTTTAAAGAATTCGGGTCCCGGCGCGGTGGCTAATGTCTGTAATCCCAGCACTTTGGGAGGCAGAGGCAGGCGGATCACCTGAGGCCAGGAGTTCAAGACCAGACTGGCCAACATGGTGAAACCCCGTCTCTACTAAAAATACAAAAAATTAGCCAGGCGTGGTGTCAGGTGCCTGTAATTCCAGCTACTCGGGAGGCTGAGGCAGGAGAATTGCTTGAACCTGGGAGGTGGAGGCTGCAGTGAGCCAAGATTGTGCCATTGCACTGCAGCCTGGGCAACAAGAGCAAAAAACTCTGTCTCAAAAAAGAAAAGAAAAGGAAAAGAAAGAAAGAAAGGAAGGAAGGGAGGGAGGGAGGGAGGGAGGAAGGAAGGAAGGAAGGAAGGAAGGAAGGATAGAAAGAAAAGAAAATCAAGAAAAGAAAGGAAAGAAAGAATTTGGGGAAGGAGTCTTGCAGCAGAGTGCTGGGGCAGGAGTCAGGGGGTTTGGTCTTAGTCCAACTCCACCACAACTTCAAGGTGACCTTCGGCAAGTCCCTTGCCTTGTCGGGGCATCTGTTTCCTGACCTGTAAGCTGAATGATTAGGTTGGCGAATCTCCTACAAGGCTTTTTTCAGTGTGAACTGGCTATGATCACGTATGATTCTGCAGGTCTGGATGATGCTGCTATATGATTTCAATGCTCTGCAAAACACAAATGGATACAGTTATGTATATGTAGAACATTGTATTCATCAGAACTCTCCTTAGGAAGGCAAATGTATTTGTTGGGGGGAAGTGAGTCCCCATGGGGACCTGAATATGCAAGGATGGCACGCTCTCATAGAAGAAAAGGAGCAACTTCCAGAGAAAGGAGAAGGCAGAGGAAGGCCAGGGAGGTCCAGATAGACCGGCAAGGTAGGAGAAGACAATGGTTTGTGGTGCAGTAGCTTCCTGTGCCCTCACCAATCATCAGTAATGGTCCTAAACTCATGATGTGCTTGGGGGCAGATTTTCCTGTGGAAAGTGGTAAACGGGCTGAGCTTCCTGCACAGACTGACATGAGCCAGTCCCAAGGCAGCTCTTGGAAACACAAGGACCAAGAGAAAGAGGGACGAGTGAAAACACTTGCCCAGGACCTGGCACGGGGTGGTACAAGCACTGAACCACCATTGAGGGCAGAGAACCGGGATTTGAATCTCATTGAATCCAATCTCCAGGGCACAGGACAGCCATAGGTGACAAATACATCATGTTTTCTCTGCCGATGACTGCTACCCACTGCCCTCAACCTGCATGAAATGAATCTTGAGGGACAGTCAGGGCTGGTCTCATTTCCCTCCTGTCCTTTCTAACTAGAATCCGCTCACTAGCACAGGTGCTGCAGCAGCATCTCCACAACCCCTCACCCCCCACCCTCACCCCACCTACCTCCTGTTTGGGGGCGCCCCCACCTTGGCAGGGCAAGTGCCCCTGAGCCGGCCGTGGGTGCTCTGTCATCGGAGGGTGAAACATAGCACTCTCCCCCCAGCACACGGGCTTTGCACCCTGGAAACCATTTCCCCCTCCCTTGATTGGAAACAAAGTCGAATTCATAATTTTACAATTTTTCAAAACTGCCTAACTCCAAGGGGGGAAAAGGGAGCTTTCAGTAACCCCTATTCGGTAGCCAAGAATTAGCAAGGAAAACACTGCTTCCCACTCTCTAATTGATGCCTCTGCCAAGGGCCCCAGGTATGTCGGATCCTGAACACGCGTCTTTGGGGAATTAGTCTCAAGAAACATATCCTCCCAGGCCACGTGTGCTTCCTGTCGCCCGCAGGGCTCCTGCGGTCCCGCTCGATTCTAATTTTCTTAATACAAAACCATTTCTTTTTTTTTTTTTTTGAAATGAAAAATGACTTGTTAAACCCCTCCCGGGTCTCTTTTTTTTTCCTCCCAGAGAAACACATTAAATAAACAAAAGTGAGACGTAAAATGAAAACAGGGGCCCCCGTAGCACCTGCAGGGTTTTACCAGCTCACATTACAAAGCCCCGTCTGAAGTGTCCCGAGCACTGTTTCCATTACAAATAGCCAGTTCTCTTGAAAGTAAGGCAAAAGCCAAATTAGTCAGATTACATCAGGATATATTTTCCTGTAGCATAAGTTCTTTGGAAACACCTGCCTGACATATTTCAGACGTGTGCCGAGGCAAGCCCGGCCCTCAGTGGTTTCAGGGCTCGTCAAAGTCTCAACAAAAATGGGTGTTTGGGTTTTACTGAGTAAGACTCGGTGAGATGCCTGTGTGGAATGTGAGTTGCCACGGATTGACTTTCTGGAACCTTTTAGCTGGCAAGGTTTAACTAGCTCTTGTCCCTGGTGCCACGAGGGTCCAGGAACTCAGGCAACCTGTATCTGAACCTTCCTGGAACAGCAGGGGAGAGAGACGTTGTGGTTACGTGGTCAGAGGGCTTGAAGGGCATGGATGGAAATGCTAAAATAGGGAAGAGGGCAGAGTTGACGGGCACAGGGTGGGGAGAGCAGGACACCAGCACACTAAATGGAGCAGACACCTGTAGGCAGGAGACGCTGGGTTAGAGCTGGGGGAGACACCCTATCCCCTTGCTTCTTTTCCTATAACCCAATTAACACTCCGCCCTTGACAACCTTCTCCCATTTAGACTTTATTATTTATTTGCTTACCACTCAGTAACCATGGATAATTTACTTTTTCAAATGATCTGTGTTGCTGGGAAACTGCCTGGTCAAGTGGGTTAAGTAAATCATGGTAATCCATAATACGGAATACTATGTAGCTATTCCAGTGAATGAGGAAGAGCAACAGGGATCCTCCTGGAAAGACCTCTAAAGTAGTGAGCGGAAAAATAATCAAGTTGCGAAGTAATACAGATAGGATGATCCCCTTTATAAAAAACGGGGGTGGGAAGCAAAAGAGTACACATATATACATACGAGTGTCACAAAATGCATAGGAAGTGGACCGGGAGAAGCGATGGCCAACTTTCAGTAGTGACCACCTCTGCAGAGGGATGCGGGGAAAGAGAGAGGAGGAGGGCCTTCTATATTCTCCTTTGAATATGCTCGAAACATTTACAATACAAATGGAGTCATGCATTATTTGTGTAAAGAAAAATACCCATAAAGAATATTTAAAAGTGTGTGTTAATAGCATAGACATGGAATCAAACTAGGTGCCCATCAATGGTGGATTGGATAAAGAAAATGTGAGACATATACACCATAGAATACTACACAGCCATGAAAAAGAAGGAAATCATGTCCTTTGCAGAACGTGGATGGAGCTGGAGGCCATTATTTTAAGTGAATTAACACAGGAACAGAAAACCAAATACCACACGTTCTCACTTATAAGTGGAAGCTAAACATCAGGTACTCATAAAGATGCAATAATAGACACGAGTCTACCAGAGAGGGGAGGGAAGAAGAAGGACAAGAGTTAAAAAACTATTGGGTACCATGCTCAGCCCCTAGGTGACAGGATCAGTTGTGTCCCAAACCTCAGCATCACAAGATATACCCATGTAAAAAAAACTACACATGTGCCCCCGAATTGAAAACAAAAGTTGAAACTATTTTTAGAAATAAAAAATAATATTTTTTAAGTGTGTATGTTGGGAGATGGTACATTCCTGTTGAGTTTCTAAATTCTGAAAACTGAAGAATCCTCAACCCCAATTATGTGATGGGGATAGATGGCTCTAGGGCCTCACTGGGCTCTGAGTCACTGGATTTTCATGCACCCTGATTCATCCAGTGCTGGCCAGCAATGTCCATTGGCAAGAGCACAGGCCATGAGAGTGTTCTCCTGCCATGATGCTGGTGTTGCTAATGGAGCAGTGGCAAGTACAAGCTCTGGGGTCAACCAGCCAGCCTGGACTCAAATCCTGGCTGGGTCACTCACAAGAAACAGGACTTAAGACACCTTCCCTAACCTCTGTTTGCCTACAGTAAAAGCTACCTAAGAAGGGCCAGGAGTGGTGGCTCACGCCTGTAATCCCAGCACTTTGGGAGGCCAAGACGGGCGGATCACCAGAGGTCAGGAGTTGAAGACAAGCCTGGCCAACATGGTGAGACCCTGTCTCTACTAAAAATAGAAAAATTAGCCAGGCATGATGGCAGGTACCTGTAATCCCAGCTACTTGGGAGGCTGAGGCAGGAGAATCACTTGATCCTGGGAGGCAGAGGCTACAGTGAGCTGTGATTACACTACTGTACTCCAGCCTGGGCGACAGAACGAGACTCTGTCCCAAACAAACAGACAAACAAAAAAAGCTACCTAAGAAGGTAAATTAAGTAAAAGCACTTAGCACTGTGCCTGGCATGTGATGAACACTCTAAAATGTGACTTATCATCAACATACGATGCATAATAAGGGTTTTCTGCATTTATGTCTTCTAAAAAAGTACGTGGCAGGGTCCATTTCAATGGATTTTGCAAATGAACATTTGCCCCTAAAATAAAGATGTGGATTTTGCCCACTGGCAGAATAGGGCCACACTAACAGCGCATGTGGGAATGGGGCAGGACTGGGTTCCTCTGCACCGTCAGAAAACTCTTTATTGTGAAGGGAAAGATCCAAGATACACAGACACAGAGAAGCCTCCAGTCGGCCTCAGGTGAGGTGTTCCAATGGGTCACCCAGAGGCCAAAAGCAGACAGCAAAGCTGGAGGAAGGTGCTGAACCAGGACCCCAAAGCCTAGGAAAGGGGGGCCTCTGTGATCAGGGAGCTGGGGACCTCGAGGTTTGCAGGGAGGAGAGTGGGGGCAGGTAGGGAGGTGTTCCACCCCAGCTGCAGCACCTTGCCAGAGAGTGTCAGCTGTTTTAAAAGGCCATGGTTGAACTAAACAACCAGAGTCTGCTGAAAGCCAGGAAACTCTTGACCTGAAGAGCAACCGTAGACGATGGTCAAATGCAATACGTGCCAGGTCTAGCCTGCCTTCCCTCCCAACCAGCAGCGATTGTAACTGTGCAAACTCTGAAACCAGTCCCTGGACTCCTTTGTCTCATACATCACAGCCCAGATCGTCAGCACAATTCCCCTTGGTCGGGTTTTTATGACTGGTGATGATGTAAGGAGGCAGAGAAAACACAGCTGGTCCTGCGTGCCGCTTACATGGAGGGCTTTGGAAGAATGTGCGCCTGTCCCCAAACACCAGCTCTTACAGCTGCTCAGCTCCCCACCGAAGGCTGAGGGTCCCTACCACCTCTCACAGAAGGAAACACGTGGCACAGACCAATGAGACATTACTTTAATAATCAGATGTGGGCATTTTTAAAGCACGGAGATGTTTGGGGTCCTCCTTCCCCACCCCCATCATCTAGTGAATTTCCATTCTTACCAACTTTACCTATTAAATGCCTGTCTCAAATGCATCCCCTTCTCCTCATCCCCAGCCCCCTTGCCTGGATCGGATGTCATTATCTCTCATGAGGATTCTATAACCGCCTTCTGACTGTTCTGCATTCATTCCTGGGTCCTTCCTTCTAACCTCCATCCAGTAGCCAGAGGGAATTTTTCAAACACAAATCATATCCATCTCCCTCTCATTTAAAACCCTTCAGTGGCTCCCTACTGCTTCCAGGATAAAGTCTCAACTCTTTTTGCATGGTCTGGTGTGCTCTTGTTATTCACCACAGTCATGTTCTATAAAATCACCACAAATGCTGATTTAGTGAACACCAAACCATTGTTCCTAGGGGACATGCAAGGTTAGGTTCCTGCAAGCCTCTGGTCACAATATTTTCATCAACAGATCAATATATAATCTTGCCCGTGTGTCTGCTTCTGTTTAATTTTAACATGTATTTCACATATATTGCTGGTCCATTAACAGTGAACTAAGAACGGCCAACAGGACTATAGCTCATGCCTGAATGAAACTTTTCCAATGCACATATTTCCTCTGTAAGGCACATTATATCTTTTTTTTTTTCAAGACATAGTCTCACTCTTGTCGCTCAGGCTGGAGTGCTATTGTGCAATCTCGGCTCACTGTAACCTATGCCTCCAGGTTTCAAGCAATTCTCCTGCCTCAGCCTCCCGAGTAGCTGGGATTACAGGCATGTGCCACCATGCCCAGTTAATTTTTGTATTTTTAGTAGAGACGGGGTTTCACCATGTTGGCCAGGCTGGTGTTGAACTCCTGACCTCGTGATGCATCCGCCTTGGTCTCCCAAAGTGCTGGGATTACAGGTGTGAGCCACCATGCCCAGCCCCATCACATCCTTCTTACATTTACTTGGGAAAACTAGACAGTACTTCAGCACTGGTGTTATACACAGCAAAATCGTCAACAAAAGCACAAAATGTAAGAAACACAGCACTGAATGCACCTTGAAAAGGACACTGGCTTGTGGTGTGACAGCTGAGACAAGGAGATAGAGAGTCACCTTGCTTGGCTTCCACTGGGAATGTGTGCAACTCAGCCAGGCAACTCCAATTTCTCACTGCTCTCTGCATGTCCATGAATAACCACAAAAGCACTGTGAGTAATTTGGGAACTACAAGTAAATTTTAGCACATAAGTGAGTTCACAAAGAAATCTGCAAATAGTGAGGATCGACTGTGTTTATCACTGTCGCTACCCGATACCTCTTTTTCCCACCTGGGAGCAGAGTGACCCACAGAGCCAGTCCTAACGCCCCATCCTGCCCACTGCAGCGATTCATCGGAGATGGGCACTTGCCCCTAACACAGTCAATCAGAAACCTCTTCCTCGATTTTTCTACTGGAACTAGGAGGGAGGATTCTTGAATCTGGAGGATGAACTGGAGAAGATGCCCCTCTGGGCTGCTGATGACCATGTTCCATGCCGTGCTGGCCACCTCTAGTAGGAAAGGTTGTAACTGAGGATGGGGGAGAGCGAGAGAAGGGACGAGGGACTGTCAGGCCTGGGCTTTCTGTATTTCTGCCCTCAATTCTCTGAGCTATGCCAGGATCTTCCCACAAATCCCCCTTTTCACTCAACTTAGTTTAGTTGCCTCTCTTAACTAAAAGAGTCCATACGAACACTGCGTATGAGACCGCTCATGAGCCGGTCCCCACCCATCTTACCTTCATTAGGTTCCCACTTCATGAGTGTCGCCCGGGGACACTGACAGTTCCTGGAGGCACTCCTCCCCTCCACAGTGGCTCAAGCTCTCCCCTCTGCCTGGAACTTTTTTCCTTCACTCTTCAGCTTAACCCATACCTGGCCCTTCTCTGACTCCCATGCCGGGCTATATGCCTCTCTCTTCAGAGCTGCCATTGCACCCGGACCAGGATCCTCTCTTATCTCAATTCATGACATCGAATGTATCCGTCTATAGACCCTGACTGCCTTGAGGGTGGAGCCAGCCTGAATATCACGTAGCAAGAGCCTGGTGGCGGAGTGGTCAATGGTTGGATTTGGGGATCTAAGTCTAAAGATGGTGGAAGTCTCCCATTCTTTGCTGAAGCGCAGAAAACCTGCGGGATTAGGCCTTTATTAAAATATTTCCCATCTGAATGATGCCTTGCAGTTCAGCAAGCCCTTTTACACGCATGATTTCTTTCTAGGCTCACGAGAGCCCCATGAGGCAATGATATCATTCTGTCCCTTTGAGGAAACTGAGTCTCACCAAAGTAAAGTGCTACCATCTCAGTCACATAACTAGGTGGTGACGGAGCAGGACACAAAATGCAGGCTTCCTGGCTTTGGGGTCAGAAAGTTCTAGATGGTAATGAAAAGCTGGGCCCTTCTTAGATTAACTGTTCCTGAAACTCCAGAAGCCTGTCAACCTCATCTGACACAGAGGAAGAATTTGGGTGGTAAATGCCATATATGAGAGAGGAGAGTGGCCTGTCCTATGTTATGAGGAACTCACACTATCTTGAAGGAGGGATCATCTCATTTTTTACTGGCTCCAGTCAATGGGTGCTTGATCAAAAACTAGATGGTAAATAATGTACCTAGCGTTTATGAAATGTCCTTCACATGTCTTAAATACTCTGAAGGCTCTGTCTCATTTAATACTCACCAGGTGACCAGCTCATTTCCCAGGAATGTCCCAGTTTTAAAACCAAAAGTCACATCTCAGGAACTCCTTCAGTCCTGGGCAAACCAAGACGATTGGTCACCAAACCTGGCAACAATGGCATGAGGCAGGTAGTATTGGAATTGTTCCCATTTTACAGGTGAAGCAACTGAGGATCAGAAGGGAAAGTGACTTCCAGAGGTCGCACAAGTAATTAGTGGCCAAGATACAAACCAATGTCCCTATGATTCTAGAGCTCTTAACGCACCTCAGCAAAGCCTCCAATTAATCAGTCATCCAGAATATATAAGCAAATTGAGGCCTCTTGCATGAAGAATGTTGGACCACAAACACAACGCAGCCGTGTCAAAGGTAGCCAGTGCATCCAACCACCATGTTCATTGGATCTATATTTCTCAACAGATCTTAACTACAGCTGTGTCTACACAGGGCTTCAGATCAGCTAGCGGAACAACAAGCTTGACAGATGTTTTTCCCCCACCGAATTGGCCAATGATTTGACTGTACTCAATGCCAAAACAACAGGCCAATTAATCCAATTCCACTGGCCAATACAGTGGAAAGAGAAAATAAACGAAGGCCAGTTGTCTGAGAGAGATGACCCAGTTGAGGACTGTGTCTGGCTGGTTATTTCACTACACTGGGCAGTAAACTTGATTGCATCAGGTCTCCTTGAGGCCTTTAGTAGACCAGCCTGAACTAGTAGAATTAACCAGTTCTGCTGGCAAGGTCTATATGTAGCCTCTATCTCCTCGACTTCAAAAGACTAGATCAAATTAATGATGAGAGTTGCACATTTTCCATGTTATGTAATCATTGTCCATGTTAAATGCTTGCTGGGAATCATGACTTTCAAAGGCCCTCTGAGCTGCATGTAAGAGTTATGTAAGAGGCACTTGCTCATGCGTTATGAGCAGACTGGGGCAAAAATGACATTTAAGATATTGCACAAGTTTTAAAATGAGCGGCTCTACGAATAAACAGAGATTTTTAAAAGAAAGGGGAAAAAAGAATTTATAAACCCAATAAAGATGTGACAGGGCCCAAGCAAGATGAAAAGAAGTTTAAAGCTGTGGTGAGCCACCTTCCGATGCCTTCCGAACACTCAAATCCAGGCTAATTCCTCTTGCAGAAGGAGGACGGGGTGTGTGCTCAGACATGACAACAGCCACTTACTGTCCTACTGCCCCACCCATCACCACCACTGAGTTGTTTGGATTCAATGTAGAAAGCAAGAGAATTCCACATCAAGGACTAACCCAGTTTCCATTCCTTCTCTGGCCTTTTAGGCAGACTCAGCCCAGATACCTAGCCCAGCTCACCCAGGAGGAGCTGAGAACCCCAAGGTGGGAAACAGACCCCTGCTCTGCTTTTCCACACATCCAGATCACACCAGCTAACCCATCAGAGCAGCCAAGAGTGGGAAACATTTATTATGTACTTACTGTATATCAGCCCTGTTTAAGCATCTTATCTACATTATCTCACTTAATTCTGAAAAAAAAAACCTCTGTGTTAGATGCTCTTATTAAGCCCAATTTAAAGTAGAGGCACGGAGAAGTAAATGACTCACCCAACCCTGGTCTTAACACTGGTGGAGTTGGGATTTGGAACCAGAATTCTGATTCTAGAACTGAGACTCCCCATGTTTCATTCCAAGTACCCATCCTCACCCTCCTAGACTCTCTAGTCATTGGTGCCATAATCTGCCTCCCATTAACTGTCTCAGGTTCTCCTTATTTAAGTATCCCGAGGTGGAACCCTCAACTATGATTGAGCTGAGGCTGAGTGTGCAAGGGTGGTCACCACGGGTGGATTTGTGGGGAGTTTTGGTTAGAGGAGAGAGGAGATATTTGCAAACAGCAAAAAACTAAGTCTCCTGATTTGCATCTGAGTCTTTTCAAGAGAGGAGCTAAAGACAGAAGTTAAAGAGAGCTGCATAGGGTCAAAAGGCTTCAACTAGCAAATAAAAGAAAACCCAATTCAAACTGGCTTGGACAGTCTAGTTATCTGTTCATATATGATTAAATTTTGTGGGGGGTGGGGAACTCAAAATGTCCTTGATCTAGTGTCTCAACAACGTCAAGAAGGACTTGGGGCCTTTCTGCCCTTCCATCCACTGTCCACAGTGTCACCTTCATCCTGAGACTGCTTATCTGTGTCTGTGAGATGCTTTCAGCAGCAGGTATGGCTACTGTCTGTCCTCAATGTGTTTGGTGTGAGAGAAGGAGAGCCTGGCTGCCTGGGGCCCTCTCAAGACAGCGAGAAAGCTGCTTTTCCCAGAAGGCCCCGTCATGCTCTGCTTGGAACTCATCCTGGCCCCTATACAGATGGGGCCCAGGAACACTGACTGAATTGCCCCTTGAAGGGTTGTAACCCTGGGAGCGACGAGGGTGCAGCATCCTCATCCAAACATCTCCATCGGCATTGACATTGGCATTGCACTGCCCTCAGGTAGTTTTTTGGGCAGCAGACATTATTAAGGGAACTGGAGAGTCATCTAAAAGGCTGGGTTCACATGAGACACCCCTAGAGATTCCCAGAAATAACCAGGCAGACCTCAGAGAGCCCAATGTCCTACATTTCCTACATTGTGTGAATTGTAGTAAAAGTCTGTGAAAGTTGATGCATTTGCACCATAAAACTGGGATTCCTGGGAAAAATCAAATTACGTTTGCTTTAATCACCCTTTTAGAGCCACCTGTATCTTTACCTGACCCTCAGCCCTCTCCCAGACATACCCATTACATGAGAGCAATGGGTAAGAGACCCCCTCAGCCTGCACCGCCTATTCCAGGTGATCACTGATCTCTGCTTCCCAGGCAGGGGAGAGGCTCAGACACCAATAATTCAATTTATTCAACACCTTCACAGCCCAAGCAGTGTAAAAGGATGTTGGCTTCAGTAATCAAGTTTCTAGTCTGGCTCCAATCATTCCAATAACCCCATTTCTTCTCCCTTCAGCTTAATAGTCCTTTGTCTGACTCTACCCAGATTGTGTTTACTAGGGAAATGTGAAGGGCAGAAAGTGATCACCCACACAACCAGTGAACAGGCAAAGAGAAATTTAACATCAGACACTGGTAGACCTGAGGCCACTTGTGAGACCAAGGAACAACTCATTCCTCACACTGGCCAATGGCTCACATCCTAGGCATGGCCCTTGACAAAGACTCTCTCTTTGACCAAACTTTATTTAGGCTCCTCTGAGCCCTCTTCTTGACCAGGCTTCAACTTTGGGCTTCTGGGTCCATCTCTGCACGTTTTTTGAGTCCAGTCTTAGCCAGAATCTTGCTAAGTCAGTTTAGAATGAATCCCCTCATCCCTTAATATCTGACCACCCATGATACCTGGTCAAGTTCCTTATCTCCACCTTTGATGTGAAGGTTCTTGGCCTGCCTTTAGCAAGAATCCTGTTAGGCAAGTTTGGTGAGAATCCTCCTACACTTGATCTCTCCTCTTCAGCATTTTTCATCCCTGATCCCTCACCCTGCTCCTTGCCTATAAATCCCCTCTCATCCTTGCTATATTCAGAGTTGAGTCAGATCTCTCTCCCCTATTGCAATAGTCTTGAATAGCCTTTCTCACCATTTTCACAAGTGTCAGAATAATATTCTTCTTTATCACCCTCAGCTAAAGGAAACTGCCTCATCGGCAGCTATTCCCCTCCCCACAGAAGCCCATATCACTTGACTGTTAGTGCTAGGACACCAAGGCCCAGCCTCCTTGCCTCAAATCAGGACATCTTTGAAAGGCATCTCAGCTTCAGAGTTCCCAGGGGGATCAGCTGAATCCCCTGCTGCAACTGCATCATGGTTCAACCTTCCATTGGCTCAGTCTTGCTTCTCTCTACACAGGCTCTGTTCCTGAGAACCCCAGTAAGCCAGCTGCTTGCAAATCTGTCTCAGGGTCTCTTTCCTGGGGAATCCAGCCTAAGATAGATGGGATGGAAGTAGACTCTAAAATGGGATTTTAGAGTTGGATTACCTGCTGTCCAGCTGGAAGGACCCTCCTCACCATGGCGAATGGAGGAAAGTTAGCCCCTGGCGTGAAGGTTGCAGTGTCATGGTTACAACCTTTACCAGTCATGTGAGAGGGGATGGCCGGGCAAGGGAGGCACTAGTGGGTCCACTGCCTTAGGCTTCTGAGAGGTTTTGGGAAGTAGCAACTATCAGCACAATGGAACAGGATAGTGGTTGCTGCACACCATTGATGCCTGGAAGAAGGCAATGAAAGGCTGGGCATGATAAGTAATCACCAATGGAAAGCATAGTGTGAAAACCAGAAGGTCTTTTTTGGCAGTACACAGAGACTCTCATTTTCTGCAGGAGAGCTCAGAAGAAGCTGTGGATTGGGCTCAGAACTTCACAGGGAGAGCAGAACTCCAGAAAAGGTGGAATTCTCTGTGCCAGCAAGGCTACTATGCCAAAGTCAGGGCCCCGATTGGGGAGGAGGATAACTTTGAGTCGAGATGGAGACATCTGGGTTGATACAGTTGAAAATCATGAATCCCCAGAATCCCCTGAAACCACTGGCCTGCAGAAGTGGCCCATTGCTCCCTGCTAAAGGCTAGAATTCTTCCCTTACTTGAAAATGATGCAGAGGTGCCTTGCCAGAAAGCACACTGTCTGAGAATATGCCCCCTTGCCCCTTCTGGCCACTACACCAATAACTAGGTTTAAGACAACATAACCCAATCAGGGAAGAGTTGCACCTGCTAAGGGTAGAAAGGCACTGTCCCCTGAAGGAGCTGTGAGACCTAGCCATGTGAACCAGCAGGAAAAGAGATCATATGCTGGATAAAGAGGCAGAATATGGTCACTGAAATGAAGGTTTATCCATACAGGCACACTGTCTTACCATACAGGACTTACACCCTAGAGAGGACCCCAGGTGCCAACACTAAAAACGTCCCTTGGTGGCTTTTGGAATGGCTAGCACTGAGTCAAACAGAAATGTCAGCGCTGTTATTATAGATGATTGAAAGAAGGAATCAGAGGACTCGGAGACGTGAGTGTGCTGGAGTAGATATGTTCTCCTACTGTGTCCTCCCACTCTGCTCTGCAAGTGAGTCCAGAGGATGCCCCATCTACTGATGCAATAAATAATGCACTGGGAGGGACAGCAACATAACTGAAGGTCAGGGTGGCTGTTCTCATGGCCAGTGCTCTTGGTAGGAGATGCTGTTACTGGAACAGGCTCCATGATAGCAACTGAATCACAGAATAACAGAGGCCAGGCAGCAGTGCTTAACCATCAGAGGCAAGGTCGGTGGTGGCATAGTGATGAGTGGTAGGATGGGGTGGAAGCAGGGAGCCCACCCCACGGAGCCCTACAGAAAGGGTGAAGAGAATGCAGTGCCCCTGGGGGCAAAGCAAAGGTATCTTCCCCAAAAGGGCATTTCTCACTGTATACAATTAAAGGAAATCAAGGATGATTGATTCAGGAGACTAAGAGAGGTTACCTCAATTAAATATCATGGTCCCTTGCTCAGATTTTAGACCTAGAAACTGCCAACTGCAGGAGTAGAGGGGTCCTCATGAGGAAAGGCCCTGGAACACCACAGTGAGTGTTTGCAGTCATGATGCCCTCAATCACTCCCCAAGGGCGTCTAGTGCCAGGTGAGATGTCAGGGAAAATACCCAGACATTTCAAGGACTGCTGGACACCAGATCTGAGTTGCCACATCAACATAGTCCCCAGTAAATCTGGCCCAGGTCTGGCTCACAGTGGATGCAACCAGTGGTCCTTTCGCTGGTTCTCAAATGCGTGAGTGTAATGAATGCTTGTTGTAGTTAGGAGAACCCCCACATTCGTTCCTTGGCAGATGGAGCCATTCTGGTGAAGGAAGCCAAAGTGGAAGCCTTCAAAATTGCCCTCATCCCCCAGCCATGACGTTAAATCCAAAACAAAATCACAGCCCAAGGAGAATGACAGTAATTAGTGCCATCCTTAAAGACCTAAAGGAGCAGCAGTGGTAGTCCCCGTAATATCCTCATTTAACTCACCCATCTGCTCCCTACAAAAACCAGACGGATTCTGGAGGATGACAGTAGACTGCACGAGCTCAACAATTACAGCAGCTGGTCCAGATGTGGCATCTTTGCAAGAGCAGACTAACACAGTTCAGGTGCATGGCATGCAACCCCAGCTGGGATCAATGGATTATTTTCTGTCCCTGTTAAGAAAGAGTACCAAGAGCAGTCTGCATTCCCATGGAGCAGTCCACAGTGTAAACTGACAGTCGTACTCTAGGGCTATATGAGTTGTCCCATTCTTTTTCATGATATAGTCCAAAGGGATCTAGACCCCATCTGCACATTCTGCAGAACATCACATGTAACAATAACAGCCATGGCAAATATCACCATCTCGATGACGTTGTATTAGTCAAACTAAATGAGCAAGAAGTGCCAAGTAGGCAAGAGGCTCTCACAAGACACATGGGCTCTAGAGGTTGGAAAATGAGCCTTAAAAATTCAGCCAGGTGTGGTGGCTCATGCCTATAATCCCAGTTACTCCGGAGGCTGAGGCAAGAGGATCATTTGAGCCTAGGAGTTCAAAGCTGCAGTGAGCTATGATCGCACTACTGCACTCCAGCCTGGGCAACAGAGTGAGACTCTGCCTCTTAAAAAAATAAAAATCAACAACCCCCTATATTGGTGACATTTTTAGTCCTAAGCACGGAAGAGTGGGCCTTACTATGTAAGGGGCCATCCCCTCCAAAATAAAAGACAAATTAAAGCATCTCCCACCTCCCACCACTCAAAAGGAAGCACAAAGCCTGGTGTGCCTTTTTGGGGTCTGGAGGCAGCAGATTCCACAGTTGGGGAAACTTCTCCGAAACAGTTTACTGAGCGACACAGAAGTCTCCAGGTGCGAATGGGACCCAGAGCAGGAAAGGGCTGGGCGGCAGGTCCGGGCTGTGAGCAAGCAGCCCTGCCACTTGGGCCATATGACTCCGCCGGGCCTCCGATATTAGAGTTTTCCATAAGAGAAAGAAGGCGCCATGAGGAGTTTACTGAAGGCCCCAGTAGAAGAATCACAGCATAGTTCCCTGGGCTTCCAGAACAAGACCGTGCTATCTGTGGTGGAGAGCTATGTACCTTTCAACAAACAGCTCCTGGCTTACTATTTGTCTGCTCATTACGAAGCACTTGGCCATGAAATATCAAGTGAACACGCAACCAGAACTGCCCGTCATGATCCATCAAGTCACGAAGTTGGACAGGCCCAGCTATAGCCTGTCGTAAGATGATGGGAGTGGCACATTCCAGATTGAGCAACAGCAGGTCCAGAATGCACAATTCAGCTCCACGCACAGGTGGCCCAGCCACCATCCCGCTCAGCAATGTCATACCCATACCTCTCCGTCAGTTTCATGGCGGGCCAGGAGTGGGGGAGGGGGGTGGTTCCCTTCATGGCAGAGAAGGCTCATGAACAGGTCAGCTCAATACGAAAGTTCACTTGCATGCTTGCCCTCCTCCTGGCCCCGGCCCACACCATCTGAATACATACCTGAACAGGGCATTTCTTCCAGGTGAGGTAATTTTATGTGATGAGGCAATTAAACTGAGTGGTTAAGAGATGACTTTTGGAGAGAACCAGTTTGAGATCCAAATCCTAACTCCAGCACCATCAGATTGTACGAGCTGATGTGAGTCTCTTCACCGGCATGGGACCCATGGCCTCACCTGTGCAATCTGGATAAGGCTCCTCAGCCCCCAGGTTTGCCCGAGGTCTCAGTGCATGAGCATATTCACGCAGGACCGGGCTCTAGGTGAGGGCATATTGAACAGACGCTCCATGCTGAAAGATGTATGTGTAGGTGGGTTACAGAGCCCCATCCCCTGTCTTCCAAGTTCCTGCCGAACAAAAGTTGAGTTGTCTACTCTCTTCCAAACTCCATCCAGGAAACACAGTGAACATTCAATAATAACCCAGCGTTTCCTCAAGAGGATTTATATATCCATCAGGAGAGCTTATGAAGTCAGGTTGGGGTTTTTTCCCCTGAACTGTGGCTATGTTTGGAAGCTGGTTTGTGGTGTGCACACATGCCATCCTCTCAGCCTGCCTGGCCTCTGAGGGCTCCACACCCTCTCCCTGAGTTCTGCTCGGTGGCCACTGAAACAACAAACATCCCTCCACTAGTACACAGGGAGCTAGAGACAGGCCAACTCTGACCAATTGCCACTGTTTCCAAGTTCACCCAGCAAGCTCGCTGGCCCTGGTTCATGTTCTTCTGAGTTTCAATGGGGGGCGAGACTGAAAATTGGCCTCTCAAAGCACCCTTGGCTGAACTAAGTTCATGAAAAGAAAAAAAATCCTGTGAGACAACAGCTCCAAAAAAAATTTCCCCAGGCTGCAGTGTGTCCCTCCATTGACCTTTTCCAAAGCGGAGTAACCATCTTTATAAAAAAAAAAAAAAAAGGTGTCCCAAAGCAAGGGCACAGCACGTGTAGTCATGGAATGTAATGGTCTTAGTGTCAAAAGGAGCTAAATTCAAATCCTAACT